>NC_000016.10:74259469-74562500 GCF_000001405.40 Homo sapiens
GCCACACTTTCTGCTGCCTATTAGGCATCTCCTGGCTTTACTCTGGAGGCTCCTGGTGTAGCCCTACACTGGTTGGAGATGACCATCAGAGACACTATGATCTCCCAAGGAGAAAAGAGACAGAATTTCATCCAAGTAAATATTTCCAGGTCTTCTATAGCTCCATAAAGATAATATGTCATAATGAGAACCCTAAGACATGCCAAAGTCACTAAAGGTAAGAATAATAAGTTGAATTATCTTTTTTTTTTCTTTATAGATGTGTTCTTGCTCTATCCCCTAAGCTGGAGTGCAGTGGCGTGTTCACAGCTGACTGCAGCCTTAACCTCCTGGGCTCAAGTGATCCTCCCGCTTCAGCCTCCTGAGTAGCTCGGAGTATAGGTGCACATCACCACACCACCACATCTGACTAATTATTTTATTTATTTACTTATTTTAGAAACAGGAGCTCACTGTGTTGCCCAGGCTGGTCTCGAATTCCTAGCCTCAAGCAATCCTCCTGCCTTAGCCTCTCAAGTCCCTGGGTTCACAGGGATGAGCCTTCATACCTGGCTAATAACATTTTTTCTTGTGATCCCTGCTATACAAGTTCTTTTCCAAATGTCCAGGAACTCTATGCGGTAGGTACTACTATCATCCCTATTTGATAAATGAAGAAACCAAGGCATGAGAAGCTTATATAACTTCCATCACAAAGCTACAAATGGTGTGATTCGAAACTAGGCAGGTAGTCAGATGCTAGAGTCCACGGTCTCAACTGCTATATTTTACATTCAGAAAGAAGGCCTGCATAATTTCTTAGATATTAAAACAAGCACTCCACTCCCATTGCTATTTTAATAATGGTATTCACGGCCGGGCGTGGTGGATCACGCGTCTAATCCCAGCACTTTGGGAGGCCAAGGTGGGCGGATCGCTTGAACTCAGGAGTTCCAGAACAGCCTGGGCAACATGGCAAAACCCCATCTCTACTAGAAAAAAATACAAAAATTAGCCGGGTGTGGCGGTGCACGCCTGTAATCTCAGGGGCTTGGGTGGCTGAGGCAGGAGAATCACTTGAAGCCGGGAGGCGGAAGTTGCAGTGAGCCGAGATCACACCACTGCACTCCAGCCTGGGGGACAGAGCAAGACTCCGTCTCAAAAAACAAAATAATGATGGTACTTGCCAACATTTTGAGGGTCAGGCACTATTTCAAGTGAAATGCCGTCCACACGTTAATTCGTTGGATCCCTCAACAATGTTATGATGCAGGTCTTAGTACTGTGCCCATTCCACATATGGGGAAATGAAGGCCTGGAGAGAGAGTAAGTAACTTCCCCCAAGTTGCACAGTTGTAAGTGGCAGAGACAAGACCCAAATCCCAGCAGTCTCCTTAGGGGTTGAATTGTGTCTCCTACCAGAGTCCATCATCTTAACAACTGTGGCCTCGAGAGACAAGCACTGAACTGCCTCTTGACTAACTTGAGTACTGAACTGCCTCTTCAGTGCTGAGTACCAGCAAGACAGATCCATTGGAGGAAAATTTCCCAGTTCCAGCACCCATGAGGCCCCACGTCGGGGCCTGACCCAGCCTCTCTCTCCATCTGTCTCTGGGACAGCATGAGTTCCCTGCCACTGAATTTCTCTGTGCGGTCTGCTCCATGCTCTCTGCAACCAGCTTCCTATAACTCGTGGCTTCTGTTCCACCTCGGTGTCAGCTTTCATGCAACTTCAGCTTGCCACAGAGCTGACTTGGGCCCCTACCCGATGTGACCCTCTAGCTCAGCTTCCCACTGCTAACTGGCTACAGTTTCTGTCTCTGAGTCAGATTCCTGGGAGAGAACATTAATTTTTTTTTTTAAGACAGGGTTTTGCCATGTTTCCCAGGCTGGTCTCCAACTCCTCGACTCAATCCCAAGCTGATCCACCCATCTTGGCCTCCCAAACTGCTGGGATTACAGGCATGAGCCACCACACCCAACCCTGAAAGAGAACATTGGATTGGTCACTGGCCAGTGAGTGGAAGAACTGGTATTAATGAGGTGTCCATCTCTGAGCCAATTAACTACATTGGGTGGGGAATTGAATCCACGTAGTAGAGGGAATTAGAAATACCTAGGCTAAAAAGGAGAATACTTAAAAGGAAAAGGGACTTTGGCAGGGCAGTGGCTCACACCTATAATCCCAGCACTTTGGGAGGCCGAGGCAGATGGATCGCTTGAGGCCATGAGTTCGTGATCAGCCTGGCCAACATGGTGAAACCCCATCTTTACAAAAATACAAAAATTGGCTGGGCGTGCCTGTGGTCCCAGCTACTCAGGAGGCTGAGGTAGGAGGATCGCTTGAAGCTGGGAGGCGGAGAATGCAGTGAGCTGAGATCACGCTGCTACACTCTAGCCTAGGTGACAGAGCGAGACCCTGTCTCAAAAAAAAAAAAAAAAAAGAAAAGTGACTTAAACTTGGGGAAACTATGACAGGAAGAGACTTTACGTCTCTCAGCTTTCCCTTGATGGTCAGGGGCGTGATGTCTACATCACTGGTATGTTGAAGTAGACACAATCAGGAAGGTCCATCAAGAGATTTCTTTTTTTTTCTTTTTTTTTTTTTTCTTTTTTGTGGGTACACAGTAGCTGTATATACGTCAAGACATTTCTGCCCAGGGGAGGTGGTAACAGTCTCTAAGATCCCTACCAATTTGTGGAAAACTACAGATTAGCTGAAAAATGCATGGGCCTTAAATATTTTAAATATTCTCCAAAATACCAGCTTTCAGATTGTGGAAGTAACTTTTCCCCATCACAAAGTACACTCAGAGTCATCGCAGAAACACCAGAGACAGCAAAGGAGATACTGTACACCAGAAGGAACCTTATCAGCCATCATCTTTGGTGACACTTGTCACCCTAATGGTCATCAGTCCTCCCTAATAAAATTAAACTCCACCCACCAGAATTAGAATTAAATGACTAATTAACAGGTTTCTGGATTCCTTAAATGTTTCATGTTATGTTATAAAGTATCCACAGTAACCTAGGATTGATTTCTCCTTTTTTTTTTTTTTCGAGATGGAGTTTCACTCTTGTTGCCCAAGCTGGAGTGCAGTGGCGCAATCTCGGCTCACTGCAACCTCTGCCTCCTGGGTTCAAGCGATTCTCCTGCTTCAGCCTCCCAAGTAGCTGGGATTACAGACACGCGCCACCACACCCAGCTAATTTTTTGTATTTTTAGTAGAGATGGGGTTTCTCCATATTGGCCAGGCTGGTCTTGAACTCCTGACCTCAGGTGATCTGCCCACCTAGGCCTCCCAAAGTGCTGGGATTACAGGCGTGAGCCACCGCGCCCCGCCAGGATTGATTTTTAATTTGTTCTTTTTTTAATTTTAAGAGACAGGTCTCGCTTTGCTATCCAGACTGGAGTGCAGTGGTACAATCATAGCTCACTGCAGCCTTGAGCTCTTGGTGTCAAGCAAGCAGTGCTGGGATTACAGGTATGAGCTACTGTGCACGGCCAACCACTGAAATTTATCTACTGTATAACCACGTTAGGTGCTATACTAGATCAGAGGCAGGATACAAAGATAAGAATCACAGGCTGGGCATGGTGGCTAACGCCTGTAATCCCAGCACTTTCGGAGGCCGAGGCAGGCGGATCACAAGGTCAGGAGATTGAGACCATCCTGGCTAACACGGTGAAACCCCGTCTCTACTAAAAATACAAAAAAATTAGCCAGGCGTAGTGGCACATGCCTGTAGTCCCAGCTACTCAGGAGGCTGAGGCAGGAGAATCATTGAACCCGGGAGGCGGAGGTTGCAGTGAGCCGGGTCGCACCACTGCACTTCAGCCTGGGCGGCAGAGCGAGACTCCATCTCCAAAAAAAAAAAAGAATCACTGCCTGGCCAGGTGCAGTGGCTCACACCTGTAATCCCTACATTTTGGGAGACAGGTGGATCACTTGAGGTCAGGAGTTTGAGACCAGCCTGGCCAACATGGTGAAACCCCATCTCTATTAAAACTACAAAAATTAGCCAGGCGTGGTGGCGGGCACCTGTAATCCCAGCTATTCAGGACGCTGAGACAGGAGAATCGCTTGAACCCAGGAGGCGGAGGCTGCAGTGAGCTGAGATCGTGCCACTGCACACCAGCCTGGGTGACAGAGTGAGACTCCATCTTAGAAAAAATAATAATAAAGAATCACACTGCCTCTAACTTGCAGGGCCCACTATTCCTGGAAAGACAGAAGGCAAGTTCCTAAATAAGTTAATAAAGAATATGTGGTAACAAATAGAGCATGCACCGTGGCTCACACCTGTAATCCCAGCACTGTGGGAGGCTCAGGAGGGAGGATCTCTATTTTATTCCATGAAGTGTGTGCAGGGATTTGGGAAACATTCTCCGAAGCAATATAATATGATCTGGTCCTTACAGAATGGTAGGAGTTGGCATATTCCATAAGACAGCCCGAGCAACAGCACAGAGGCAAGGTGCTAACGGGCACATTTGGAGAAAAGTAAACAGTCCATCATGGCTGGAAGATGCAGTGGAGGACAAGAAAGAAAGGGGAAGAAAGATTACTGGATGAAATTTGGAAATGCAAGCTGGAAGAAACCTTAAAGGTAACTGCAATTGAAAAAGGCATCTATAATCATAATAATGAACTTCAAAGCAAGTCTGCTAATCATCGACCTTAAAAAGGACAATGATATGTGCTAAATATTTGGTTTTAATAACAGATTTCTAAAGTCAACAAGGAAGACCCTTGAAAGATCACATCACTGCCTTCAAAAATACCACACATATGGGCCCGGCGCAGTGGCTCATGCCTGTAATCCCAGCACTTTGGGAGGCAGAGGCAAGTGGATCACTTGAGGCCAGGAGTTTGAGACCACCCTGGACAACATGGTGAAACCCTGTCTCTACTAAAAATACAAAAATTAGCTGGGCATGGTGGTGCGCGCCTATAATCCCAGCTACTTGGGAGGCTGAGGCAGGAGAATCACTTGAACGCAGGAGGCAGAGGCTGCAGTGAGCTGAGATCGCACCACTGCACTCCAACCTGGGCGACAGAATGAGATTCTGTCTCAAAAAGAAAAAAAAAATACCACACATAACCCCCAGAAGAAGGACGGAAATGGGGCACCCAAAATAAAGGCAAGAGGTTAAACAAAGCTTTTCCCAGCCAGGAGCAATGCCTTTGCTCACCAAAAATGTCTCTCCAACAATTTCACCAGTCCCATATGTGACCTGACCCCAAATAATGGCCTCTTTCTACACTCACTTGCACAACCAATGATAAAAATGTTGGGCCCATCAACCAGCACACTCACTGCAGCAGCAGTACTGAAATCTGCCTCTCATTTTCTTACCACTTTTCTGAAATTCCAGAGGAAGGGGTTACTGTTAAACAGCAGCACACGTTACTCTCACAGCAGCGCACATTAATAACAATTCAGTGCAGTGTCATGGAAGCCTGTAGGCTCTTAGCAGAATTTATTTGAAAAATAAAGTTTGTTTTTTTCTTTCCCCCTGAAGATCTTTACTTAAGTCAGCATGGAACTCTTGTAAAGATAACTACCAATAAGTCACAACTACCCAAGGAGCAGTCTTGTTATTTTTTTAATTCACTGCTCACCATGACAACATAATAAACACACCTTTAGAGGCTCATACATGCCCAACTATTGAAAATGTCATAGTTCCTCCTCCATGGCGCTCCCAGGCATAAACTTCAACTCTTTTTTTTTATCCTCTGAAATTCCAGTAAGTAAAACATCAATTTTCAACTGCAAGTTACTACTAACAATTTTGTGGTAAGTTCGCAAAACAAGCCTTATTTCATAATCCACTAATAATTACTAACCTTTTTTACTTAAAAAAAAATAGCAAACCATCAAGCCAATATGCTTTCAACATCTGTTTTTTCAATTTTTGTTTGGAGTTCCGTTAGATATTCCTGTATCCTTTCATAAATGACTAATAGGAAAGATACAAGACTAATAGGAAACACAACTTTATGCAACTTCATTGACGGTTGGTTTCAGTTAACAGCTGGTCTTTAAACTACCCAACATGAAAGCATACATTTTAGGGGAAAAAAAATTGACCCCAAAACTCCTTCATAAAATAAAGTATTTCATTTTTCAAAGCTTTAGGATTATTTGAGAGGCTATAGTACTAAAAAGCCCCTAGAGTTCTGTTGTTTTTTTTAAAAGAGAGAAAGTTAAAAGTTTCCACCTTTAAATATCAGAGACTAGAGATTTTACAATACAATAAGTGTCAGAAATAAAATGCAAGTCCCTTCAAAGCCATATAAAAAAGTAAGCCTCTGTAAAAAGTTTTTCCTTCCTTCCAACAGTGAAGTATGAACCTAAAATCATAGCAAATCGTTATGACGGTCTTTCTGCAATGGTGCCCAGACATCCAAATTAGCCAAAACTTTAGGCTTGCATGTGCTGAGGTTAGTAATGATGCTTCCCTCTGATACTCCACAGTGGCTCCCTTTGGTTAAGGAAATACTATAAGAAGTGCACCGGCCGGGCTCGGTGGCTCACGCCTGTAATCCCAGCACTTTGGGAGGCCAAGGCGGGCAGATCACGAGGTCATGAGATCAAGACCATCCTGGCTAACACAGTGAAACCCCGTCTCTACTAAAAATACAAAAAAATTAGCCAGGCGTGCTGGCGGGCGCCTGTAGTCCCAGCTACTTGGGAGGCTGAGGCAGGAGAATGGCGTGAACCCGGGAGGCGCTACTTGCAGTGAGCCGAGATCGCGCCACTGCACTCCAGCCTGAGCGACAGAGTAAGACTCAGTCTCAAAAAAAAAAAAAAAAAAAAAGAGAAGTGCACCACAGGCCGGGAGCAGTGGCTCACGCCTGTAATCCCAGCACTTTGGGAGGCCGAGGCAAGTGGATCATTTGAGGCCAGCAGTTTGAGACTAGCCTGGCCAACATGGTGAAACCCTGTCTCTACTAAAAATACAAAAATTAGCCAGGCGTGGTGGTGCATGCCTGTCATCCCAGCTACTGGGGAGGCTGAGGCACAAGAATCACTTGAAGAAAGAAGGCGGAGGTTTCAGTGAGCCAAGGTTGCACCACTGCACTCCAGCCTGGGTGACAGAGTGAGACTCCAGCTCAAAAAAAAAAAAAGAAGTGCACCATGAAACAAAGCGTTCAATTTCCCCATCCTTTATGCACTCCCTTCCCAATGTACAGAGTCCACAACACAAAATCCATAAACTATGACTACTTTATTCAAATGATTTGGCTTTTTTTTCCTTCTCCATTCTGTGTCTTCTATAGCAACAAATTTGTTTTAAAGGCAGGGGCGGAGGTGGAGGACAACTCTACTCTGAGAAAATGTTAGCAGGTTGAAGAAGAATGTCTAGGTCAGGCACAGGGGCTCATGCATATAATCCCAGTGCCTTGGGAGGTCAAGATGGGAGGATTGCTTGAGCCCAGGAGTTGGAGACCAGCCTGGGCAACATTGTGAGACTCCATCTCTACAAAAATAATAAATAAACAAAAATAAATTAGCCAGGCATGGTGGCATGTGCCTGTAGTCCTAGCTACTTGAGAGGCTTCAGTGGGAGGATCACTTGGGCCCAGAAGCTGAAGGCTGTTATGAGCTATGATCGCACTGCTGCACTCCAGCCTGGGCGATAGAGTGAGACCCTTCTCTAAAAAAAACAAGACTGTCTGATGCTCAGTGTCTCTTGGAGAATAAAAACCTATCTCTCACTCGAAGCTGCTTGCTTGGACTCATCTCTCTCTATGAAGCCTGCCAGGTCCTCACATACCAGGGGTGGTTTGCTTTCTCTCCAACAGGAATAATGGGCTTTTCAGCACTTTTGCCAAATTACTGACAGAAGGACCTACTTCCCTTCCTGTGAAAAGAAACTGATAGTGACAGAAGAAAGAGAATAAGTTTAACCACTAAATTATACACTGCAAAGAATGGATGGATAAGTGAAACTCCCACATAACACTGTTCCAAATTCCTTCCCAGCCAAAAGTTTATAAGAATGGCCAAGAAGTCACAAAAGTACCCAATCTGAATTTTCTTTTCCTGGATTTTTAATAGCTTCTGCCTTACTTCTCTCTTTGGAACATATTATTTTTCATTAAGACACCAACGAGGAGCAGAGTTAATTATTGCATAAGTGGGACATGTCAAGAGATTTTACTTGACCATGCTTGTCTCTTTCAGAGACTAAATTAACTCCATAATTTGCCCCATTAGGAATAACATTCACAATTTAACATTTGTGTTCATTTTCTCCTAAGTGTAAACACTACCATTGTCTCTGGTTCCAAATAATTGGCATTTTTTACAGTAATCTTTGTGCCTGACACGTTGTCATGCATAGGTGAGTACTTAATAAATACGACTGGGTGATGGATGTACTCAGTTACAGAATATTAAAAAATGCTCCATTTTTCAAGTCTCCCAAACAGCAAAACTGTTGTAGCTTTTATGTCCAGCTTAGCTCAAAGCCTGCCTAATTCATTTCAAAAACTCACAAATGTGTAATCAAAGCTCAGAGACAGCTTAAAAGCACCTCTGTGCATCACACCTGCCTGCCTAAAACACATAACACAAACTCAAAATCAAATACAAAGTGAATTGAAAAAATGTATACCAGAACTGGTTTTGCTTTCCCACATCAAAATTCAGATGAGGCATTCTTTGCTACCACAAGAAAATCGGGATTCAAAATTTAAATGTTATGATCTTTACTAAACAAAACAAAACCCTTCACACTATTTAACATTCCCTTCCCTTCTCTTCCAATATGAAAAAAAAGCCCATACACAATGTGTTATTCAAAGTAGACTGGAAATTCATAGTACCAACATGTTGGCGGCTAACTATTGTGTGTTGAAGGTAAGCACATCGCACTGTTCACAGCCAGGTGTTCTAGGTGTTCTATCAATGTTTTTGTGCTAACAATTTATCATTCAGTGTGGATGGGGCAGTGCCAGGCTGCCACTAGAGCAGCCTGGTGTGCCCAAGTTTAGAGAACAGGGAATGTGTCTTGGTTATAGAACAAAAGAATTCGTTTTATCACTTGCCTTTACCGCTGGAGAAAATGGCTCCTGGTGTGCAGAACTCCATGATAAATGTGCCCCCTCTAGTTCTTTATTGCCTCTGTAAATCACAGGACTGACAGCAGTTAATAAGAAAAGCTTTTGAGTGGTTTTGAAGTTTTGCTTTGTACAAATAAAGTCTCATATTAAAGATTTTGCTAGTCCTCAAGGTGTAGAAAAAGCAGCACGGGTAGACCTTCTATACTTTTAACTGTTTGTTTCCTTTCTTTAATTTTCAAAACAAAAAGAAAGAAAACCCTTTCAGACATGCACATTGGAAAAATAGAAAGAGATCATAGCTTAAATGGCTTTGTGTACTCACAGAGTTGCTGGTGCTGTTGAAATGACAATCTCTTCTTGTTTTTATAAGCTGGATATTCAGATAAATACCAGCAAAGATATGTGGTGGAAAGAAGGTTGTTACAGTAGATTTATTATTATGTTTCTGACCATAATTGTATGCTTTCCCTCTTTTGCCAAAGAAAATTCTGGTTCAGTGCTGAGAACAAGAACTCTAAATTCCACAGAATTGATCAGCTGCCGGTTCAATCTCAGGTCCCAGGATCCTGAAATTCTGAAATCATATTTCAGAATATAATTGACGTTAACAGGACTAACAATGCTATCTTACTGAATAGCTTTTTCTCCAAGGAGCTCAAAATACTTTGCCATAACAGCCTTACAAAATCCTAAAGGACAGGTCTTATTATTTGTACTTTCTTGGGGGATGAAGCTGAGACACAAAAAGTAAGGAACGTCTTTTTCTGATTATTGCTAAATCCTCCATAGAGTCAAAAACAGGACTAGAGTCAGTATTCTTCTCACAAGACCCCACTCATTTTACAGTTCACAAAGTAAGAACTCTGAATGCATTTTCCTGACAATATTGCCACAGCAGAGTAAAGAAGGGTTAGTAATCCACATAAATTGGCTGAATAACTGTCTGTACAACAGAAATTGGCTAGTTTACAATCTGGGGTTCAACTTCATTTTGCCCCAAGCAGCAAGAGCAAATAAAAGTCAGGCTTTCAAATTATCTACTTGTGGAAGTTTGCTGCTTGGCAGGCATAAAGTTAAAGGGGCAAGACGCTAGCTAATTTTAATGTAGACTTTTACAGAATTCTGATTAAGTCTACATATCCTAGCAGTGTATGAAGGGCCAAGCTTGAACATTAGGATTTCATTAAACAACACTTTACTGAAACAAATTAAGTCTAATGTTCCAGTGGTTTTGTTTCCTTTCCATGGTTTGCCTTATCCTAGTCTATTTCTGGCCAATTCTTTCCAAAGCAGATTTTCTTAACCCACAATTCCACGTAAATAAGAATGAACAAGAATCTGTATTCTTCCAGGCCCCTCTGCTGAGATGGCCAATCTGAACAGGTTGCTCCGGAGTCCTCTGTCGCAGTCAGCATCACAGAACTTTAGTGGGTAAAACTTGGTGCCTTTTCTTGAACCAATAGAGGCAAGAGACAGACGTGTGGTTACTTCCCCACTGTCATCTCTCTGCATCCCGAGATTGTTCTCTGAGTCCCAGGATTTCACATGTGCCATGAACTCCTGTGAAATACTGAAGCATAATATACTGGCAGGAAAACCCAGGATCTATCTGGATTCTTAGGATGAATTTCCTTGAATCTAATTGAGTTCACCAGTAGAAATCTGGCCAAGGTCCCTGGAGGTGAAGAACTCATGTCGAGGAAGTCAAGTCTGTCCAGATGTCATGTAGGTGCGGTCAAGTCAAAGTGCCCAAAAGAGCTTCCCTGCAGACTGAGAGCACACTTGACACTCAAGAGACTGACAAGGCTGGGCACAGTGACTCACACCTGTAATCCTAGCACTTTGGGAGGCCGAGGTGGGCGGATCACCTGAGATCAGGAGTTCAAGACAGCCCGGCCAACATGGTGAAACCCCATCTCTACTAAAAATACAAAACTTAGCTGGGTGTGGTGGTGCACACCTGTAGTCCCAGCTACTCAGAAGGCTGAGGCAGGAGAATCACTTGAACCCGGGAGGTGGAGGTTGCAGTGAGCCGAGATCGCACCACTGCACTCCAGCCTGGGTGAAAGAGCAAGACTCCATCTCAAAAAAAAAAAAGAGACTCAGAAGACAGAACAGACACTAGGATCCATGGGTATTGACCAGATTTTCTGGGGTTTAGAACAATAAGCCCCATATCTAAAGGACCAGAGACGCTATTACTGGATACAGCTGGATGCAAATCTCAGCTTAACCACTTTCTAGCTTTGTGACTTTACAAATAACTTCATGTATCTGAGTTCCTTTAAATCCATAGCACTGGTGTATAATGAGGTTTATAAAGCACTTGCAAACTGCCTCACAGAGAAGGCACCCAACAAACCATTCATTAATTAATTCAACAAATACATGCCAGGAAGAGTGCTTTACATGTATTATTTTATTTCATCTTCACAACAATTGTATGATTAGCCCTTAGGTAACAGGAGGGCAATCAGGAGGACATTTTAAAAGAGACCCCTCTTTTAAAATAAATAAAACAAAATAAATAAACAAACAAATAAAAGAGATCCCAATCTAGAAAACTCAGGGCACCTCCGCAGAAAGAGGAGCTGGACCCTGGAATGCAGCCAGAGTAGAAACATGTGGCCTGCAGTCAGCCATTCCCAGAGGGGAACCCAAAAGTGCCTCTAGAGAGTCAGGACTGAGCATGTGCCAAGGCCAGAGAACACAACCAGCCAATCAGGATAGGATCTGCCAAGGAAGCCTTTCCTATCCCTCTCCCCTCCTCTCTTCCCCCTTGAAGCTCCAGGCCTGTGGTGGGATGGTGGAGAGGGGAAGCACCAGGAGGGGAAATGGAGAAGTCAACCCCTCCCCATCCCCTACTACAGGCTTATCAGCCTGAAGTAATACCCACCTTGGGAAGAAGAGCAGCTTGAACACTGAATGAAGGTCAGAATATGACCTGGACTGGTCATTTTTTTATTACACAAATTGGATCATTCTATGGCTACAAACAACCAGTGTGTATTTTCTTAAGTCTAAAAGAGGCTGTAAAAGCTAAGAGATGCACCTGATATTTCACCTAGAGACAGGGGAAAAACTGGCCCACAGAGTGGATTTGACAGGAAGGGAGAGAACAGCTTGTTTATATACTGTGGAGTTCCACTCTTTCAACAAACCATTACCTGTAATATAAAAGATATTCACCTGTAGTCCCAGCTACTTGGGAGGCTGAGGTGGGAGGATCGCTTGAGACCAGGAGGTTGAGGCTGCAGTGAGCTATAATCACACCACTGCATTCCAGCCTGGGTGACAGAGCAAGACTGTTTCAAAAAAAACAAAAAACAACAACAACAACAACAAAAAGATATTCACTTATCAATCCTATGAAATGTAGAAAATGAAAATGGGGGTGGATGGAGGAGAGCATGGCCATCAGCCAAATTAAAAAGTAAGTCTGAAAATACTGTTGCCAAGCTTAAAGATGACTATTCCATGCTGATATGGAAGTCTATATGCAAGAAAATCGTCACTGAGTCTCCATAGCAACATATGTGGCTCCACCACAACACACTGGGATTAGTTATTAGTTTAGTCATTCAATCTGGATATACTGGACAAAGAGCTATAAAGCTCAAAGTGGGCCACGTACAGTGGCTCATGCCTGTAATCCCAACAATTTGGGAGGACAAGGCAGGAGGATAGCTTGAGGCCAAGAGTTCAAGACTAGCCTGGGTAACACAGTGAGACACTGTCTCTACCAAAAATTTTAAAACTTAGCCAGGCATGGTGGTGTGCACCTGTAGTCCTAGCTACTTGGGAGACTGACGCAGGAGGATCAGTTGAGGCTGCAGTGACCCATAATCGCACCACTGCACTCCAGCCTGGGCAACAGAGTGAGACCCTGTCTCAACAATAACAACAACAACAAAGCTCAAAGTAAAGCAGAAGCTATAATTTGAATAAGTCAGACTACTTCCTGATTTATTCAAATTAGATTGACAGTAACTTAGGTTATCTGGGACTCCTCTTCCTCCCCACCAAAAAAAGAGCTTTCCACATTGTCTGAATTCACCAGACACACATCCACCCATTCCTTTACTTCATCTGGCATGGATTTAACCAATGAATAAAAGGGTTGTGGGTCTTGAGAGATCCAGATGTTCATGTGCTTTGCAACTGGATATAACAATATTAAATAATGTCGGCCGGTCGTGGTGGCTCACGCCTGTAATCCCAGCACTTTGGGAGGCCGAGGGGGGTGGATCACGAGGTCAAGAGATCAGGACCATCCTGGCCAACATGGTGAAACCTTGTCTCTACTAAAAATACAAAAATTAGCTGGGCATGGTAGCAGGCGCCTATAGTCCCAGCTACTCGGGAGGCTGAGGCAGGAGAATCGCTTGAACCCAGGAGGCGGAGGTTGCAGTGGGCCGAGATCGCACCACTGCACTCCAGCCTGGTGAAAGAGCGAGACTCTGTCTTAAAAAAAAAAAAAAAAAGAATATTATTAAATAATTTCAAGTAATGGCAGTGCAGAAGGGCACGGTTAGCCAAGAGCCCACCAGGGCTTCAAGATACTGGTAATATTCTGTATCTCAGTTGGGAGGCCAATGCATTGTATTTATTTTATTGTTCTTATACACATGTATAATGGTATATTAAAATTACATAATTAAAATGAAAAAAAGAAAACAAGAAAGAAGGTCTTTTTTTTTTTTTTTTTTTTTTGAGACAGTCTTGCTCTGTCACCCAGGCTGAAGTGCAGTGGTATAATCTCAGCTCACTGCAACCTCCACCTCCCAAGCTCAAGTGATTCTCCTACCTCAGCCTCCCGAGTAGCTGGGACCAAAGGCACGTGCCACCACACCTGGCTAATTTTTGTATTTTCAGTAGAGACCAGGTTTTGCCATGTTGGCCAGGCTGGTCTCAAACTCTTGACCTCAAGCGATTCACCCCCCTTGGCCTCCCAAACTGCCAAGATTACAGGTGTGAGCCACTGTGCCCCAACAAGATCTTTATTTTTTAAAAACTCACTCACAATTTTTCAAAAGCAGATTATGCTTTAGTATTGCCAGTCTACCTCTCATGCCCATCTTAACTGTTCAAGATCTATTTCAAATGACACCCCGGTGAGGCCTTCCCTGACATGTCCTCTTCCCACAGAGGAGCCCACTGTTCCCATCTATGTGGCCACAGCTCCTGATCACCGTCTCATGGGATGCACATTGTACGTGTCCCTCTTTCCGAGGGAAAGGGACATTATCTTGGTGTTCTTTATATTTGAAACACCTACACAACGGTGTCTTGCATATAATAGATGCTCAGTACAGCTTATTTCTTAAGATATTTACTGAAATTATAAAATAACATAGAATAATCATTAATGTTACAACTGAATCTGGTTTTCAACCTCAAATAGATTAATGCTATCCAGGTGCTTCCAACATCGCCAATATATTTGAAATGCTGCCTATCAGCATCTTAGCTAGTTTTCTTTCCTTGCCAGTGAATAACTGCCACAACTGTAGATATGAGCTCATTTGAAGGAATGAAAAGAGCTCTCCCTAAGATCATTTAATAGACCTATGCATAATTATCAATTTCCTCTTGAAGCTAACATTTGCTAAAAGAAAACGAAAGATTCTATTAATGATCAAAATACTTGACTTTCTGGACCTATTCCATTTAATGGGGAACTCAGTTCTCCAGTCTTGGGTTACTGCCAGGTGCTCTTTTACCGGGAATTATTCTAAACTTCTAATCACAGTTCAACAACCATCTGCCAAATCATATACAGGTATTGATATTTGCCACTCTACAGTTAAATTACATCAAATGTCAATGCAATCAACTCATTAGTGGGCTCCTATCGAGCTTCAGTGCTCACCACCCACTTCTGCACCTCTTTGATTAAACAGTGTATAGACCATAGTCCCTGTCCATCTAATCAGCTGATCAGCTCAGTCATACTGCTAATATAAAATCAAATGAGCGGGAGAAGGAAGCGGTAAAAGACCCTGTGAGCACCTTGGTCCCCTCGTAGGCCGAATATCAATATACTATAGTCTAGCAAGAAAAGCAAATGAAATTACAAAATTGCTTAGAGAATCATTTTAACAGAAAGTCACAAGCGGTCATTTAAAAAGCAATGTAATTGTCCCGAGATCACATTTTGCTAGCATTCTTCCACCTTCTCTGCTACCCGAGATTTTAAATCTCTCTTGCTGATGTAAAAACCATAAGCAAACCCAAAGTGTGACTGACATGTGCAGATTCTGAATGCTGGAGGTCAGCACAGCTTACTGGTAAGCTGCCCACTGCTCCAAATTTTATATCTCCTCTGTCCCTCAGTTATTGCATGACATGATTTAACAACTGTAATTCCTTATTTAACGATGTCAAAGGTTTTTAGGAAATTGACTGTATTTCACCAACGATATATTTCTTCTTGATTACGGAGTGGTTAAAATGATTTTAAACCAAGACAGCAAAATAAAGCAGTAATAAAATCAATAAAAGGTGCTTAAAACATTCCTTCTATTAGGTAATGGCATTTAAAATATCCGTAGCTTGTAATGGCACTTAGGATATGCCCAAAAATCAATGAGCTAAATTACTTATTGAACTAGTTAATTTGAACATTGAGTTTTTTATGTATATTGATAAAATGGGCTTACAGAATACTGGCAAGCAGCAATACTGTGTCCATGGTCAGATGTCTCCCTCTGCTGGAATAAAAAAAAAATTAAACCATTTCTTCCAGTTATGGAACAAAAAGATAAAAAAATTACAAGCTGTAAACTCAAAAAGTCCACAAAAGACTTCTTAATCTTAAAAATCTCCGGAAATTCATGACAATAATATGAAATCATTAAGGGTTAAAAACACACACACAGTTTCTGAAAACTTTGTCAATAAGCTGGAATGTGGTATTTATACCCAGTATCAAATAGCAGATGAGAACCAGCATTTAATTATTTCAAAACTCTTTTCCTAATTTTCTAAACATTATCCTAGGGGTTTTGGGGGATATATTATTAGAAATAAGATTCTAAAAGCCTTGAGTCCTCTCTTTGATGTCAGAAGAAAGGGGGTTTGAATTTTAAAGGAGAAAGTATAAATCTATGCTCAAGGAAAAGTCTACTTTCTTAGATGTTTAATTTGATCAAAATCAAGTTGGAACTATCTCTGTAAATGAAGGTTTTTGAGAACTCAATGTATGAATCCACGAAACAGCTTCACACGCCTCTCCCTGCGTGGGGTGGTATAAGAGTTTCCAACACTATTGTTACCTTTTTTTTTTTTTTCAAACATCTACTATTTAAAATGCTAAGTACTTTGCTGAAAAGACTCTTCACCGCTTTTCAATTTCTCCCCCTGCCAGTTGAGCCCTAAGCAGGTGTTAGAGTTCTGAAGAGCTCGCCTCGGGACTTTTAACTCTTAACTACAAAAGGGAGCTTCAGAAATTATGATAAAAGGTGTTAAGAGAGAAATGAGGGTGAAGAGGTATCTGACACACACCTGAAATTGTACATAGTACCTTTCGAAAAAATTACAGCTACCCAGAACAAACCAGTTTGGTTGTAAATGGTTTCATCAACAGTAACCCATATATTTTTGCAGTCATATTTCCACTCATTTCATTTATATTCAAAACAATGAGCACATGTAAAGTTACATGCTCTGACAGGAGAATTTTTTAATCAAAGAACTTTGCTCATTCTATATGAGTTTGGCTTTGTTTTGGGTTGTCTTGTCTTTATGTGGGATGAAGTAGGAAACTACACAGAATAATGGGGTTTTTTTTGTGTACTGAAACATCATTGGCCAAGACATTATGGATATACTGTGTAACATAGTGCCCAAGTTCCACAATACAGTTGACCAATGTCTGACTTTTGCTAGGTGCGAATGCTAAAAAGATGACTAAGCTGTGGTTCTGGACTTCACACATACCCCAGTACAGAAGAGATACACATCAAATGAACCATTACAATCAAACATGATGAGTACTGTAATAGAAATATGTACACCTGTAATCCCAGCCACTCAGAAGGCTGAGGCAGGAGGACTATTTGAGCCCAGGAGTTCAAGACCAGCCTGGGCAACATAGCAAGACACCATCTCAAATTTTTTTAATAAAGAAAGATGCACGAAGTGTTGTGAGGACCCAGAGCACAGAAGAACCAACTCTGCCTGCAGAAGGCAAGGAGAAAGCTTCCACAGAAAATATAACCTTCTGAATGAGTCCTTGAGAAAGACATAAGAATGCTCCTGGTGTATAAGGAGTTCCAACTAAACTAGCACAGAGCAAAGCAAATTGTTGGAAATAGCTGAATTCATTGGGATTTCAGGTGGGTCTGGCAGCAGGTGAGACCAGTAGGAAATAAGTTTCATAAAGGTTGGTTGAGGTCAAGTTGGGAAGTCTTGGATACCTTCTTAAAGTTCAGATTTTATCCTGTGGCACTGGAAAGGTTTTGAAGGATTTTAAGGAATTAATATCAGTGTCATCCGAAAGATCACCAGGATGGCCAAATAGTAGAAAGGAGAGCTTTATTGGCAATATCAGTTTGCAAACCGGGAAAGGATGGACAGTCTCCAGCATGTGCCAAAGGTGCTCTCTCTTCAAAGAGGGGAAGAAGAAGTTGGGTTTTATGCCCTACAGGGCCTGCATCACACAATAGAGTCATACATATTCAGCAGGTTTGGGGAAAGCTATACATATTTATGAGGGGAGCTGAGTGCATGCACAATGGGCAAACATATATGTAACATACATCCTATCTTCACCTTGGGGAGAGGTTTTAGCATTAAAATGAGGTGGAATTTAGCTATTCACATCAAAAAGTGAACTACAGGACACAAAGGTGCGTAGCCTCCTCTATAAGCCGGCTGAAACTGGCTTAAGGCCTGAAATTGCTTATCAGAAAAGCATGTTTGTAAGGCCAGTCTTCTGTCCAGAGTTGTAGGGGTCTGGGTTGTAAATCAGACTTAGGAGGGGTCTCATAGCTCCTATTGTTAGGGAGTTTAGCAAGTGTGGTTTTCTTGTAACCATAAGAATTCAGAAATTTGCCATGCCAGCTGGGACCTGAGCACTCAACCCATAGGTTTTGTTTTGTTTTGTTTTGTTTTGTTTTGTTTTTTGAGACAGGGTCTCACTCAGTTGCCCAAGGTGGAGTGCACAGGCGCAATCACAGCTCACTGCAGCCTCAACATCTTAGGCTCAGGTGATCCTCCCACCTCAGCCTCCCAAGTAGCTGGGACTACAGGTGCATGCCATCAGGACTGGCGAATTTTGGTATTTTTTGTAGACAGGGTTTCACCATGTTGCCCAGGCTGCCCTCAAAATCCTGGGCTCAAGCAATCTGCCTTGGCCTCCCATAGTGCTGAGATTACGGAAGTGAGCCACTATGCCCGGCAGGTAACTTTTTGTTTCCTTAACCTTAGGGTCGACCTTAGTTGATAAAGGGACGTCTATTTTGATCTCTCAGATCACATCAGCATTACACTTTGTGGGAGGAAAGAACACCAGCGATGTGGAAGATGGCTTGAAGATTCTGGCTGGAAGCAGCCAAGAGATACCTGCAATAATCTTGCTGGGAGCCAATAGAAGGCACAGCAGAGGACTATTGAGATAAGGAACAAACTGCAGACATTTAGAGAACACAACTTCAACCAGATCAAGTACATGTGCCTGTGCCCTGATATGGAAGGGACATACAAAACTGAAACCAGTGGCCACATTTGAGATAGGATTATGGCTGATTTTCTTTTCTTCCAACAACTGTTATTGAATATTGTTGCTTCAGCTTTTTAAATTAAAAAGAAATGCTTCTTTGATTTCATGTCTTGAAGAAAACAAGAAAAGGAGAAAACACTTCTGTCTTTAGAAAGATAAAGAGCTTCGGTGGGGTGCAGTGGCTCACACCTGTAATTCCAGCACTTTAGGAGGCCGAGGCGGGCAGATTGCTTGAGCTCAGGAGTTCAAGACCAGCCTGGGCAACATGATGAAATCCCATCTCTACCAAAAATACAAAAAATTAGCTGGGCATGGTAGCACACGCCTGTAGTCCCAGCTACTCGGGAGGCTGGAAGATGAGAGGATCACTTGACCCCAGGAGGCAGAGGTAGCTGTGAACTGAGATTTCACCACTGTACTCATGCCTGGGTTACAGAGTGCAACCCCATCTCAAAAAAAAAAAAAAAAAAAAACAACGAGCTTCAGCCAAGTGCAATGGCTCACACCTGTAATCCCAGGAATCTGGGAGGCCAAAGTGGGTGGACTGTTTCAGCCTAGGAGTTCGAGAACAGCCTGAGCAACATGGTGAAACCCTGTCTCTACAAAAAATGCAAAAAATTAGCCAGGCATGGTGGCATGCATCTGTGGTCCCAGCTATTCAGGAGGCTGAGGTGGGAGGACCACTTGAGTCTGGGAGATCGAGGCTGCAGAGAGCCATGATCATGCCACTGCCCTCCACCTAGGAACAGTGAGACTCTGTCAAAAAAAAAAAAAAAAAAGTAAAGAGCTTCAACTGTTTTCAAACCTTGTTCTTGTTTTGATGCTACATCCATCAATCTACATCCAAAAGTCAAGTAAAACGGAGAAGAAAAAAAAAGTTTCATTTTTACACAGCCATGAAGCATGGCTCTGAAAAGAATCAGAATGGCAAGGTAAGGGTGAAGGGAACTTTCTTTCCACCCTCTGGAGTTGCAATAAGTTGAGTCTCTGGAATAAATTGGCCATAGACAGATTAACAGGAGAAAAGGCTTAAAAATGTATTACATGCACATGCATGGGGGTCCCACAGAGTATGAGACTTGGAGAACATCTAAAACCACCTGGCAGCCTCTCCCTGCCTGCTGCACAAATAAAGACCATGGCATTGCAGTAAAGAAAGAGTTTAACTGACACGAGGCTGGCCATGCCACGAGGGAGACAGAGCTGTTACTCAAATCAATCTCAAAGGCTTGTAGGTTAGGCGTTTTTCAAAGGCAGTTTTGGGGGAAGGGATGGAAGTGGGTAGAAAATGGGTGCTTGCTGCTGATTGGTTGGGCTAGAGATAAAATCATAGTGGGTGGAAGCTGTCCTTTTTTCTTTTTTCTTTTTTTTTTTGGAGATGGAGTTTCACTCTTGTTGCCCAGGCTGGAGTGTAATGGTGTGATCTCAGCTCACCACAATCACCACCTCCTGGGTTCAAGCAATTCTCCTGCCTCAGCCTCCCAAGTATCTGGGATTATAGGCATGCGCCACCACACCCAACTAATTTTGTATTTTTAGTAGAGACGGGGTTTCTCCATGTTGGTCAGGCTGGTCTCGAACTCCCAACCTCAGGTGATCCTCAGGCCCACCTCGGCCTCCCAAAGTGCTGGGGTTACAGGTATGAGCCACCTCACTTGGCCAGATGCTGTCCTCTAGAGCTGAGCTGCTCCTGTGTGGGGCCACAGGAGCGGTTTGGCAGTCCAGGTGGAGCTGTCAGAGGTGTTTGAACCAGAGCGACTCCACTTTGAGTGAGAGCTGGAAAATGAGGCTGAGACTTGCTGGGCTGCATTCCCAGAAAGTTAGGTATTCCTAACGTCTAGATGTTTATGGTTAAGGGAATGAATTAATAATGTTTACCCAACAGACCCAGACTTAGGAGTGTCCAGATATCCCGATATCTGGAGAACAAGGGCATTCCTAATTTTGCTTTAAAGATAATAATATTGATTCTTGCAAAATACAGTAATTAAGAAAATTAATCCTTTATCACAAACCCTTGTAGCAGAGCACATCTCCCCATATATATGAGTATTGTACCTAGGGGTGGATGCGTTCCTTCTCTTACTTTCAGGAACGTCCTACTCTGTCTATGGAGTAGCTGTTCTTTCTCTACTTTACTTTCTTAATAAACTTGCTTTTACTTTGCACTGCAGACTCACCCTGAATTCTTTCTTGCATGAGATCCAAGAACCCTCTCTTGGGGTCTGGATTGGGATCCCTTTCCTGTAACAGAGCCATTAGGTCCAGTTGGAGCCACGGGTATCAGACATGCAAAAAAAACCTGAAAAGATATCTCAAAAAGCCAGTCGACCACAGTGATGTTATCTGCCGGCATAATTGGGGAAGTTGCATATCTTGTGACCAGTCTACACCTTAGCAGAATTCAGACTCCTCTCCTCCCGCTAGCCTGGTAGTCTCTATTAGCAGTGGTTGAGTTTTAGGGAAGGGCTACTATCATTTAAACTACAACCTAAACATCTTCCAAAGTTAGCTCAGCCTAAACCAAGGAATAATTAAGGCAGGCTGAAAGCTAATGGCAAGAGGCGGGGGCACTGGCCAGATCAGATCTCCTCACTGCCATAATTTTCTCACTGACATAATTTTTGCAAAGGTAGATTCAAGTCCAGATGGTTGAAGTTTATGTAGTATCCTGAGCTACAGAAAGAAATAGTGGGTTGGGGCTGGGCATGGTGGCTCACACCTATAATTCTAGCACTTTGGGAGGCCAACGCAGATGGATTGCCTGAGCTTAGGGGTTGGAGACAAGCCTGGGCAACATGGTGAAACCCCATCTTTACTAAAATACAAAAAACTAGCTGGGCGTGGTGGCACATGCCTGTAGTCCCAGCTACTTGGGAGGCTGAAGCACAGGAATCGCTTGAACCTGGGAGGCAGAGGTTGCAGTGAGCCGAGATCACACCACTGCACTCCAGCCTGGGCAACAGAGTGAGACTCCATCTCAAAAAAAAAAAAAAAAAAAAAAGAAAGAAATGGAGGTTGGGGTTTCTAGGGGGTGATGATGGCAACAGGTTACAGGAGGTTGAGGAGAGGAAACACATAATGAACAAAGGCTGTCTCGTTATACAGATAAAGTCTCTCAGGTACTGACCTTTTTAGTACTGACCTTTTTAGTCTCCTTTCCTGTGAGTTAGTCTTTGCTGTTTGATGAGATTATAGGCAGAGGGCTCATGACAATTACATTCCTCCTGGAGGAACTTTCCCTTAGTCAGATAAGGAAACTCCAGAGAAAGCCACTCCCACAGCTTAGAGAGGGAAAGAAGGACAAGAGACTGGGGGTGGGAGAAGGTCAGAGAGACCTTGGCTCTCCTTTAGTTCAAAGCACTCAGCAGGCCAAAAGCATCATACTTTTTCTGATCCCCAACAGCCACAAAAACAAAAGTAGCCTCAAGACATCTTAAAATATTCAAGAGACTAAACTAGTTGTTTGCTTATTTATGTTAATTTAATGAATTCTTTTTATTAAAGCAGAAAGCATGCATAATCAAAGAAGAGGAAAATTCAAAATAAAGGTCTTATGAGGCTCAAACCAAAGTAACTCCCAAGGCTGAGTCTGACCTCCTGGGTTTTCTTTTTATCGTCAACAGTTATAAGTGTTCCTGTACCAATCTTAAAGTGTCGTGTTTTAATCTCAGCAGCCTCTAACACAGATTCTGAAAGAAAATTAACTCTTCAGATGGGAGGTTTCCTGCAGTCTACACACCACGGTCTCTCTGGGTTTCATCCAAGATAGGTGAACTGTGCTCCAATGTGACGGCCTCACAGGCTCTCAAAGCACAATGGAAAGTGATTTTCTAACATATTTGTACCATGCAAAGGTTCCTGTGGAGAGTTCCATTTCCTGGATATGAACTAGAAATTGCTGTAATTTTTTCAGTTCTTTTTAATTTGCAGCTAAATGAAATATGACAACAAGAGGAATAACAAGC
Organism: Homo sapiens; assembly: GCF_000001405.40. Lineage (NCBI taxonomy): Eukaryota > Metazoa > Chordata > Mammalia > Primates > Hominidae > Homo > Homo sapiens. The sequence goes on from NC_000016.10 coordinate 74,282,224, forward strand.
AGGTAGGTATCCAAGGCCAACACATACAGTCATCGCTTGTGTCGAGCATAAAACAAGGAAAACCTCTTTAAACAAACCAGGTCTTTCTGTAACAATTAACCATGGGAAAAATGAAAATGATCATAAATACATTTTAGAAACAGGAGTTTTTTTAAAAAACAAAATTTTCTTTTTTTTTTTTTTTTTTTGAGATGGAGTCTCTCTCTGTCACCCAGGCTGGAGTGCAGTGGCACAATCTCGGCTCACTGCAACTTCTATCTCCCAGGTTCAAGCCATTCTTCTGCCTCAGCCTCCCAAGTAGCTGGGATTACAGGCATGCACACCACGCCTGGCTAATTGTGTATTTTTAGTAGAGACGAGGGCTTCACCATTTTGGCCAAGCTGGCCTTGAACTCCTGACCTCAGGTGATCCACCCACCTCAGCCTCCCAAAGTGCTGGGATTACAGGCATGAGCCACCATGGCCAGCCAAAAAACACAATTTTCATAAACCAAAAACACCCAAGGCAAAAGACAAGGATAAAGAAATTGTACATACAAAAGTGAATTTCAACTCTTATTCTACTGGGTTACATAAATACAAATACCAGGAAATAAAAGTATGATTTTTTTTTTTCTTAATAGAGATGAAGTCTCACTATGTTGCCCAGGCTGGTCTTGAACTCCTGCGCTCAAGCAATTCTTCCAGCTAGGCCTCCCAAAGCACTAGGATTACAGGCATGGCCCGCCATGCCCAGACAAAAGTATGAAATTCTTATAACCTGTTATAAAATATAATGATGATAACCCTACACTATAATGACAACCATGTCTAACGTCTGTTAGGTTCTTACTATGTTCCAGCAATTGTGTTAAGTTCTTCATATCACAGGATAGACTTGTTTTGGCCTGCCCAGCACTCATTCCCCCTTTTGGTGACAGCACCCCCTTTGTCCTTCCCTATTTCAAGTGATCCTGGTGAGCTAATCCATGACAGTTTCCCCATTCCCAGGCTGATCGCAAACTAGGCACAGAGAACTCCATTCTCCTAGGCACAGTGGTTAGTTCAGGGATGGCCACTGAGAAATAAAAATAAAATCCTAAGCCCCTGAACTGACTGAATGAACCTATTCTTAGCCAAGGGGACCCCAGAGAGAAACCTTAAAAATTGGGCCACTCATGATGGGACAGGAGCTCAGACACCCCTCATTAGACCTGCTACCTTGTTAACTGCCATTAGGCTTTCTTTCCTAAGGGTTAAACAGAAACCAGCCCTTTCAAAAGACTTGCTCCATGGATTTCACTGGACTCCCCTCCTTTTTGCAGTTCCAACACAATTAACCCACATTCCTTCCTGATAAGAGGCCACCAACTGTGCACTGTTTCTGGCTGGACACAGGATGGCTCTGGGTCCTCCATTTCACCTTTTGACACAGAGAGCCTAATTTTAATTCATTTAAATGCTAACTCTCAGTTGGGCATAGTGGCTCATGCCTGTAACTGCAGCACTTTGGGAAGCTGAGGCAGGAGCAGTGCTTGAGCCCAGAAGTTCAAGACCAGCCTGAGTAACGCAATGAGACCCCATCTCAAAAAATAAAATAAATATTAAGTCTCCACCCAAAGTGTACATGGGACATACGTAATGCATGTTTGCTTACTATGCATGCATGCATCCCCCCCTTCGTGAATATTCATAGCTCCTGCTAGAACCTGTTGAATATGGATATTTAACCAACCAATTCAGCATAAATTCATTCCACCCTTCCCTCCCTCAAAGTGCCTGCTTTTGGTTTCTGCCAGAGGCTACGTTTCCCAGCCTGCAAGATAGCCAGCTACAGGCTGCAACCCTTTATAAGAAATAAAGTTCTCCTTTCCAAATTTATAGATCTTGTGATTTTTAAGTTGACAACCTGGGTCCTGCAAAGCCAATCAAGTTTCCTAAATAAGGATTTAGAATTCAAGGTATACTTTCCTTTAAAGATGTAAACCTGGGACTCTCTAGCCATCTGTTTCCCAGTCACTGGCAGGAAACTGGTCTGAAAATGGAGCCAAAACACCAAAGGATGCTGAAAGGTGGAACATCATTTGAAATGAAACATCATTTGAAATCCCTGGAACCATCAGGGCCCTTTGAATTGCTTGTAATATGAGATAATAAATTTCCCTTTTTGCTTCAGCTGGTTGAAGTAGGATTCCACCTCTAGCAATCAAGAGTGATCTAGAATACAGGTATATTAGTACACTTACCCTTTGTATTATTGTCTCATTTTATAGATGAGGAAACTAAGGATGTTAAAATGTACAAGTCTGTCTGCTTGTAGAGACTGCACTATGCTCTACTGCTCTGCTAATAGGATAACCTATTCTTCAGTGATTTCCACTAAAAAACAATAATGGTAATAATAAACTACAGAAAAAACTGAAAAACACAGAACAGCAAAAAAGTGAAATATACTCTACTCACTGTCACTACTCAAAGACAACAACTGTTAACAATTTGGTGTATTTCCTTCCAGGTTTTTTTCTGAAGCATTACTCTAGTAATACATCATATTAATAGTTGAGTATTCACAGAGTACTTTTTAAAAACTCTATATTAGGCCATTCCTGTCTTGCTATAAAGAAATACCTGAGACTAGGTAATTTATATGAAAAGAGGTTTAATTGGCTCACAGTTCTGCAGGCTGTACAGAAGGCATGGTGCCAGCATCTGATCTGGGGAGGCTTCAGAAAGCTTTTACTCACAGCCGAAGGCAAAGCAGGAGTAGGCACTCCTATGGCGAAAGCAACAGCAAGAGAGAGAGTAGGGCCAGGAAGGTGCAACACACTTTTAAATGACCAGATCTCACGAGAACTCACTCACTATCACAAAGACTGCACAAAGCCATGAGGAATCCATCCCCATTTATAAAGAAATGAGACTTAATTGGCTCATGGTTTTGCAGGCTGTACAGGAAGCATGATGGTGGCAACTGCTTGACTTCTTGGGAGGCCTCAGGAAACTTACAATCATGGCAGAAGGCAAAGGGAGAGCTGGGACCTCACGTGGCCAGGAGCAAGAGGAAGAGAGAGACTGGGGGGGTGCTACACACTTCTAAACAACTGGATCCCATGAGAACTCTATCATGAGAATGGCACCCAGGGGGGAAATCTGCCCGCATGACCCAATCACCTCCCAACAGGCCCCCCTTCCAACACTGAGAACTACAATATGACATGAGAACTGGGCGGGGATACAGAGCCAAACCATATCATTATTCAACATGAGATTTGGGTGGGGCCAAATATCCAAACTATATCAAACTAGTACTTCATATTTCTTACATGTATTAGGATTCCCATATCACTGTACTATATGTAGCAAAACATAAGCCCCACCTTTAAGGAGGTTAAACTGAAGAAGACAAATTGAGGGCCACGTGTTCAGTCATTGAGGCTTGCTCAGAAGTACGAAAAAATTTAAAACATTCAGAACCAACTGAAAGGTCAGCACCGTGTACACAAGACCTCTTAGCAATACAAATGTTCACTTACCTACATTCCTGGAAAGAATCAAATTATAATAATCATAAAATTATTAGAAGTTTTTAAAAACATGGCTTTGAGAATTTCGTTCATTCAACAAGTATTTATGACTGAGACTTATTATGTGCCTAGCACTGGCCTGCCTTGAGATACGAAATGATTGCACAAAATCCCCGCCCTCCAGGATCCCTCATTGTACCATGGGAGCCTGAGAACAAACAGGGACTGGATAACACAGTAAGTGGGGAGGTCCTGTAGGCAGAAGCCTATCCAGATTGGAATTCAGGAATGAGTTTTAGGCTTAAGATATTTTAATAGAGGCCAAGGTAGGAGAGTCGCTTGAGCCCAGGAGTTCAAGACCAGCCTGGGCAACATAGTGAGACTCCATCTCTACAAAAAAATAAAAAATAAAAAAATTAGCCAGGAATGGTGGCACATGCTTGTAGTCCCAGCTACTCGGGAGGCTGAAGTGAGAGGATTGCTTGGGCCCAGGAGTTTAAGGCTGCAGTGAGCTATGATCACACCACTGCACACCAGCCTGGGTCAAACAGCACGACCCTGTATCAAAAAAAACAACAAAAAGATAATGAACTGACTATTATCATCATCCAGATTAGGCACAACCACAGAAAATGCATAAAAGGTTCTTAGCAACTCAGGGTGTCTTGCCTAAGTTTCCTACAGAAATTAGAGTTCTCGGCTGGGTGTGGTGGCTGGCTCACACCTGTAATCCTAGCACTTTGGGAGGCCGAGGCAGGTGGATCACTTAAGGTCAGGAGTTCAAGACCAGCCTGGCCAACATGGTGAAACCCCATCTCTACAAAAATACAAAAATTAGCCAGCTATGATGACAGGTGCCTGTAATCCCAGCTACTTGGGAGGCGGAGGCAAGAGAATCGCTTGAACCCGGGAGGCGGAGGTTGCAGTGAGCCGAGATTATGCCATTGCACTCCAGCCTGGGCAACAGTGTGAAACTCTGTCTCAAAAAAAAAAAAAAAAATTAAGAGTTCTCTTCCTCTGACCCAAAGTATAATACACCTAGTTTCCTCATACAGTGTTCCCCAAGGAAAAGAAAGTGCAGTGGCTGGGCACAGTGGCTTGTGCCTGTGATCCCAGTACTTTGGCAGGCTGAGGCAGGCGGATCACCTGAGGTCAAGAGTTCAAGACCAGCCTGGTCAACATGGTGAAACTAAAAATACAAAAATTAGCCAGGCGTGGTGCTGGGCACCTGTAATCCCACCTATCTGGGAGGTTGAGGCACGAGAATCACTTAAACCCGGGAGGCAGAGGTTGCAGTGAGCCGAGATCATGCCACTGCACTCCAGCCTGGGTGATAAAGCAGGACTCCGTCTCAAAAAAAAAAAAAGAAAGCGCAGAGTTTGGGATCACAGTACCTACCGACATAGGACACAAACTTAACTCAGTTAACCTGACGTTCAAATGGGCAGGGAATGAATATGCTCCCTTATTTTTGTCCACAGCTAACCTTCCTTCACAAGCCACCACATGCTGATTACATAGGAAAAAATAACTTTTAAAAAATTAGGCAGGAGGATTGCCTGAGGCTGGAGTTTGAGACCAGACTGGGCAACACAGCAAGACCACCATCTCTACAAAAACAAAATTAAATTAAATATTCAAATTGGTTTAAAGCAAGCAATCTCTTTAGAAATGTTTCCATCTCAGCCAGGCGTGGTGGCTCACGCCTGTAATCCCAGCACTTTGGGAGGCCGAGGCAGGAGGATCACTTGAGGTCAGGAGTTCAAGACCAGGCTGGCCAACATGGCAAAACCCCGTCTCTACTAAAAATACAAAAATTAGCTGAGCATGGTGGCACACTCCTGTAGTCCCAGCCACTCAGGAGGCTGAGGCAGGAAAATCACTTGAACCTGGGAGGCTGAGGTTGCAGTGAACCAAGATCACGCCACTGCACTCCAGCCTGGGCGACAGAGCGAGACTCCGTCTCAAAAAAAAAAAAAAAAAAAAAAAATACAAAATTAGCTAGGCGTGGTGGCACATGCCTGTAATCTCAGCTACTCAGGAGGCTGAGACAGGAGAATCGCCTGAACCTGGGAGGTGGAGGTTGTGGTGAGCTGAGATCCCACCATTGCACTCCAGCCTAAGCAACAACAGTGAAACTCCATCTCAAAAAAAATAAAAGAGAAGTTTCCATCTCTTAGTGGCATCCTCCTTTCCCTCTCTTTTCTCCCTAAGGAGTACAGGCACATGGGGAGAGAGGGATGGGGTTTACGTGACTCAGTGGCCATGAAGGAAACAGGCCTATCCCCACACTGGTCCTTGGGCATGCCATGGCCAATGTCTGATGGTCTCTGATGCAATGTCTCCTATGGCCTGGTCACTGGGGGCCTTGTTGGCCTCCAAAGTCTGTTCATGGCTGGTGCACTTGGGACCCTTTCCTGGGCTAGGCTGTTCCAGGGGTGCTCTCAGGACAACCGGTCCCACCTCAGTGCCTCTGAGGTATACCTGTGACTCCAGTTCGGGCCGACTCAGGCATCCTACGCTATGGAATTCAACACAGAGCAGAAGTCTCCCCGACCATTATGGCCTCCTCCTCCTGCCACCTGTGGTCCTGTCCATGTCATAGCAGAACGACTGGTGGCTCAGGCAACCAAACCTGAAAGCCCCCATTCCACAGCCTTCATTGAGCTATCAACTGTGCCACCATGACCAGCTAATTTTTGTATTTTTAGTAGAGACAGGATTTCACCATGTCGGCCAGGCTGGTCTCAAACTCCTGATGTCAGGTGATCCATCCACCTTGGCCTCCCAGTGTGCTAGGGTTATAGGCGTGAGCCACCGCGCCCAGCCACTCCCCACATTTTGGATTACGCTCTGTTAGAGAAATAACATGAGCAGTGCTACTACTTGTGCCCAAATGTTTCACAGAGCTTTTATGAAAGAGCTCTTTCAGTTTTCTCATAAAGCTTACCAACATGGCTTTCTGGACTCAGATATAAGGGGCTGAACTGAGAGCCAACTCTGAGTGGCAGATTCATACTATCCCACGAATCACTACTTTCTCTCCAAAAACTGAGGGTGCGTTTCTGGGCCAAACCAGTGTATCTGACTCTTAAGATGAGTGCCATTGCAGGTCTCTCAGCGACTCATACAATTAGAGATCTAGTGGGCCTACCTTAGTTTGCCAGACATTCCCAAGGATGTCTGAACTCAACAACACATACAGCCTAGGCTAAAGGTGGCATCTCTGCTATGTATTCTTTTTTCTTCAAAATCTCTTAAGATGATAAATAGAGGCTGCAAAGTTCAAAGTATTGCTGAAATGCTTGTAAGACCGTTATTCCTTGTTCTGGACTTAGCAAAAATAACAACTCTTTTAAGATGCTGTAGTCTGTGGGGGCTAACTCCCTAAACTGAAAGATAAAAATGATCAAAGGAGAGGAAAATGTATTATCATCAAACTCTCTTCAGGTTCTCTCAAAGTTAAGTCCAAAATTCAATGAACAAAAGAAAATGGATTTCTTACACCTCCCTTCTGCATTCCTCTGAATAAATTCAGCCCCCATTAGTGGCTACAATATCAGAGATGATTTTATAAGTCAGTTATATTTTTAAAAGGGGAGTGGCAATGTAGAAAATGCCTCCTTTATGATTTCCAGTGGTCTTCTTTATACTCTATGCATTTTAGTCAAAATGATATTTCCATCAGACTCCAATTCTTAAACCTTATTTGACACATAAGAAAAATCAAAACCAATCTTTGATCATCTGATAGCCACTAAATCCTTAATTACAAATTAGAAGGGAAACTCCTTCACGCTTTTTTCATAATAGAGACGTCTACCCCATGCTGAATTGCATCACGTAAGAGATGAAACAACGTCTACTTTGAATCAGACACTAAACACCAGCAAGCATGCTTTATTTAACACATCACACAATGAGAGCTGACTTAAATCTTCTTAACCTAAAAGTTCTGCTATCTTAGAATGCAAGAGCAGTCATCTGATAGTCAAATCAAAAATATTAAAAGAAATGAAGAAAACCCAAAGCAATGTTCCCAAAAGTAAGAAAAGTACATGTAATGAAAGGGATTGACAAGACACAGAAAGAATATCAAAAGCTCCCTGATTACACTGGAAGAAGGCCAAGACTCAGAGCAAAAGTCTCCTGGTCAGTCTTCAAAGATGCACAGCTGAAGGCTCCTGAGCAATTGTGGGACTCAACCACAAAATGTGTAACTAATTATGCCTACAATTAGTTATGAGATTAGGTGATTAAAATTAAAAATGAGAAGTGTTATCAAGTCGAGTAACCCCAAAACAAAGAGGCACAATGGCCGCTACTACACTCTGAAATCAGGTTCTTCAGAACTTTCAAACAAACATTTCATCTAGAAGAACACATGCCGAACTGTTAGGGGTGATTATATGTGGGTGGTGGGATTATGGGAGATTTTTACTTTATAAGTTTTATATTTCTGTACTACGTGAAGTTCTAACAATGAGTGGACATTACTCTTAGGAACAGAAAGCATGCTTTTAGATCTTTTTGGTAAGTATATTTTCAAAAATTAAAAAAGAAAATTATGAAACAGCAGGAGTTTTCATTTTCATTTATTTAAGAGACAGTCTCACTCTCTCCCCCAGGCTGGAGTGCAGTGGCACAATCATAGCTCACTGTAACCTCATACTCCTAGGCTCAAGCAATCCTCTCACCTCAGCCTCCCAAGTAGTAGCTGGGACTATAGGTCTATAGGTGCATGCCACCATGCTTGGCTAATTTTTTTTTTTTTTTTTTTTTTGGAGAGACAAGGTCTTGAAATGTTGCCCAGGCTGGTTTCAAACTCCTGGCCTTAAGCAATCCTCTTACCTTGGCCTTGAGCCATGCCACCCAGCCAGGGAACTTTGAAGTAATTTTTTATTATCCATTCCTTCATCTTTCACAGGCAATCAATCACCATTTTCTGTCCATTTTTCTCTGAAATGCATCTCCCTGTTTCTTTTTCTGTTCCCTCTGCCACCCCAGGTATTTGTCACCTCATACTAAATTATTTAAAATTCCTCCTAACAGAGCTTTCCTGATTCCTTGTTCTCTTAAAAAAAAAAATTATTTCTTTTTTCAGAGACAAGGTCTCACTATGTTGCTCAGGCTGGTCTTGAACTCCACCTCAACCTCCCAAGTAGCTGGGACTACAGGTGCCACCACCACATCCAGCACTAGCTCTCTTTCTGTGAATCTACTTTGCATACTACTACTAGATTAATCTTCTAAAAATGTCACTTCTTTCATATCACTTTCTGACTTACAATAAAAATCCTGTGCCCTTTATAAACTGGTCCTACCCAACCAACATAAACTTCTCACTACTCTCTTAAATATGTCTCTGCTCAGGACAGCCCAGTAGTCTCCCATCCCTGGCTCCCCTCACCCGAGTCAGGCACTATTATTATCCCTCTTTTACATAGAGGAAATTGAGGTGTAGAGAGATTAAGTGACCCATTTAAAATATCCTAGCCAGTGAATAGGAAAAGCAAAATTCAAATCTAGATCTGACTCACAGCCCACGCTCTTTTCTATTACCTTCACAGTCGGAGACGACAGGGAGAAAGATTACAGGGAAGGGTGCCAGAGGCATCAAGAATTTATTCTCTACCATGTTCCAGTTTCTCCACACTCTCAAACTCAGTCCTGCTGGAATGTTTCCAAAATGCTACCTAGCTTGAGGAACCTCTTCAGATTCTGATCATATCACTTGAGCTGAGCGATATTCCATGACAGGCCTAAATAACCCTCAAATGAAAGAGTAAATGCAGCAAATAACAGAGAAAGTAAGTGACGGAGCTCACATTTAGGGAGCAGCTATATAACCAAGCATTGAGTGGCAGATAATGGATTTACCAAGAACCTTAGGTTCACAAAGAATTCACAAATTGCCTAGTGTTTCTGTTATCTGTTGCTGCACAACAAACCACCCAAAACTTAGTGACTTAAAACAGCAACGATGACTTATTATTTCACAGAATTTTATAACCTGGGCTGGGCTCAGCTGGGCAGTTCTTCTGCTCCACATGCTATCTACTAGGGCTGGAATATCCACAGTGGTTTTTTCACTCTCATTTCTTGGGACCCTGCCTGTAATGGCTGGAATAGCTGGGGAATGGCCAAGCATTCCTCTTCTATTCCATATGGTCTCTCCTGCAAAGTAGCCAGATTTTTCTACATGACTCAGGGTTCCAAGAGTGGGCATTCCAAGAGAACAAGCTGCAACATGAGAGTGTTACTCAAGCCTCTGTTTGTATTACACTTGCTAATATCTCATGTGCCAGAGCAAGTCACATGCCCAAGCTCACAGTCAATTTTGGAGGAGATAACCAGGGCATGAAGGCCAGATGCATGATTCATTGGGGCCTGGCACATTTGATCATGGTGAGCATGTCTGACAGACTGAGCACACTTTCTGACACCATATGGGATATTATACAGGATTTACATTTATTATTTGCTTATAGTCTATCTCCTCTAACAAGACTATAAGTTCAAAGAGGGCAAGAGCTTTGTTTTGTTTATTCCTATATAACCAGTATTTAGAAGAGTGGCACAGAGTTAAATTGTTAAGTGAGTATTGAGAAAAACATCAGAGATACTGGTTATAGAAGACTGCCAAAGTTTACAGTGCAAAAGAGTCATTATCTAAGTGGAAAAATTAAAGATTCTAGAAACACCGTTGGCACAGCTTTTGCCCTTTCCAGGCCTACAGAGGCTGATGGAGAATGATGTTGTAGCTGGGCCTCTGAGTAGATGAAGGCATCTATTATGAAGAAATCAAATCCATTCTATGCAGCTATTAATGATGATGTAGACCTAGATTTGCTATAAGGAAGTGTGTTAATGATAAATTATTAACTCAAAAGAGCAAATTTCAGAACTTTATGTAGAGTTAAACTCCATTTGCATTTTTTTTTTTTTTGAGATGAAGTCTCACTCTGTCACCCAGGCTAGAGTGCAGTGGCAGGATCTTAGCTCACTGCAACCTCCGCCTCCCAGGTTCAAGTGATTCTCCTACCTCAGCCTCCCAAGCAGCTGGGATTACAGGCACCGACCATCATGCATGGCTAATTTTTTTTTGTATTTTTAGTAGAGATGGGGTTTCCTCATGTTGGCCAAGCTGGTCTCCAACTCCTGACCTTGTGATCAGCCCGCCTCGGCCTCCCAAAGTGCTGGGATTACAGGCGTGAGCCGCAGCGCCGAGCCCATTTGCATATTTTGAAAGCTATGCATACAGATGCCAAAAGATACATCTTTAAAAAACTTTCCGAAAGATTCGCCAGAAACTAGTAGCCAGTGACTACCTTTAAGGAGAGGAACTAGGGTTCACCTAAGAAAAGTGAGGGAGACTTGAAGCTCAGTAACAGGTTCATGGGCTTTATTATACTATTTTCCCTACTCTTGCACAGGGTAGGGATTTTCCATTAAAAAGGGTGTTTTAAAAATATGTCTGGGGCTGGGCACCATGGCTCACGCCTATAATCCTAACACTGTGGGAGGCCAAAGCAGGAGGATCATTTGAGCCCAGAAGTTCAAGGCTTCAGTGAGCTAATGATTGCACCACTGCACTCCAACCTTGGTGACAGAGTGAGACCCTAACTCTTTTAAAAAAATAACAAATTAAAAATGTTAAAATAAGGCTGGGCACAGTGGCTCATGCCTGTAATCCCAGCACCAGCCTGGCCAACAGGATGAAACCCCGTCTCTACTAAAAATACAAAAATTAGCCAGGCGTGGTGGCGGGCACCTCTAATCCCAGCTACTAGGGAGGCTGAGGTGGGAGAATCGCTTGAACCCAGGAGGTGTTGGTTGCAGCAAGCTGAGATCTGGGCAACAAGAGTGAAACTCAGTCTCAATCAATCAATCAATCAATAAAATAAGTCTGGCTGCAGAGTGGAGGATGGAGATGGGAGAAGGTCAAAACTGGAAGGCAAAAAGAGAAATTAGGAAGCTAATGCTGAAATCCCTTAAGAAATACAGCACTTTAGGCCAGGCGCGGTGGTTCACGCCTATAATCCTAGCACTTTGGGAGGCTGAGGCAGGCAGATCACAAAATCGAGACCATCCTTCCTGGCCAACATGGTGAAACCCTGTCTCTACTAAAAATACAAACAAATTAGCTGGGCATGGTGGCATGCGCCTATAGTCCCAGCTGCTTGGGAGGCTGAGGCAGGAGAATCACTTGAACCTGGGAGACGGAGGTTACAGGGAGCCGAGATTGTGCCACTGCACTCCAGCCCGGTGACAGAGTAGGACTCCGTCTCAAAAAAAAAGCACTTTGGGCCAGGGTTAATCTTAGTTTTCTGTATGTGGTACGATTTCAGGTGATTTTAATTTATTTCAATTAATTAATTATTTGTGACAAGGTCCTACTGTTCGGAAGGGTCATGAACTCCTGGGCTCAAGTGATCCTCCAACCTCAGCCTTCCAAGTATCTGGGATTACAGGCACAGGCCACCATGCCCAGCTCTATATTCATTTTTATTTATCTGAATAGTGTCATTTTTCCACAATGATCATGTGTAACTAGAATAATTTTTTAAGCTCATAGTCAGTTTCACACTGCTTCAGTGAGTCAGGATTGGAGACACCCAATAAGCTTCGAAACAGCTTGCTTAGGCTTAGTACAACTGCAAAGTGAACTCAGTGTGAAATAAAATATATCACTTTCTAAAGTTTGAAATTTAGTATCTTAATAAAATTAATGCAATTCTTTTGCCTAAGACTGCTGCAAGCAGGCACACCAACCAATTAGGAACTGGGGTCACAGAAACCTGGCTTGATCCTGACCAGCAATGTGATCTTGGAAAGATCCTTCCCAATGTCTGAGCCTTATTGTCATCTTCCATTTCACTATCATAACTAATTATTCATTTATATAGTAATTACTGAATGTCTCCTATGTGCCAGGCACTTTTCAAGACAATGATAATATAAAAGTAAACTAGGGGCCAGGTGCAGTGGCTCACACCTATAATCCCAGCACTTTGGGAAGCCAAGGCAGGCAGATCACTTGAGTTCAGGAGTTCCAGATAAGCCTGGCCAACACAGTGAAACTCCATCTCTACTAAAAATAGAAAAATTAGTGGGGCATGGTGGCGCTCACCTGTAGTCCCAGCTACTTGGGAGGCTGAGGTATGAGAATCGCTTGAACCTGGGAGGTGAAGGTTGCAGTGAGCCAAGATTGTGCCACTGCATTCCGGACTGGGTGACAGAGCGAGACTGTCTCTCATTTATTTAAAAAAAAAAAAAAAAGTAAACAGGAGTTTACAAACTAAACAAGAGCTTACATTCTAATGAGAGACAAAGAATGAACAGAATAAGTAAATTCTACAAACTATTCACAAGTGGTAAAAACTATGGAGAAAACTAAAGCAGAAACACATTAGGGGGAGAAAGACAAAATTTTTTCAAAGCGTGAGAAAAAGCCCACCTCGAGAGCAACATTTGAGCAACAATTTTCATTTGTAATGAGAAAATACCGACTTCGTAAGGTTGTTACAAGCCTTGTTAACACAGCATGGGCCTCACCTGAAAGCTTGTTAGAAGCTCAGAATTTCAGGTCCCATCTCAGACCTACAGAATCAGAATCTGAATTTTAACAAGGTCCCCTGGTGATTTGTAAGCATATCAAAGTTTGAGAAGCATTAATTAAAAGGATTAAATATTTGCGTCTGAACCAGGGCTGGCATATTATAGGCACTCAATAGATTCAATAATTCTTAGTTTTCTTTCCCCATTAACATAACCCTTATATCTTTCTAGTTATAATTAAGAATGAATGGCCAGGCACAGTAGCTCACACCTGTAATCCCAGCAGTTTGGGAGGCTGAGGTGGGAGGATTGCTTGAGGCTGGGGGTTTAAGACCAGCTTGGACAACATAGTGAGACACCAACTGTACCAAAAAAAAAAATGAAAAAATAAAGATAGCATTGAGTCTCTTCAATTAATTATGAATATTAAGCATATCCTGCCATTTACTTCCTTGCAGATCTAGCAGAAAATCTGAAAATAAAGCCAAGTTGCAGACAGAAGACAAAGATAAATTCACATGCAGACAAATTCAAACTCCTGACTACATTAATGTCTCTCATTGGTGGCCAAATTTCAGTCTAATCTTTGCTAATGTTTTTCACCACCCACAAATAAGAGAGACTGAGTGTGTCCCTTGACATTTGGAGATCAGGAAGTCCACCTTAAAAAGACAAGAGGCCAAAATGTTGGGAAAATCCTCTGGTGATAAAGGGAAAGCAAAAATTGTTTAAAAACAGAACAAAATATAAGTAAATAATTCAGGTTGCTTAAGTACTGTTTTCGTTTACAGAAACAGCAACTTCAAATGAGACGATATAAACCTGTATGATTTTTCTTATAATTTGCCTCCTGCAAATAAGCTTAAGTCTTTGTCTACCTTAGTCTTCTCTTTCCTAGCTACATATCACAACATACTTCCTTACTGCCTTCCTTCCGTCTTTTCTTCAACGCTTCTGTAAATTTTGATTTCAAAAGCAACGGCACAATTGCGTTCTTCTAGCCCTAGTTACGCAGTAATATAACGACAGGTGGAAACCTGCAGGTTGCCACGTTCATTGCAAAGTGTCCACAGTAAAGATAAAGGAGAAATTCCCCCGGCAATGAAAACGAGAATGAGATAAATTACCAAATTACATTAAAAGCGTGCTCTTATGTTAGAGATTTAAAGTTCCTCTCAGAAATCGCGGAGGATTTTGACCTGAAGCAAAAGTGAACTTCTTCCGGGTGGTAGAAAAGTAAACTGTCAACTATTTACTTTGGGGGGGTGGCGGGGGGAGGGTGCTGGGAAGGAATTGAGGCGAAAAGCCTCTGCAGGTGACGGTACAGGCCAATACCAGGAGGTCAAGTCGCCGGTGTCCCTTCGGCCCTTAAGTCCAGGGAAACGCACGGCGAGGGACGAGGGGCGATTCCCGCCTTTCTCCAGCCCTTTCTCCGCCCACAAATGACGGCGGTGGCGAAGATCCGGGCCCGCCGCGCGAGGCACTCTGGGAGCGGAAGAAGGAGGCCGCGCGAGGGCTGACGAACCGGAAGAAGAGGAACTGGGCCTGAAAGGGTACCGGTGACCGCTACTGCTGCCGGTGTTTGCGTGTGGCAGGGAGCCAGGCCTGGCGAGCGGGGTGTGTCGCGATGCCGGAGCTGGCAGTGCAGAAGGTGGTGGTCCACCCCCTGGTGCTGCTCAGTGTGGTGGATCATTTCAACCGGTGAGCGAGCGCCCTATAGCTGGGCCGGCGGCGCAGCCGCTGCTGAGTCACGGGCACGCTGGAGATGGCGCGGCGGCCGCGGACGAGCTGGGGACGCAGATAGGGCGGCTGGTGACCCTTACTTGTTCACGAGTCCAGACCAGCGTCGGCTCACGATGCCGGAGTCATCCAGCCTCCCGCCCCTGCCCCAGCCGCCGCCACTTCGGGGCCTTGGCTGCCTGTTCCGTTTAGCCTGTTTGTTTTACAGAGTTCCCTTTCCGAGTTCGTTTTGCCGAAGTTCGTTTTACCGAAATCTGGATGATGCTGGGGGTCGGGAGATGCGGCTAGCTTTAGTTGGCCCTGACCCCCGCCCCCAAGCTCGTGTCTGTCACTTCGTTTTGAAGTTCGTTTTGCCGAAATCTGGATAAAGCCAGGGTGGGGCGGAGGCGGGCTAGCTTCATTTGGCTCTGACCCCCGACCCCAGGGTCGTATCTTCATTTGACTCAGTTGATTTCACTGAAATGTGAATAATGCAAAGTGACTGATGTCTGGATGATGCTTGGGTGGGGCGGAGTGGGCTAGCTCCATTTAGCCCCGCCCCAAGGCTATGTTTATCTTCGTTTGACCGAATTGGTTTCACCGAAATATGGATGATGCTGGAGTGGGGTGCAGGGTGGCTACCTTCATTTGGCCCTGACCCCGGCCCCAGGGTCGTATTTATGTTTATCCTCGTTTAACCAAGTTGATTTCACCGAAATGTGAATGATGCAAAGTGAATGATGCCTGGATGATGCCGGAGTGGGGCTAAGGGGGCTAGCTTCAATTTGGCCCTGACCCCCGCCCCCAGGGTCGTATCTATGTTTGTCTTCATTTGACCGAGTTCCTGTTATCGAAATCTGGATGATGCTCAGCACCCCGAAGGGCTTCCTGGATCAGCTGTGGTTTTAACCCATTAACATTTTTAAATGGGAATCTGATTAGACTCCGTCTCAAAAAAAAAAATGTATATATAGATGAGGTTTCAGTTTTTATTTAAAACACGAGGCCGAGCATGGTGGCTCACGCCTGTAATCCCAGCATTTTGGGAGGCTGAGACGGGAGGATCGCTTGAGCCCAGGAGTTCGAAGCTGTCGTGAGCTGAGATCATGCCACTGCACTCCAGCCTGGGTGAGAGTGAGACCCTGTCTCCAAAAAAAAAAAAAAAAAAAAGACCAGTTGGAGATTTGAACCTTAATGAATAAGGTAAGGAAACATCTCAAAGGTCATCTAGTAAGCTCATTGTTTGAGGGTGTACATCCACCACCTCTTGGCTTTGGAGTTGTTCATCCTGCTAGACCTGTTGCACATGTTTCTAAGTTTTACAAGATTGTTAGTTGAATTGGCAAATGTAAAGACCCAGTTCAGAGCATCTGCTATAAAGCCATTCTTGCAAAGTGTCCATTCTCCCGCAACTTGCTGTGTGCAACTAATTCAGCTGGATCCGGAAAAGGACCCTCAGCCTAGGATATGTTGGCTTTTCTACAGGAGAGGAATTACTATTTTTCTCCCATGGGATACTAGGGGCAGGCACTATTTCAGTGCTATTCAAGCACTTGTTAAGAGCACTAGCTTTCAGGCTAGCCTGGTAGCACATGCCTATAATCCTAGCACTTTCGGAGACCGAGGTGGGCGGATTGCTTGAGCTTAGGAGTTCAAGACCAGCCTGGGCCACATGGTGAAACCCCTTCTCTACCAAAAAAAAAACAAAAAAACAAAAATTAGCCAGGTGTGGTGGTGTGTGCCTGGAGTCTCAGCTACTCGGGAGGCTGAAGTGAGAAGATCACTTGAATCTGAGAGGTAGAGGCTGCAGTGAGCGAAGATCACACCACTGGACTCCAGCCTGGGCAACAGAGTGAGACCCTGTCTCAAAAACAAAGAAGAGCACTAGCTTCTCTATCAAGTAAGTGTAGGGTTTTAAAAAACACAAATGGACTTTGGTAGACCAAAACAAAAGCCCACGAGTATGGAAGTTTCCCTTGAAGTTGGAAATTCAATTTCCCCCTTACCCCCCCACCCCCAAAAATGAGAGGCACCAGAAATACAGAATCATTAACTTTGTTTGATTCAAACCCCAAACCTAGTAACCATTTATAGATTTGCCAACTATATGCTAAGAAAAATACTACAGTTAAACCAATGTGAAACTAGCAGCTGTTAAGAAAATGTAATTAACAGTGGCTTTTGTCTTTCCTTAGCATAGGGTTGTATTTCTGTGTCACACATTTGCTAGTGGTTAAAAAATACTTCTTGAAGACCAAGGAAATGAGAGTGTGTAAGTGATGCACTTGTAACTCCTTAGGAGAAAATGACTGAGGAGGTTTGAAATGGAGATAAAAATTCTCAAGTAAAATCTTTCTCATTCAGTCCTCCTCTATTCATTCATTTATTTTGAGACAGGGTCTGCCGAGGCTGGGGTGCAGTAGCACAATCTCAGCTCACTGTAGCTAGCCTCAAACTCGACCTTCTGAGCTCAAGTAGTCCCTGCACCTCAGTCCCCCAGCCCCAAGTAGCTGAGACTACAGGCACATCCCCACTATGCCCGGCTAAGTTTTGTATTTTTTGTAGACAGGGTTTCGCCATGTTGCCCACGCTGCCCATGCTCGTCTCAAACTCCTGAGCTCAAGTGATCTGCCCACCTCAGCCTCTCGAAGTGCTGGGATTACAGGCATGAGCCACTGCATCCGGCCTACTCCATCATCTTTATTCCAAAAAAGATTTCAGGATGGGAAAAGTTTAAAGGTGAAGGAAAGCTGCAAAGAAAAAGTAAAGTTAAATGTGGTAGCAAAGCTTAAATGTGTTTTCAGACTAAGATCTGGGAAGCTTTCATTTTCTTCATTTTAAATTTCTGTGAAGTTTGAAATTTTCCCAAGCATGTATTACTTCACAGTCAATGTTAGGTAAAAACTGCCAGTGGGTGTCAGTACCAAGTTTATGAATTACCCCTTATAGTTAATATCAACCTAACCCTATTACATTGGTTTAGGGAGATTAGTTCCCAGGTAAACTAAATTGTATCTGTGCCATTGATATTTCCCATTGAGTATCTTATTGTTGGGTTCATGTTTCTGTGCGAGCCTATCCACACTGACCATCTGTTTTCTCATTCAGAATCGGCAAGGTTGGAAACCAGAAGCGTGTTGTTGGTGTGCTTTTGGGGTCATGGCAAAAGAAAGTACTTGATGTATCGAACAGTTTTGCAGGTAAAAGACAAATTTTATGTTTTTCCGAGCATGATTAAAATGTCAGTTTACCCTTTAAAAATATAAACCTTTGTTACCGCTTTTGACTACAACCCAGAGATTGTCTTAAAATTGCTGAAGTATAGAAAAGAGAACCTGAAGATTGCACACTAGACCAGACAGTAAATATTTTAAACTTGCAGGCCATGTGGTCTCCACTGCACCTGCTCCTCTCTGCCATTATAGTGCAAGAGCTGCTATAGACAACATGTAAACAAACAAAAGTGGCAGTATTCCAGCAAACCTCTATAAAAACAGGCAGCTGGCACAGTTTGTCAGCCCCTGCACTAAACTGTTTAACCACGCTTCTTATAGGTACAGTAAGGAGAGAGATGGGGAACTTTACCCCTTTATGTGAATCCTTACAAGAACGTACCCATGTATTACTTTAATGATTAAAGGAACAACAATAAAGAAGATGATACTGGATGACCTCTGGAGTAGAGATCACTAACTCTAGTGTCTAAAATGACCAGCTAGTCATGTCATTTGCCAAATTGAAAAATATCAGGAAGTAACTGGACTTCTAGAAAACTGAAAAGCATGTGTCTTTTTTAAAGGGGGCAGCCCCTACCTGGCTGTAGCTGGTAGTTGCCAGGTATTCCAGTTTTTTAAGAGAAGCTGGAAGTCTGGATTTTTATGTGAATTCTCCCAGTTTTTGGGGCAGCTCAAAAAAAATTTTTTAATACTTTGCTGGGCAAGTGAAACACGTAAGTGAATCAGAACTGGCCTAGGGGTCTTCAATTGTGACCTGTGTTCTAGGTTTCTATCAAGCACCCTAAACTAACTTTTTTTTTCCTCTTTAGTTCCTTTTGATGAAGATGACAAAGACGATTCTGTATGGTTTTTAGACCATGATTATTTGGAAAACATGTATGGAATGTTTAAGAAAGTCAATGGTATGTCTTGATGTTCTAAGGTGTTACAGCATAGAATTGAACTGTGTGTATGGGGGTCTTCTGTTCGCTTTTCTTTAACATCAAGGGCCCTTTCACTTAGCTACACTTCAGTAAGACTAGTGGTAGTAGAGGAATAAGGTAGAATACATGAAAAACTAGAGTAGCAATTTAAGGCCAAATAGGCGACCTGGGTTTGGGTACAAGGGGAAATAACCTCTCATTGCGGCAGAAAAGTGAAGAACTATCCAGTAAAGTCAGTCTTCCATTAGAGTTTTAGTACCACCAGGGTAAATATGTCTGGAATTTTCAAAGAGGTAAAGGACATAACTACTGATGTTCTTATCCTTTTTGAGGGAGTTGTATAGATCTTCATGAAATAGTTAAAGCCTGCTAATTTTTTTCCTTCCTAGCCAGGGAAAGAATAGTTGGCTGGTACCACACAGGCCCTAAACTACACAAGAATGACATTGCCATCAACGAACTCATGAAAAGATACTGTCCTAATTCCGTAAGTGGTGTCTATTTTTAAAACTCTTGAATGATTTTTTTTGCCAGCCAGCTCAAGTAAGAGCATCCTGGGAAGAATTTGAGTAGCAAATCTGCTTACTGCTTTATCTCCATAAACTTCTGTTGATTTGTAGTGCTCTGTGAAGTATACTGTGACCTAATATATTTGATAAATAATAGTTTATACCTGCTAAGTACCAGGTGTATGAGTTTCGTAATCCTCTCGGTAACTGTATATCCTCTTTACAAATGAGAAAACTGAGGTTCAGAATGGTTAGGAAGGTCTGGTAAGGGGTGGGACTGGGATTGAAATTTTGGCTGTGTTGACTCTAATGTCCTTGTGCTAGGCACTGTACTGCCCCTCAGCTTATTAATGAAGGGGATCGAAAAGCAGAAGAAATGATGAGATCATTTGAAGCATAAATGCATTTTTGCTGAATATTCTGGTTCATTTCTAATTGATTACAAGAAATAGCTTTAGTAATTGTGAGAAGAATGCCTGAAATTACCCCTTTTGTGCTGGGCGTGAGATGACTTGCTAAGATGTGTTTCTCTGCCAGGTATTGGTCATCATTGATGTGAAGCCGAAGGACCTAGGGCTGCCTACAGAAGCGTACATTTCAGTGGAAGAAGTCCATGATGTAAGTCATCTTGCTATGAACCTGGGAGGTTAGACTGCTACTTATTGGGTGATTAGCTTTTTTTTTTCAATTTTCAGGTCAACAAATCCTTTGTCTCCGTAACAAAAGAAGGTAGTTTTTTTCCCTTTGACTTTTTTAATCACCACATTTTGGAAATGGAGAGGAACATAGAAATCTAAATTCCAACCAGGCACAGTGGCTCACCCAGTGCTTTGAGAGGCCGAGGTGGGAGGATTGCCTAAGCCTAGGAGTTGAAGACCAGCCTGGGCAACATAGCAAGACACCTACAAAAATAAAAACATTAGCCAGGCATGATGGTCCATGCCTGTATTCCAAGCTACTCAGGAGGCTGAGACGGGAATATTGTTTGAGCCCAGGAGTTCAAGGTTACAGTGAGCAATGATCACACCACTGCATTCCAACCTGTGCGACAGTTGAGACGCTGTCCCCCAAAAAACCAAGAAATCCAAATTCCCCTTTTACAAATGAAAAGTTTAAGGGATGAATTACGGTCTCCTTTTGAATTTAGATATGCAGTATTTATCCTTACTTTCAGTTTTAAGATTTAGAAAAGGGTATTTTAGGATAGCTCTGTGCAAATGTTCCTTGCATCGAGCTCTGTCTTCCTGGGGCTTTTCTCTTTGCCTGGCTACCAGGGAGCTTAGAGCCAAATGTATTGCCTAATTGCAGTAGGGCTTTCATCCCTGGTTTTGACCCAGTTGTTTTTAGTGAATTTTTCTCCTGCCTCTTTAGAAAAGGAATTGAGGTTGCTCGTACACATGCACCCCAGTGAAGCAAGGTGTTTTTAGTAGGGGATAAAGGGGACATATGGGTCATGTTACAAGGTGAAGCTCAAGAAGAATTAGTGCCTGTAAAGGTTACCAAGAAATCCCACAACACTGTTAAAGGTTCTGACCATCCTGGCATCCAAAGCAAAGAGGAGAATGCCCCTTGCAGGATTAACACTATCCTAAATAAAATAATCACGGCTAACTTTTATAGTACTTAGTGTGAGTTGAGTGACTTTCCCAAGGTCTTGGAGCTCGCCTATTACATACATGGCAGAGCCAAATTTGAACCCAGGTAGCCTGGCTGTGGAGCCTGTACTCTTACCACTATGCTGTCCTTCCTCCCTTACAGACAGTTTACAGCCTTTTGACAGGAGACGTACAGCCTCTTCTGGCACAAGGTCTGAGAAAAGTATCTTCGAAGTCCCTTCAGGATGTCACTGGGTGACCACCATGAACCATGTCCCCAATGGATCCTTTGATTAATTCAGACCACCAGAAAGCCAACTATTCTGATTGCATTGGTTTGGGCACTGTGGAATCGTTTGATCCAAGAGACAAAAAAGGGCTAAAAGTTTTATTTTCTGGCATGAACTTGCTTCAGTACAGATATTCTGTATATTGTCCATTCTAGAAAGAACTATATACTTTTTTTTTTTTTAAGACAATCTCACTCTGTTGCTCAGGTTGGAGTGCAGTGGCGTGATCTCGACTCACTGCACCCTCCACCTCCCAGGTTCAAGTGATTCTCGTTCCTCAGCCTCCAGAGTAGCTGGGATTACAGGCGCCCGCCACCACACCTGGCTAGTTTTTGTATTTTTAGTAGAGAGGGGTTTTCGCCATGTTGCCCAGGCTGGTCTCGAATTCTTGGCGTACCAAAGTGCTGAGATTACAGGTCCGTGCCTGGCCAAAGCGGTATACTTTTAAGAATCAACCTGAGACCTCCCTGTGCGTTCATGCCAAGTGTGGGCTTGAGGGAATTTCCAGATTTTTCTCAACGCACAGTGCCCCAGCAGACTGCATCACTGAGCAGCACCACAGTGATGTTAGCTTTGAAGGCTAAGCTTTCAAAGTAAGCCTTACCCACCCTTGCCATAGAAAATTCTCAGTCATGCACTCATTAAATGAGCTGACTTAAAGCAAAAGACTCAGGGTGCGAAAAGGAACACATGTCAGTTCGTTTGTGGAAAATAAATAATTATAGTTAGGCTTCCTCTCCCAGGATGGAACTCCAACCTCGAAAACATTTGAACACGTGACCAGTGAAATTGGAGCAGAGGAAGCTGAGGAAGTTGGAGTTGAACACTTGTTACGGTGAGACCCTAGTACAGCATCAAAATCATTCACTGCCCGAGAGGTCACACAGTGTAAGGAAGAGGTCTGTGTCGGGAATATGGAGACCTGGGGTCTCGTCCTGGCCGTCCACTAACAAGTCTGCCATTCTGAGCAAATCACAGTCCCTTTCCAGACCTTTGTTTTATTGTCTGTAAATTGAAGTGTTTGAACTACATCAACTGTAAAATGTCTTGAGTTACAATTTATGACTTTGTGGATAGCATACCTTGTCTGGAAACTATAATGTTGACTGACGGGAAGAGAGGTATGAAATAAATGCAGGCCTGCACTCTCCACTAGGTGTCCTTCTCAACAAATGTAGCCCATTTTCTGGAGAGAATCTTCATCTTGGAGTAGCTTTTGTTTTAAAATCCTATATCTATTATAATCCTTATTTGAAAAAGGTTATAGTTTTATCAGTCAATGAGGTTCCTTCTAGTTCTAAAAATTACCATCTTAGTTAAGCTTCTCAATATTCTGGAGATGCATGTAGAGAAAATGCCATCCTTTTAGGAACAGGAAAGCTGAGAGAGACAGCTTCAGTACAAGGTTACCCAGAAAGTTATTGGTAGATCTGAACTGTTGACCTAAGCAATTTTTTTTTCCTTAAGTGGAAATGGTTTTATTTTAGCTCCCTTTTATAATTGTTTTTTGAAAAATGTCCTGTGATGAGAAAGATAAAATGTGTTCCAAATGATAACGAAATTAAGGTAATTGATAACGAAATCTTTATCAAATGGGGAAGTGACATTTTTCTTTTAAAAACTTGCCTCACCCAACAAAGCTAGGAATTTTCTTAGAATGTAAGAACTTGCCTGATAACATGGTACCCTGATGCCTTTTCCTGCCCTTTTTAACTGTGGGTTATTACAGAGATATCAAAGACACGACGGTGGGCACTCTGTCCCAGCGGATCACAAACCAGGTCCATGGTTTGAAGGGACTGAACTCCAAGCTTCTGGATATCAGGAGCTACCTGGAAAAAGTCGCCACAGGCAAGCTGCCCATCAACCACCAGATCATCTACCAGCTGCAGGACGTCTTCAACCTGCTGCCAGATGTCAGCCTGCAGGAGTTCGTCAAGGCCTTTTACCTGAAGACCAATGACCAGATGGTGGTAGTGTACTTGGCCTCGCTGATCCGTTCCGTGGTCGCCCTGCACAACCTCATCAACAACAAGATTGCCAACCGGGATGCAGAGAAGAAAGAAGGGCAGGAGAAAGAAGAGAGCAAAAAGGATAGGAAAGAGGACAAGGAGAAAGATAAAGATAAGGAAAAGAGTGATGTAAAGAAAGAGGAGAAAAAGGAGAAAAAGTAAAACATGTATTAAATAGCTTTTTTAATTTGTAAATTAAAATCTTACAAACTAAATCAGTGTGCTGCTAGAGGGTTCTTTTTCACTTGACATGCTTATTAGAAAGCTGACCCAACAAGAGCTCTCTGCCTCCGGTCACTCTTGCTGTGGTGCTACGTGGAAGTGAATGGAGACTGATCTCAAATCTGAACTGCAGCTTTCGCTGCTGTGAGTTGGGGATATGATAGTCAGCTCAGGCTTCAGATTGTATGAGAAAAATGAAGAGAAGTCAACAAATATTTTGGTACTCTTCATTCATTTATCTCTAAAACCAGGAGTTGAATTTTCCTCATCTTGAAAGACTCTTGGGGTCTGTTTCTGGTATTTTACAAAATTGCTAAGTGGAATGCATGAATTGCATTATGTTCTCTGGTAACACGTAGAGTTCAGACCCTTCTGAACTCTGTTGATAATACCACACCATGTTCTGGACCCATAGCTCTGGCATCCTCAGGGGTTGTGATCCAGCTCCATATATTGTTTACCTTCAAAGATACAATTAAATGGCTTGATTTTTAAGCTGTGTTCTAGTCGTTTTTGACTTCGGGAGTAGTGATCTGTAGTTTCCAGAAGCAGCCAAGACAGTCTTCGATTGGAGCTGCCTTAAGTTCTCTTGCACTTGGTATCATTTATGAAAGAGCATCTCATTCCCCTAAATGGAAACAGGCAGTCTGCTGTAGTGAGGAGAGTTCTCTGAGCCCAGAAGACCCGGGTTCCAGTTTGTACCTCAGATCCCTCATTTATGAGGTGGTAGGTTGCAGTCCGTCATCTCTGAAGTCCCCAGAACAGTGTTTCAAAAGGGACACATTTACCACACTGCAGCAAGTTGTAAGTACCTCAGACCACAGGCCAAACAGGCATGTTACTAAGAATGGAACAATGTTTCCCCCAAGATAAGTGCACAGGACTCCTAGAGGAACAAATTAAATAAGGCACTAAATCATTTGACATACAGTAGTCACGGATATTAAATTTCCTCTCTTGAACAGATAGAACCTCTCAAATGCACTACGTGGATTATTCATCTTCAAAGATATAAGAATACAATAAAATAGCACAAAAACTCAGTTGCATCTCAGAAACCACTTCATGAGGTTATAATGCCTTAAAGTAATCAGAAGCATCGATTTTTATTCCATAGACCTGCCAAAGAGCTAGTTAGTGGGAATTTGGGAATAGGTAGAGCTTGAGTATCCCTTATCTGAAATGCTTGGAACCAGAAGTATTAAAAGATTTAGGAAATTTTTTTTTTTAATATTTGCATTATGCTTAACGGCTGAGCATGCCTAATAGGAAATGTTCCAATGAGCATTTCCTTTCAATACCATGTAAGTGCTCAAAAAGTTTCAGATTTTGGAGCATTTCAAATTTTTGGATTAGGGGCACTCAACCTGTAGTAAAATGTAAAATGGCTCTTATTCAGCATAAATAGAGGCATGCCCCCATCAGGGGTCATTTCAGAGTTCATCAAGATTCTGAGATAAAAAAGCATGGTACAGTGAAAACAACAAAATTGACTTTCCTGTTTCAGAAGCCAAAAGTCAGACGGTTTGTATCTAATTGAATAAAAGAAACTTGAAGTACGTAAGTTAAAACTTGAGGTGTATCCCAAACCATGGGAGCGTTGAAGAAGCTTTTGAGATCTGGGTGCCATGTTTGGAACACACTGATGTGACAGGTTGCCTGGACCACAAACCCTGGCTAGGAAATGGGCAAGAGCAAGACCCAGGCATCGGGGGAGAGCCAGGTGCCATGGTGCTGAGGCTCTAAGCAAGGGAACGCAACGTCATCCTAAGGAACGGGTCCTGTATGTAAGGCTCAGGGGCCAGTGCACACCTGAATTGACACCGCACAGGATTCAGGTCTGCCTTTAAGAACATAATGCAGGGTTGGGGGCAGTGGCTGGTGCTTGTAGTCCCAACACTGGGAGGCTGAGGCAGGAGGATCACTTGAGGCCAGGAGTAAGAGACCAGCCTGAACAACATAGTAAGAGCCATCTACAAAAAATTCTAAAATTGCCTGGGTGTGGTGGGATGTGCCTTAGTCCTAGCTACTGAAGAGGCTGAGGTAGGACACTGGAGCCCAGGAGCTCAAGGTTACAGTGAGCTGTGATCACATGCCACTGCACTCCAGCCTAGGCAACAGAGCAAAATCCTGTCTCTTTAAAAAACAAAAAGTATCATTTGGATTTAAAAGACTTTCCCAGGGTCCAGTGAACTAGCACAATGCCACAGACTTGTAAGTTGGTCATAGTTTGATGAACTGAAATGTTTATTGAGCATCTAAGAACATAGGAATCCCCAGGCCTTATTATTTTTAATAGTTTGGCCCACATACGGACAAAACTGACTTCTACCTTCCTAACAGAAATCTTCCATTTCTACTTATGAAGAAAATAGCTTATAGCCTGTGGAGTCACTTAGGCATATTTTCTAAGGCCAAATTGCTGCCATCATGTAGAAGAGGGGGAGCCCAGTAGTGCTACCGATGAAGTCTTGCTCATACAAATAGCGGCTGACTTGACTGCAAAACCCAGGGCCCACCCCTAAAATAAAGCCTTACATTTGTGTATTCTGGCATTCTGGAGATGAGACTTCTAAACGGCTTTTGCTGGCTTTGGAAACACTAAAAAAGTATTCTGGAAAAAGTGTGATCCTCAGCCTGGATCTCATCTTCCTAGCTGCAACATTAGCTTCCCTTCGATTTCACCACAGCTTCAGAATGACTGCCTAATGGATTTCAGGCTGCTCCTGTGACACCTTACAGAGGATGCTGTTCACTCCTGAATTACGGTTTTCTGTTTGAAAACACGAAATATGCGAGTTATAGACTGGGGATAAATGTGGAGAGGGTCCTGAAGTCAAGGAGAAGATTTTACCAAAACTAGAGCACTTCAATGGAGAAGTAGGCGGAGTGTGGTGGCTCATGCCTGTAATCCTAGCACTTTGGGAGGTCGAGGCTGGTGGATTACTTGAGGTCAGGAGTTCAAGACCAGCCTGGCCAACATGGTAAAACCCCATCTCTACTAAAAATACAAAAATTAGCTGGGCGTGGTGGTGTGCACCTGTAATCCCAGCTACCTGGGAGGTTGAGGCAGGAGAATCGCTTGAACTGGGGATGTGGAAGTTGCAGTGAGCCGAGATTGTGCCACTGCACTCCAGCCTGGGCAACAGAGCGAGACTCTGTCTCAAAAAAAAAAAAAAAAAAAATTGCCAGAAGCAGATGAAAGACAACCACAGGTTTAAATGAAAACAAGCTGAAACAATGCAAACTTTTTATACTAGATATTCGACTTAAAAATATCTCAATGAAGGGTTAGTTTTCTCAAAAAAAAATGAAAAAGAAAACAGGAAATAGCCCTCAACTTATGGAAAAGAATGAAATCTCCCATTCACTGGGTAGTTATGCAAAGGCTTTTTCTTCTACCATTTTCCATTAAGCAGAATAAAACTTGAGAATGAGTTAGGATTGTTTGTTAGACTATAACATGCTAACAAAACCACTTTCATCTGCCCTGTCTGGGAAAATGCGGTGGATACAGGACATGTGGGAAGGCAGAGAAACATTTGATTTATATGGCCCACAAGAGAAAATGTTTACAACTTCCCTAAGCAAATGTACTGCAAATTATTACACATAATACCTGTGTACATTCCTATGCCATTCAACTCTTGGCATTACCGATTTTTGCCTGGTAGCAGTGCAAAATTGAGATCTTTTTTTAAAAACTAAAGCCTGTTTTTTGGCCAGGCACAGTGGCTCACACCTGTAATTGGGAGGCCGAGGCGGGCGGATCACACGGTTAGGAGTTCGAGACCAGCCTGGCCAATATGGAGAAACACCATCTCTACTAAAAATACAACAATTAGCTGGGCATGGTGATGGGAGCCTGTAATCCCAGCTACTCGGGAGGCTGAGGCAGGAGAATTGCTTGAACCCGGGAGGCGGAGGTTGCACTGAGCTGGAGATCGTGCCACTGCACTCCAGCCTGGGTAACAGAGCAAGACTCCATCTCAAAAAAAAAAAAGTAAAGGCTGTTTTTATTGGGGGAATAATTAAGAATTGACTCAGTATAGACATGGAAGTGAGGAAAGAAAATATGTGAAAAGAAAGGAAGAAGAAATTATGGAAGTCGTGTTTCTAGGGCCCAAATCAAGAGAAATCTTTTGCTAATCATTGCTCTTTGGAGCCAACCTGTTCTTCGACACTAGATGGCGTCATTCACTCACCTCAGCTCATCTCTTGGCAAGAGAAAAATTTGATTCCCAGTTGGGCATAGATTTGGGAATCTCCCCCAATTACTTCCTGCCATTTCTGCTTTCAGCTGAAGCCACCCAGGCAAAATTTTGAAGGAACTTGAAGAGGCTATGGGTGCAAAAAGACTGGGTTAAGCATCCACACCTCCACCCTTACTGTCCTCTTGCACACTGCTGCTGGGGGATGAATACATTAATACAAGCAGATAGTATGTGCTTCGATTTCCCTTACTGCTGGTATTACTCTTCTAATTTTTTTTTTTTCCTCGAGACTGGGTCTTGCTCTGTCTCTCACACTGGAGTGCAGCGATGCGATCACAGCTCACTGCAGCCTCAACGTCCTGGGCTCAAGCGATCCTCCTGCCTCAGCCTCCTGAGTAGCTGAGAGGGCAGGCACGAGCCACCACGCCCAGGTAATTTTTAACTTTTTTATAGAGACAGGTCTCACCTTGTTGCCCAGGCTGGTCTTGAACTCCTGGGCTCAAGCAATCCTCCTGCCTCGGCCTTCCAAAGTGCTGGGATTACAGGCATGAGCCACCGTGTGCAGCCTAATTACTTTAAGGACCATGGTCAGTGGTGTTCTGGTAAACATGTAACAATCAGTTCTCCAAAAAAGGGATGAGGAGCATTGATTTGTAAGCCTTTCCCAATTTCACTGGTATAAATACTTCCACGGTGCCTGGTTTCAAGCCAACAACCTGAGTTGGAAGGAGAGGCGCAGGAGCACAGTGCTACATAGTATTTCCACCTTACAGATAAGATAGACAAAAATAACCTGAGGAGCACACCTGATAGTAAAATGTAGTAAAGAAATTAGGGCCGGGTGCGATGGCTCACACCTGGCCTTGGGAGGCCAAGGCGGGCAGATCACCTAAGGTCAGGAGTTTGAGACCAGCCTGGCCAACATGGGGAAACTCTATCTCTACTAAAAATACAAAAAATTAGCCGGGCGAGGTGGTGGGCGCCTGTAATCCCAGCTACTTCGGAGGCTGAGGCAGGAGAATTGCTTGAACCCAGGAGGCAGAGGGTGCAGTGAGCCGAGATCATGCCACTGCACTCCAGCCTGGGCAACAGAGCAGGACTCCATGTCAAAAAAAAAAGAAAAAGAAAAAGAAAAGAAATTAGAATGCAATGTGTTGAGAGTTTTAAAAATCTTTTCTTAATGTAATCTATTTAATTGTAAGTTTATCCAATTTAATTTTTTTTTTTTTTTTTGAGATGGAGTCTCACTGTGTTGCCCAGGCTGGAGTGCAGTGGCGCGATCTCAGCTCACTGCAGGCTCCACCCCCTGGGGTTCACGCCATTCTCCTGCCTCAGCCTCCCGAGTAGCTGGGACTACAGGTGCCTGCCACCTCGCCCGGCTAATTTTTTGTATTTTTAGTAGAGATGGGGTTTCACCGTGTTAGCCAGGATGGTCTCGATCTCCTGACCTCGTGATCCGCCAGCCTCGGCCCCCCAAAGTGCTGGGATTACAGGCGTGAGCCACCGCGCCCGGCCCAATTTAATTTTTAACAATGGTTTTGTTTAGCCTCCAGCTCACAAAATTTCTGAAAATTTAACAATTGGCTTTTGCAAACCTGTGCAACCTGGCTCCAAGCCCACCCATTCCAGTCCTATTTAAATGATCACTGCCTTCATGACTGTTACTTAATCCCCAGTTGTTTTCATTTTGTACCTGTTTCTGTTTTTCTCAAGAAAACTTACCAAGACTTGGGTTCATTTAAAGTAGCCCTCTTCACACAGTGGCAGATAGTTGTAGGTGACAAATCTTTGTCAAATGCTTGGGACTTTTCCGGAAGGGGGTGGTGCTGATTGGTTGGTTGACTGATTTGTTCTCACTTACTAGGACCTCAGCTGGCCGTTCTCTAGCAGTTATTCAAAACATAGAACCAATGACAGAAGAATTCACTATGATGCTTGTTAAAAATTCATGTTTCTGGCCAGGTGTGGTGGTTCACGCCTGTAATCCCAGCTCTCTGGGAGGCCAAGGCGGGCAGATCACTTGAGGCCAGGAGTTCAAAACCAGCCTGGCCAACACAGTGAAAGCCAGTATCTACCAAAAAGTACAAACTTTTGCCGGGTGTGGTGGTGCACACCTGTAGTCCCAGCTACTCGGGAGGCTGAGGCCAGGAGAATCTACTGAACCCGGGAGGCAGAGGTTGCAGTGAGCTGAGATTGTACCACTGCACTCCAGCCTGGGCGACAGAGACCCTGTCTCAAAAAAATAATAAAAATTCAGGTTTCTGGGCCCAACCCCAGACCTACTGTGTTACAATCTCTGGGGATCTGTGTTTTTAAGATGGTCTCCATATGGTTCCTGCCCACATGAAAGTTAGAGAACATTTATTTTGATGTAGAACAATCAATTTTTTTTTTAACAGTCCAGGGGTCTGGTTTGTTTTTTGTGCCATTTTAAAATCATTTATTTATTTATTTTTCGTAGAGATGAGTCTCCCTATGTTGCCCAGGCTGGTCTTGAACTCCTGGGCTCAAGCGATCCTCCTGCTTTGGCCTCCCAAAATGCTGGGATTACAGGTGTGAGCCACCACGCTCGGCCTTTTTTTTTTTTTTTAATACCTATGAAGCCATTAATTCAAGAGGATTGGGTTCCAGCAGCTTGGGTTCGTTTTCCCTGTTCTCACAAATTGTGCTTCTCTGGCTGGAGCAGGCTGGCACTTCAGTTGAACCCAGGTACTCTCTGGCTTCCTTCTCTTTTTTTTTTTTTCTGAGATGGAGTCTCCCTCCGTCGCCCAAGCTGGAGTGCAGTGGTGCAGTCTTGGCTCACTGCAACCTTCGCCTCCCAGGTTCTAGAGATTCTCCTGCCTTAGCCTCCCAAGTAGCTGGGACTACAGGCACGCGCCACCATGCCCGGCTAAGTTTTATATTTTTAGTAGAGACGGGGTTTCACCATGTGGGCCAGGCTGGTCTCAAACTCCTGACCTCAGGTGATCTGCCCGCCTCAGCCTCCCAAAGTGCTGGGATTACAGGCGTGAGCCACCGTGCCTGGCCGTTTCCTTCTCTTTTGATCATTTTCCCTCACGTGTTTCTGAAGGCCTTCCCAGCTCTTGGAGTGCTTGGTATGCTCCATACACACACATGAATTCTCTTGGCAAGAATCATGCTGTTGTTTGTTTCCAACCATGCCAACAGCATACTAGATACATGTAGTCTCTTCCTCTTTTGCCTTGGTAACATCTGTGGGGCATTCCTTTTGCCTTGGTAACATCCGTGGGGCATCTCTTGACGTCTATAACATCTCCTTTCTTGTAGGTTCGTGTGGATGTGGCCAGAGGAACAACTCCATGTGTTCTAAAAGGCCTGAGAATATACAGCAGGTACCTCTCCTCTTTCCCCATGTTCATCATTGTGGTGACGGCAGTTCTAGTTGAAAGGACTCTCTTGGTAGATTTTGGTGCAGACAAATCTGTTAACATTTTTTCCTTATGGCCAGTACTTTCTGGATCATATTTAAGAAGTCTTTTCCCAGCTCAAAACCCCAAATATATTCTCATCATAGTGTCTTCCTTCTCTGCAGCTCTCGTGCTAAAGTCTGATCAGTGTTAACATCATTTGAGTCATCTTTTAATCAAAATAACCAGCTAGGATCCTTGGTTCATGTAGAGCCCCTATCTTCTTCATTTTCTTTGTTTTCATTTTTTTTTTTTTTTTAGACCGAGTCTTGCTCTGTCACCCAGGCTGGAGTGCAGTGGCGTGATCTCGGCTCACTAAAACCTTTGCCTCCTAGGTTCAAGCGATTCTCCTGCCTCAGCCTCTCGAGTAGCTGGGATTATAGGTGCCTGCCACCATGCCCAGCTAATTTTTGTATTTTTAGTAGAGACAAGGTTTCACCATGTTAGCCAGGCTGGTCTCAAACTCCTGACTTCAAGTGATCTGCCTGCCTCGGCCTCCCAAAGTGCTGAGATTACAGGTGTCAGCCCCCGTGTCTGGCCTCTTCCTCATTTTCTTTTTTTTTTTCTTTTTTTTTGAGACGGAGTCTCGCTCTGTCACCCAGACTGGAGTGCAATGGCATGATCTTGGCTCACTGCAACCTCCGCCTCCCAGGTTCAAGTGATTCTCCCACCTCAGCCTCCTGAGTAGCTAGGATTATAGGCGTGTGCCACCACACCTGGCTAATTTTTGTATTTTTAGTAGAGATGGGGTTTCACCATGTTGGTCAGGCTGGTCTCAAACTCCTGACCTTGTCATCTGCCCGCCTCGGCCTCCCAAAGTGCTGAGATTACAGGCGTGAGCTACTGCACCTGGCCTCTCTTCCTCATTTTCAATCCTGACTCCATCCCACCTTTTACCCCTCAGCATATAAACCCTCAGCTCCCTCCCATATTACACATGCACATCTGCACTCTGCAGCCCCCGGTATAGCCTTCCTCCATCCTTCTTTTCCCAGTTAACCTTCAGCAAATGGCTAATCTATGTCTGTTGCCTTCCTTGTCTTCCAACTGTTTCCTTAATCATCTGCAATCTGGCTTTTGCCCCCCCACCATTCCACTAAAGTCGCTCTCACTAAAGTCACCAATGGCTTCTTTGCCCATCCAGTTGGCCCTTCTGAGCCCTTATGTATTAGTCCGTTTTCACACTGCTGATAAAGACACACCCAAGACTGGGTAATTTATAAAGAAAAAGAGGATTAATGGACTCACAGTTTAAGTGCCTGGGGAGGCCTCACAATCATGGCAGAAGGCAGAAGGCAGAAGGCACGTCTTACATGGCGGAAGACAAGAGAGAACTTGTGCTTGGGAACTCTTCTTTATAAAACCATCAGATCTGGTGAAACTTATTCACTATTATGAGAACAGCATGGAAAAGACTCACCCCCATGATTCAATTGCCTCCCACTGGGTCCCTCCAGTGACATGTAGGAATTGCAGGAGCTACAGTTCAAGATGAGATTTGGATGGGGACACAACGAAACCATATTACCTTACCTCCCTGACTTGATCCCTGGCACTTCTATCATGGTACTCTTAACTGCTTCTTGGACCCTCCTGAGCTCCTTTGGCTCCATTTTCTCTAGACACTCATTTGACTCAACTGATATCTTAAAGAATCCCACATCGTTATCTGATGCCTCTGATTCCAATACTCATTCCTCTTTCTTCCAGACCCTGGCTGGTCACGCCACTACACGCCATCAGAACACAGGAGCCATACTGGCCGCCCTGCTCAGCCTCAGCCTCTGCATTCAGCCACCTGGTCCTGTGGGTCCTACCACGTGGACGCTCTCTGACACCTGCCCTTCTGCATTCCTGCTGCCCCTGCCTATGTGCAAACATTCATCTCTTTTCTGTTTTATTGCTACAGTTGCCCAACAGCTCTTTCTACCTACGTTCTCACCTTCCCCCTCCTCCCTATTCTACTCCATTGCCAGAGTTACATGGCTGGAGAAAGAACCTCAAATGTAGAGTGGCATGAATCTCACTCCTCAGTTCATGACTGCCATCATCATCATCACCATCATCAAACGTGTCCTTTGATTTTTTTTACCTGATTTCCTCTATCATTCTAACCACCCTTCCTTCCCACACACATAAGCTATAGCCACTTCAATGTGTTTAATAAATGTCCTTAGATATGGATGGATCCGCGAAGAACATGCAGCATAATGTCCTTGAACTCCTGACCTCAGGTGATCCGCCCACCTCAGCCTCCCAAAGTGCTGGGATTACAGGCGTGAGCCACCGTACCCAGCCCATGCAGCATAATGTTCTATGTGCATGTGTTTTAATTTCTATAAGTTTCCCTTTAATCTCATTCTTTCCTACCTTTTTTTAAAACTCAAAACTATGTTTTAAAGACATGTCTTCATGGCTGTATGTATAGATTCATTCAGTTCATAGCTTGTAACTGCTGGTGGCAGCAACAGTACTATGTGTTCCCAAATCCTGTTCCACATTCCTCTTTCCTGGACATACTGCAGACTACACTTGCCACCCCTTTGCTCCAGAGAAGGCCACGAGATGAGTTCTGGACAATGAAAAAATATAAGCAGGCCGGGCGCAGTGCCTCACGCCTGTAATCCCAGCACTCTGGGAGGCAAGGGTGGGTGGATCACAAGGTCAGGAGAGAGACCAGCCTGGCCAACATGGTGAAACCCCGTCTCTACTAAAAATACAAAAATTAGCTGGGAGTGGTGGTGCATGCCTGGAATCCCAGCTCCTTGGGAGGCTGAGGCAGGAGAATTGCTTGAACCAGGGAGTTAGAGGATGCAGTGAGCCGAGATCGGGCCACTGCACTCCAGCCTGATGAGAGAGTGAGACTGAGACAGTGAAAACCCTCTCCTGTCTCTCTCGCCTGGGCGATAGAGGAGGGACATGTTGAGATGGCAAGTCACACAGGGTGCAGCCTGACTGCTGAGTCCCTTTAGAGAGCAGAGATGTCCTAGAGAAACACTTGCCTTGCATTCAATTTGATGTTAGCTGGAATAAAACTTGGGTTCAGCCATTGAGATTTCAGGGCTGTTTGTCGTCATGACGTAACTCTGCCTACGCTGCTAGTCCACTAAGGTGGGGATCCACTGTAGTCATC
Source organism: Homo sapiens (assembly GCF_000001405.40). Lineage (NCBI taxonomy): Eukaryota > Metazoa > Chordata > Mammalia > Primates > Hominidae > Homo > Homo sapiens. The sequence continues at coordinate 74,316,569 of NC_000016.10, forward strand.
TGCCATGGTTTAGTTACCTACCTCCTAGTGCTGGACACTTGGGTTACTTCCAGCTCTCCACCGCCACAAACAAAGCTACCACATGTCCTCATAAGGACCTGAGCAAGTTTCTGTGGAGTCCATGTCCAGGAGTTTGCAGGAACATAGAATATAGGCATAGTTCATGTCTCTAAGTACAGCCAGATTGCACACTAGAGTGGCTGCAGTCCTTTATGCTCCTACTCACAGTTCATGAGGTTACCATTTCTGAAACCACAGTATATTTTAGCAGCTTAAAGCATGGACTCAAGTCAGATGGCTTGACTTGGAATCCAAGATGTATAAACTAGTAGGTGTTCAGGCTATTTGGCCGGACGCGGTGGCTCACACCTGTAATCCTAGCACTTGGGGAGGCCGAGGCAGGGGGATCACCTGAGGTTAGGAGTTGGAGACCAGACTGGCCAACATGGTGAAACCCCATCTCTACTAAAAATACAAAAAGTTAGCCAGGATGCATGCTTGTAATCCCAGCTACTCAGAAGGCTGAGGCAGGAGAATTGCTTGAACCCAGGAGGCAGAGGTTGCAGTGAGCTGAGATCGCACTATAGCACACCAGCCTGGGCGACAGAGTGAAAAAGACAAATCTCTATCTCCATTTTCTCATCTGCAAAATGGGAATAATAAAACCACCTGCTTCATAGATTTGTCAGGAAAATTACACAAAATATTACATATAAGGGGCTTGGAGCAGAGCCTGCACACATTATATCCTGTGTAAGTATGATTGTGATGGTCCCTTATTAATATGCTTGCTAACCTAACACTGCGTATTACCCAACTTCCCAATTTTTATAGATCTTAGGACTGCAATAGTATTCTGAAGTTACTTTGATAGAGCTTTCTCCCCACGGCCATGTTTATTGCCCCTTCTGTGAATTGCTACTTCTATCTTTTGCTCATCTTTTTTTCTATTGAGTTTCTTTTCTTTTTCTTGTTGATTTGCAGACATCCCTTGAATATTCAGGAAACAACTCCTGTTTCGGTTTTGTGTGGCAACTCTCTTCAGTCAGTCCCATCTGTCTGTTACTTTATCTGTGGGGAGCTTCGTGGAACAGAAATCCTCTATTTTGATGTAGACAAATCTATCCATTCTCCCCTATGGTTAGTGCTTTGTGAATCATATTTAAGAAGTCCTTCCCCAGCTTAAAGTCCCAAATCTATTCTCATACTTACACATCATTAGCTTTATATTTTCACCTTTCATATTAGATCTTTTCATCCACTTCAAGTTTTTTATTTTTATTTGAGAGACAGGGTCTCACTCTGTCACTGAGGGTGCAGTGGTATGATCATAGCTCCCTGCAGCTTGACCTCCCAGGCTCAAGCGATCCTCCCACCTCAGCCTCTCAAGTAGATGGAACTACAGACGTGCGCCACCACGCCTGGCTAATTTTTTGTAGAGACAAGTGTCTTGCTATGTTACCCAGGCTAGTCTCCCCACCTTAGACTCCCAAGTGCTAGGATTACAGGTGTGAGCCACCGCACTCAGCCTCCACTTCAAGTTTCAAGACTTCTATCTATCTGCCGATTTTCAGCTCTGCACCTCCCTAGCCTTCTGTTGTCCCTCAAGTCCCCAAGCCTTGGGCCTGAATACACTTCTGGTCTGCGGCAGTTGGAGAATGGGCAGGAGCTGGGGTCTGGGAGGGGAGGTGGGTGTCCAACTCCTCTGTATGCGGTTGCTTAACTACTCCACTTGTTTTTGTTTGTTTTGAGACGGCGTCTCACTCTGTTGCCCAGGCTGGAGTACAGTGGCACAACCTCCGCTCACTGCAACCTCCCCCTCCCAGGTTCAAGTGATTCTCCTGCCTCAGCCTCCTGAGTAGCTTGGACTACAGGTGCACACCACCATGCCCGGCTAATTATTTTTAGTAGAGATGGGGTTTCACCGTGTTGGCCAGGCTGGTCTCAAACTCCTGACTTCATGATCCGCCCACCTCAGCTTCCAAAAGTGTTAGGATTACAGGTGTGAGCCACTGCGCCCAGCCTACTCCACTTGTTTTTAGACCCTAGTATCGCTCTTGCCTTCTTGCTGTCCCCAAACCCTGAGTCTCTCAAGTGGTCTACTAGACAGAGTGGCTCATTTCTCATCGGCCTCCCGTGCAGTGCAGCTTCTTGCTCTGCTTCATCAATTACAATCCTCCACCTGCTGTCTGCCTTGTAAAACTATGTTGGCCATCCTCGTCTGCCACCGAGTCCTCCTATGTTCTCTTTGCCCTTGTAGGTTAAGACTTTTATAAAACTTTCACCTTGTTTGTGGTAAGAGACAGGAATTCACCTTTGTTTCCTCCAGACAGTCTTCATCTCCGGCCTCTGCAGCTCCCCTGCTCCAGGCTTTTGCATCAGATTAAATGGTACCATCCTCTTCCCAGTTTCTTAAGCCAAAAATGAAGACGTCATCCTTGACTTTGCTCTTTCTCTCATGCACCATTTCCAATCCACTGGCAAAATCATGTTAATTGCACCCCGAAGACAGCACGAGTCTTTCCATTTTCCACTGCATATGAAGTCAACACCTAACCCAAAGCCATTGCCTCTCCTGGATGACCACGGTGCCTCCTAACCACCCTCCCTGCATCCCCTCCAGCTCCAGGGGACCCATGCTCCATGCTGCCTTTGCAGTGATCTTTCTTAGGTGTACCTCGGGTCACACCTCTCCTGTGCCTGAGCTTCCAGGGGCTTCCCACTGCTCTTGGAATGAAAACCCAAGCTCTTCATCGGGGCTCACGGGTCCCTGCATGACCTGGACCTGCACCAACCTATGGATCTCCTCTCATGCTGCCCCTGCTCAGCCACCCCAGCCTCAACCCACTCTCAGAACAGGCCAGCCTCCTTCCCACTCAGATGGCTGCACTGGATGCTTCTAACCCTGGACGTTCCTCCTCCAGCTCTTTACTTGGCTGGCTGATTCTTCTTTCTTTCTTTCTTTCCTTCTCCTTCTTTCTTCTTCTTTCTTCTCCTTCTCCTCCTCCTCCTCCTCCTTTCTTCTCCTTCTTCTCCTCTTCCTCCTCCTCCTTCTCTTTCTTCTTCTTTTTTTTTTTGAGACTCTGTCGCCCAGGCTAGAGTACAGTGGCGCAATCTCGGCTCACTGCAACCTCCACCTCCCAGGTTCAAGTGATTCTCCTGCCTCAGCCTCCTGAGTAGCTGGGATTACAGGCACCCACCACCACACCTGGCTAATTTTTGTATTTTTAGTAGAGACGAGGTTTCACCATGTTGGCCAGGCTGGTCTCAAACTCCTGACCTCAGGTGATCTACCCGCCTCAGCCTCCCAAAGTGCTTGGATGACAGGCGTGAGACACTGCACCCGGCCTTCTGGCTCCTTCTTACCTTTCAGGTCATTAGGCTGAAACACCTCTTTTGAGTTGCTTTCCCTAAAATCCTATCCAAAGTAGACCCTTTCTCCTGCACTCTTCTCTGCCATATAATATTTATCAAGAGGCATCCTGTGCCCTTGGCAGAAAGCTGATGCTTAGGGGTGAGTACCACATATGGAGTGCAGGGACAGGATAACAGTCAACATTTACCACTCAGGCTACTTCTCATGTACCCCACACACAGACATTCCAGATTTTAACCAGTGTGGACCAATGACAGAGAGTCAGCAGACCTTGACTATAAAATCCAAACGTTCAAATCAGGCGCAGTGGCTCACACCTGTAATCCTAGCATTTTGGAAGGCCAAGGCGGGAGGATCCCTTGAGGCCAGGAGTTTGAGACCAACCTGGGCAACATAATGAGACCGTCTCAACAAAAAAAAAAAAAAAAAAAAAAATTTCATTAGCCGTGTACATTCCAGCCTGGGTGACAAAGTGAGACCCTGTCTCAAAAAAACAAGACAAAATTTGCCAGGCATGGTGGCATGTGCGTATAGTCCCAGCTACTCGGGAGGCTGAGGTGGGAGGATTGCTTGAGCCCAGGAGTTTGAGGCTGCAGTGAGCCTAGATAGATCGCACCACTGCACTCCAGCCTGGGCAACAGAGCAAGACCCTGTCTCAAAAATAAATAAATAACACAAAATAAAATCCAAAGGTTTGGGGGTGAAATGGATACCCTCCCAGAAGAAACAATGCTTCTGCACCCACAGCCCACCAGACCCCAGATACTTATGGGGAGGCCATCACAGAGGCGAGAGCTGTGTCCTAAGCCAGCCTCCGTGGGAGTCCTAGAGCTGCAGAGGCCGCCCTTCAGGCTAATTTGCTGCTGTAATAGCACCATCTACCCTGCTGCTCACCCTATAATTACACAGGAAACGGCCCCAAAATTGTCCTTGAGAGACTGGACATGACTCTTGCCAACCATGTTTGGCTGAAGGCCCAGACAAGAACTAATGACATCTCAAGGCAGAAAGCCGCAGTCGCAGACTGGGCCAGACCTGAGGGCCTGGGACCACTGGCACTGCTGGGCAAATGATATCAGGCTGGAAACTGGGGTCTTGGGGAGGGATTAAAATTAATCCCACTTCCCAGTATTCTCTTTCCCCAAGAAGAGGAAGAAGGGCAATCAGCCTGTGTTCCTGGTTAGTATGATTTTATTGACCTACAGATAATCTCCCTGCCATGGCTCTTTCATGCATTAAAAATCATGGCCACATTCAGGAACCAGGGAATGGAAGGGATGCTAATCTGAGGACATTTAATCTGACCTAGCATGGTGTACTGGTTACCTATGGCTGCCTAGAAAATTTCCGTTAACAGTCAGCTGCTTACAACACACATTTGTTATCTCACAGTTTCCTTGGCTCAGGGGTCCAGGCCCGGCTCACCTGGGTCTCTGCTTTGAGTTGCTCACCAGCTGCAGGTGAGCTGTAGTCACCCCCAGCTCAGCAACAGAAGGATCCAGTTCCAAGCTCACATGGCTGTTGGCAGGATTCAGTTCCTCATGGGCTGTGGGCCTAAGGGCCTCAGTTCCTTGCTAGCTGTTGACATAAGGCTGCCTTCAGTCCCATGCCACATGGGCCTAACTCAGCAGCTTGCGCCATCAGAGCACACATGCCAGCAGGCAAGGGAGAGAGTCAGTGAGACAGATTACAACTGAATCACAGAAGTGACATCCCATCACCTGGGCCATGTGCCACTGGGTAGAAGCAAGTCACTAGGGCAGCTCACTCTCAAGGGGAGGGGTTTACACCATGAAGGTGGGAATACCAGGAGGGGAACACTGGAGGCCACCTAAGAAGTCCGCCTACTAGGCCAGGAGCAGTGGCTCACAGCTGTAATCCCAGCACTTTGGGAGGCCGAGGCAGGTGGATCACCAAAGGTCAGGAGTTGGAGACCAGCCTGGCCAACATGGTGAAACCCCATCTCTACTAAAAATACAAAAATCAGCTGGGCATGGTGGCGGGTGCCTGTAATCCCAGCTACTTGGGAGGTGGAGGCAGGAGAACCACTTGAACCCAGGAGGCGGAGGTTGCAGTGAGCCGAGATCACGCCATTGCACTCTATCCAGCCTGGGCAACAAGAGCAAAACTGTCTCAAAAAAAAAAAAAAAAAAAAAGTCCACCTACTGTCAGAGGCATGCGAACCAGAGTGACTTCATCTTGAACAGGGGCTGGATAAAATGAGGATGAGATCTGCTGAGCTGCATTCCCAGGAGGTTAGGCATTCTCAGTCACAGGACAGAGGTTGGCAAGACTGGTATCACAAAATACAGGTCATAAAGACCGTGCTGATAAAACAGATTGCAGTGAAGAAGCCAGCCAAAGCCCACCAAAACCAAGATGGCAACCAAAGTGACCTCATTGTACGCCAATTGTATTACATTCGCCACACTGCTCGTTAAACGCCAATTGTATTACATTCGCATACTAAAAGACACTTCTACCAGCATGTGACAGCTTACAAGGGCCATAAAAATGTCCAGAAGTGACCTTACATGATAGAAAAGAAGGGAAATCCCCACCCCTTTCCTGGAAAACTCATGAATAATCCACCCCATATTTAGCATTTAATCAAGAAATAACCCTAAAAATAGCCAAGCAGCAGCACTCAGTGCTGCTCTGTCTGTGGAATAGCCATTCTTTTGTTTCTTTACTTCTCTCATAAACTTGCTTGCACTTTACTCTGTGGACCCGCCCTGAATTCTTTCTCACATGAGATCCGAGAACCCTCTCTTGGAGTCTGGATCAGAACACCCTTTCCAGTAATCACTAACACAGATAGGAACAAGAACTCACTAGAGTAATCAAGAATAGGATACAGTGGGGTTTTCTTTCTTAATTTGGTGCCTAATTAATGTCTTAGAATGAGCATACTGTTAGTGGAAAATGCAGAAGTAAAATATCTCTCTTTTTTTTTTTTTGACAGGGTCTCCCTCTGCCACCCAGGCTGGAGTGTGGTGGTGCGATCTTGGCTCACTGCAACCTCTGCCTCCGAGGTAGCTGGGACTACAGGTGCCCGCCACCGTACCTGGCTATTTTTTGTATTTTTAGTAGAGACGGGGTTTCACCATGTTGGCCAGGCTGGTCTCAAACTCCTGACCTCAGGTAATCCACCTGCCTCCACCTCCCAAAGTGTTGGGATTACAGGCATGAGCCACCATGCCTGGCCACCCTCTTGTTTATAAACAGAACTACCTATTGCCACCATTGGCTTTGGAGATAAGAAAGCAAAGCTAACCCATCCCACCTATTCCCCTTCCCCTACCCCACTCCATCCACCTACCCCCATCCCATGCCCCTCATCTTCCACCCTCTCCCAGCATAAGGAAGCCAGTCAGTGCTCTTAGGGAAGTCGGCACAATGAGGTTCATCTTGGCTAATGAGCTGGATGCGGTGGCTCATACCTGTAATCCCAGCACTTTGGGAGGCCAAGGCAGGCTGATCACCTGAGGTCAGGAGTTCAAGACCAGCCTGGCCACAATGGTGAAACCTCGTCTCTACTAAAAATACAAAAATTAGCCGGGCGTGGTGGCCTGCGCCTGTAGTTACTGCCACTTGGCTAAGGCAGGAGGATCGCTTGAACCCGGGAGGCGGAGGTTGCAGTGAACTGAGATTGCACTACTGCACTCCAGCCTGGGTAACAGAGTGAGACCCTGTCTCAAAAAAACAAAAACATCTTAGATAATGAGCAAGAACTCCATTCTGAAATGTGTTTCTATTTTCTTCCTCCCAAGACCCCATCAGAATGGCAGTGAAGGAATATTAAAATTTTTCCATTTTGCTCTATCCAGTTGGCCCAATCTGAAGGGTAGCATCTGAGAGGTGGACCAGAGTTCAACACATTTCTAGGAGGTGTCAGGCAGGTGGAGTGGCCAGGCAGAGGAAGCCCTGGCCAAGAATTCAGGCAGAAAGAGCTTAACCAAGGAGGGCTCTGGTGAGCCCTGCAGAACCCGGAAAGGCTCAGGACTGAGAAAGGCAGAGGCAGCAGCAGTCAAGTTAGTTGAAAGTCAGTATAATAAAAACAGACAAGCCCCTTCAGGGCCTCTATGCACAGGCTGCCATCTGCAAGCTGCCCCTCTTCTGCCCCCAGGCACATCTATCAAAGGAGAGGAAGTTAACAGAGAGCAGATCAGCCATCTCTTCTTACTAGAGCCCCAAAATTATTTATTTATTTATTTATTTATTTTTGAGACAGAGTCTTGCTCTGTCACCCAGGCTGGAGTGCAGTGGCACAATCTTGGCTTACTGCAATCTCCGCCTCCTGGGTTCAAGCAGTTCTCCTGCCTCAGCCTCCTGAGTAGCTGGGATTATAGGCACCTGCCACCACACCTGGCTATTTTTTGTATTTTTAGTAGAGACAGGGTTTCACCATGTTGGCCAGGCTAGTCTCGAACTCCTGACCTCGTGATCCACCTGCCTCAGACTCCCAAAGTGGTGGGATTACAGGCATGAGCCACTGCACCCAGCCCAAAATTATTTTTTAAAAAACAACCAAATAGGCCAGGCGCAGAGGCTCATGCCTATAATCCCAGTACTTTGGGAGGCTGAGGCAGGAAGATCACTTGAGACCAGGAGTTTGAGAGCAGCCTGGGCAACATAGTGAGACCTGGTCTCTACAAAAAATACAAAAAATAGCCAGACACGGTGGGGTGTGCCTGTGGTTCCAGCTACTCAGGAGGTTGAGGCAGGAAGGTCGCTTGAGCCCAGGAGGTTAAGGCTGCAGTGAGCTGTGATGGCACCACCACTGCACTCAGCCTGGGCAAATGAGGGAGACCCTGTCTCAAAAGAAAAAAAAGGCGGGGTGTGGTGTCTCGCACCTATAATACCAGAACTTTGGGAGGCCAACTCAGGAGCATCGCTTGAGCTCAGGAGTTTGAGACCAGCCTGGGCAACATGGCAAAACCCGTCTCCACAAAAAATTTAAAAATCAGCTGAGCAGGCCCAGCCACTTGGTAGGTTGAGTTGGGAGGATCACCTGAGCCCAGGATGTCAAGGCTGCAGTGAGCCATGATTGCGCCATTGCACTCCAGCCTGGATGACAGAGTGATACCCTGTCTCAAAAAAAAAAAAAAAAGAAAGAAAGAAAGAAAGAAAAAGAAATGAGCTCTGCAGAGCTTGCAAGAGACTGAGTACTTGGGGGCAGCAGGAAGCAGGAGTGAGGCAGAGAGCTGAAAACTGGGGCAGCTACAAGTTTCTCTACAAAAGGGTGGGACACCCAGGTCCTCTCCAAGCCCCACACAGCCTGGCTACCTGCCCGCTCCCAGCTGCAGGAGACGAGAGATGGAGTCAAGCTCCAAGACTGAGGACCTGAGTCAAAGCTGCAGGCTGGGAGAAGGAGCAGGGGAGGAAAGCAGGAGAAAAGGTAAGGCTGGGGGCCTGGGCTCTGAAAGCTCGGTTCCTTCCTGCTGTCTGTCCCCAGGAAATCTACATGCAGGCGTACCCTGGCTCAGGCACGTCCTCCTCCCCAGGCAGGAGACCGGAGGAGTCATCTCTAGAGAAACCAGTCACCCTGGAATAGACAGCCCCGAACAGTAACATCTGGGGCCTCAGTGAAGAGGCTCACTTGCCACCCGATCCCTTTACAGCAAAGGCCAGCAGGTGAGAGACCCACCCCTGTGATGTCTTCCATGGAAACAGGAGGAGGCAAACATGTTGCCTAAGGAGCTGCTCTTTCACCGGCTCTCCTGTGCTCCTTTGCTCTTTCCTGCCTAATGCTTCTGCAGCTACCCGCTCCTGTCCATCGGGGCATCCACACTTCTACGGTCTGATCTTCGAATGGCAGTTTGGGACTCTGGCCTGGGTAACCTAGGAAGATCACACAGACCCTGTTCAGAACCCATGAAGTGGGTTTGGCTTGGTGAGTTTCCATCTCCTTAGTCGTTTGTTCTCGAAGCCATAGCCCAGGTGCACAGCAGCGGCAGTTTGCCTTTGTCTCTGTTTGCTGGTTTGCATGAAACGGGAGGAAGCAGTGAGCTGGCCCTGTCCCCTCTATGCTGGAGTTTATTCAGACCCCTTCAGCCCACAGCAGCTGAACTCTCAGCCCGATTGCCAGGCCCCACATGCAACAAGCCCACAGCTTCATTCTCGTCCCACGTTTTGCGCTTTTGCTGTGTTTCTGGCGTGTGGAATTCTTTATCTTGTTTTTGAACCAGTTCTTTTGTTTTTTTCTCTTCTTGTAGTTTGTTTCTTTATTTGGAGCAGAGACATGATCAATTCACAAATTCACTGTGCTATTTTGACAGAACCCCATGTTTTGAATTCAAATCATTTTTTTACACCAAAAGAACAAACACAGCTAGTAGAGTAGTTAATTCTATGTTTGGGGCAAGAGAACTAAAGATGGGAATAGAGTATCTTGTAAGCCAGTGGTCCCCAACCTTTTTGGCACCAGGGACCGGTTGGTTTCATGGAAGACAATTTTTCCGCAGATTGGGACGGGGGTATGGTTTCAGGATGAAACTGTTCCACCTCAGATCATCAGGCATTAGATTCTTACAAGGGGTGTGCAACCTAGATCCCACACACGCGGAATTCACAATTGGGTTCATGCTCCCATATGAGAATCTAACAAGGCTGCTAATCCGACAGGAGGCAGAGCTCAGGTGGTAATGTGAGCAACGGGGAGCAGCTGTAAACATAGATGGAGTTTCGCTCACTCAACTGCTGCTCACCTGCTGTGCAGGCCAGTTCCTAACAGGCCACGGACTCACACTGGTCTGTGGCTCAGGGGTTGGGGACCCCTGTGGTAGACCATCAAATATACTGAGGAAAATAGCACCGGAGTCCAACTAAAGAGACCAAAATTATAGCAAGCATCAAAAAGAAAACCATGATCACAAAGGACTTGAATAGACAATTCTCCAAACAAGATAAACATTTGACCAGTGAGTACATGAAAAGATGCCCAACATCGCTAGAGAAATGTGAGCCAAAACCATAATGAGATATCACCTCACACCCATTAGGAGAGCTCCTATTAAAAATAAAAACAAGAAAAGAGCAAATGTTGGTGAGGATGTGGAGAAACTGAAATCCTTGTGCATTGTTGGTGAGAATGTAAAATGGTACCGCTAATGTAGAAAACACTATGGAAGTTCCTCAAAAAATTACAAATAGAATGACGCTGGGTGTGGTGGCTCACACCTGTAATCCCAACACTTTGAGAGGCTGAGGCAGGAGGATCGCTTGAAGCCAGGAGTTCGAGACCAGTCTAGGCAACATAGCAAGAACCCATCTCTACAAAAAATAAAAAGTCAGGCATGGTAGCATCACATCTGTAGTCCCAGCTACTCAGGAGACTGAGGAAGGAGGATCACTTGAGCCCAGGAGTTCAAGGCTGCAGTGAGTTATGATCATACCACTGCACTCCAGCCTGAGTGACAGTGTGAAACTCTGTTTCTAAAAAATAAACATAAAAAATAGAATTATCGGCCGGGCCTGGTGGCTCATGCCTGTAATCCCAGCACTTTGGGAGGCTGAGGTGGGCGGATCACAAGGTCAAGAGATCGAGACCATCTGGGCCAACACGGTGAAACCCCATCTGTACTAAAAATACAAAAATTAGCTGGGTGTGGTGGTGCGCACCTGTAGTCCCAGCTACTCGGGAGGCTGAGGCAGGAGAATTGCTTGAACCCAGGAGGCAGAGGTTGCAGTGAGCCAATATTGCACCACTGCACTCCAGCCTGGTGACAAGAGTGAGACTCCGTCTTAAAAAAAGAAAAAAAAAAAAGAATTACCATATGATCCAGAAATTTCTTTTTTTTTTTTTGAGACAGAGTTTCACTCTTGTTGCTCAGGCTGGAGTGGAGTGGCACGATCTTAGCTCCTCTGCCTTCCGGTTTCAAAGCGATTCTCCTGCCTCAGCCTCCTGAGTAGCTGGGATTACAAGCACTTGCCATCACACCCGGCTAATTTTTGTATGTTTAGTAGTGATGGGGTTTCACCATGTTGGCCAGGCTGGTCTCGAACTCCTGGCCCCAGGTATCCACCCGCCTCGGCCTCCTAAAGTGGTGGGATTAGAGGCGTGAGCCAATGCACCCAGACTAGAAATTTCACTTCTGAGTATATCCCCAAAAGAACTGAAAGCAAGGTCTCGGGGGTATTTGTCCATCTGTGTTCACAGCAGCACTATCCACAATGGCTAAAACATGGAAGTAACACAAATGTCCACCAAGGGATGAATGGAGAAGAAAAAAAGATACAACAGAATATTCTTCAGCCTTAAAAAGTAAATTCTGACCCATGGATGAACCTTGAGGATGAACACAGTTAAAAGATGTCAGCACTAGTGGCACTTGGGGACTCCAGCCCAGCTCCTGTCACAAGCAACTGGCCACCAGGTCTGGACCCACATCCTTTGCTCTTGGCCTACTGAGGTCATTCAGTTTTGCTCATCTCCCACAACCTGGAAACCCAAGGGGGCAGGCTGTGCAGTTCATCCTGGAAGAATAATAGAAGAGCAGCTGTCGTGCATGGAAAGATCGTGCAATGGGTCAAGTATTTAATTAATTATTTTTTGAGACAGGGCCTTGATCTGTCACGCAGGCTGGAGTGCAGTGGCGCAATCATGGCTCATTGCAGTCTTGAACTTCTGGGCTGAAGCGATCCTTTCACCTCAGCCTCCCGGGTAACTGGGACTATAGGCACGTACCACTCTACCTGGCTAATTTTTTGATTTTTGGTAGAGACGGGGTCTCCCTAAGTTGCCCAGGCTTGTCTTGAACTCCTGGGCTCAAGCGATCCTCCTGCCTCAGCCTCCCAAAGTGCTGGGATTACAGGTGTGAGCTACTGCGCCTGATCTGTTAATTTATTTTTTGAGACAGGGCCTTGATCTGTCACCCAGGCTGGAGTGCGGTGGCACGATCACGGCTCATTGCAGTCTTGAACTTCTGGGCTGAAGCGATCCTTTCACCTCTGCCTCCCGGGTAGCTGGGACTACAGGCACGCACCACTATACCTGGCTAATTTTTTTATTTTTGGTAGAGACGGGGGTCTCCCTAAGTTGCCCAGGCTGGTCTTGAACTCCTGGGCTCAAGCGATCCTCCCACCTTGGCCTCCCAGTGTTGGGATTACAGGCGTGAACCACCATGCCAGTCTGGGTCAAGTATTTTATATTCATTACTTGAGTTTCATAACAACCCTATAAAGTAGGCATCACTGTCCATTTTAAAACAAGTAAACAGAGGCCTAGGAAAGGTAACCACCCAAGGTCGTATACACCAAGGAAGAGGCAATGCTGGCATTCAGACCCAGGCCAGTAAACCCAAAGCCCCATGCCCTTGACCCACCACAACAATCTGGGATTCTGAGGGGCTTGAGTCAGGTGACACCCCAGATCTAAGCATCTGAAGGTCCCTAACTGTGGAGCCTTTCATGAGAACAAGCCACTGGAGGGTAAGCACACGTCGCTCTTCTCAAGGGAGGGTGTACTAAAGGAGCCTCATCTCACTCCCCCTGTGCCATGGAGGCCACACCAGGTGAGCACCCTTGGGAGGGAGACGCATAGCCTGACTGGGGTGCTAATGGGTCCCCGGCACTGGGTTCTCCACATGAACAGTTGTGTGAATCCAGGAGGCTCAGATCACGTGCCACAGCGCCACCTACTGGCCTGTGAACAACAACAGCATCCTGTTGTAAAGTCGGCAAACAATCATTTAAAAATTTTCAGGCCAGGCGCGGTGGCTCACGCCTGTAATCCCAGCACTTTGGGAGGCTGAGGTGGGCAGATCATAAGGTCAGGAGATCGAGACCATCCTGGCCAACATGGTGAAACCCCGTATCTACTAAAAATACAAAAAATTAGCTGGGCGTGGTGGCGTGTGCCTGTAATCCCAGCTACTCGGGAGGCTGAGGTGGGAGAATCCCTTGAACCAGGGAGTCAGAGGTTGCAGTGAGCCGAGATCACGCCACTACACTCCAGCCTGGCGACAAAGCAAGACTCTATCTCAAAAAGAAAAAAAAAATCAAACATTTAAAATCCTTAAATCTTTTTTTCTTTTTGAGACAGAGTTTCACTCTTGTTGCCCAGGCTGGAGTGCAATGGCATGATCTCGGCTCACTGCAACCTCCACCTCCCGAGTTCAAGCGATTGTCCTGCCTCAGCCTCCCTCGAAGCTGGGATTATAGGCATGCGCTATCACGCCTAATTTTGTATTTTTAGTAGAGACAAGGTTTCTCCATGTTGGTCAGGCTGGTCTCAAATTCCCAACCTCAGGTGATCCACCTGCCTCGGCATTCCAAAGTGCTGGGATTACAGGTGTGAGCCACCGCACCTGGCCTAAAATCCTTAAATCTTAAAAGACATTTTAAAGATTTTGCCCTCCACTTTTTGCCCATTCATTTAATCACCTGTTAAACACCAAACACCACGTGAGGTGTTGGAGTTTGGGAGAATTCGAGTCTTTCTCAGAGGGACTTACAGAACGAGCAGGGCAGATAACCAAATAAAGACACATCAGAAACGGGTGTGTGAGAACCCCAAAGGGGCCATTCTCTTGGGGAAGGAAAGGCTCCACTGTGGGATGATGGTGGTCTTGGGCTGAGCTTTTGAAACACAGGAGGGGCCAGGCGCCGTGGCTCACGCCTGTAATCCCAGCACTTTGGGAGGCTGAGGTGGGTGGATCACCTGAGGTCAGGAGTTCGAGACCAGCCTGACCAATGACCACCATAGTGAAACCTCGTCTCTACTAAAAATACAAAATTAGCCAGGCACGGTGGCGCATGCCTGTTATCCCAGCTACTCAGGAGGCTGAGGCAGAATTGCTTGAACCTGGGAGGCGGAGGTTGTGGTGAGCCGAGATCTTGCCACTGCACTCCAGCAGCCTAAGCAAGAAGAACGAAACTCCGTCTCAATCAATCAATCAAATGAAAGACAGGAGGTCTCTGTCAGGACAACTTGGGGGAGTGGGGGTTCATGTGATCCTCAATTCGCGACTTTCCACAAGCACAGGGGAGGGCTGCCAGGATGCATTTTAGTGAGCAAATATGGGAGTGGGAAACCTCAGTGTGACTGGAAAGCAGGATTCGAGGTGAGATCCAGCTGTGGATGGGGAGCACGCACTCGGCTGCAGGACCCACATCACACGCAGTGCAGGCCGCAGCCCTGGGGCAGCGTGGCCTGCCACACCCTGGAGACCCTGGCTGGCCAGGCTATGGACTGAGAGCTTGGTCTCACGACAAAGGGGAGTCCCTTGAGGGTTTCAAGGCAGTGAGTAAAGTGACCTCCCGTTTTAAAAAGACAACCCTGCAGAGGGAGGGGGGATGACATGAGAAGCAGGAAAATCAGTAAGAGATTGTTCTCGAAGTCAGGGCTGACAACCCTCTCTGCCACAGCAGCAGTGGTGGGGACAGTGAGGTCCGAACAGAGGAGAGGCACTGAGGAGACAGCCCTGTGAGGCTGGGTAATGAGCGGGAGGTGGAGGGAGAGGTGAGTGGGGAGACCAGGTGAGTCCCAGGTTTCTGGCGTGGTTGACTATTCCTGGAACTGGAATAGAAGGGGCTGATTTAGAAGACAAGATGAAGAGATTGTTGTAAACATGTTAACCTATGAGATTCTCAAAAGTACAAATACTTAAAAAAAAAAAAAAAAACTACTCAAAAATTACCTGGGGCCAGGCACAGTGGCTCATGCCTGTAATCCCAGCACTTTGGGAGGCTGAGGTGTGTGGACCACTTGAGGTCAGGAGTTGGAGACAAGCGTGGACAACATGGTGAAGCCCCATCTGTACTAAAAATACAAAAATTAGCCAGGTGTGGTGGCGTGCACCTGTAATCCCAGCTACTTGGGAGGCTGAAGCAGGACAATCACTTGAACCTGGGAGGCGAAGGTTGCAGTGAACTGAGATTATGCCACTACACTCCACCCTAGGTGACAGAGTGAGACTCTGTCTCAATTAAAAAAAAAATTGTGAAGTGAAAAAAAAAACAGGATGAAGAATAGCAGTATGCTTCCATTTCTGTTTTTAAAAAGGGGGCTTGGCTGGGTATGGTGGCTCACACCTATAATCCCAGCACTTTGGGAGGACAAGGTGGGTGTATCACCTGAGGTCAGGAGTTTGAGACCAGCCTGAGCGACATGGCAAAACCTGTCTCTACAAAAAAATACAAAAATTAGCCAGGCATGGTGGCACATGCCTACAGTCCCAGCTACTCGGGAGGCGGAGGTGGGAGGGTGGCTTGAGCCCAAGAGGTCGAGGCTGCAGTGAGCCACGGTCATGCCACTGCACTCCACCCTGGGCAAAAGAGTGAGACCCTGTCTCAAAAAAAAAAAATTCATTATGAATTTGCTTGCAATATGCATACAAATCTGAAATGACATATAAAAGTAATACTAATATTATTGGTGACAGTTGGTGAGAACAGATGAGATGGTGCCAAATACTTTTTAAATGTATCACCTATTCAAAAAAACTCATATAACTTAGTTAAAAATGGTCAAATCTCTTCAATGCAGCCTACCTCAGTTCCCAAGGCCCAATCAGATACAGCTCTCCAAACCTGCCAGTGCTGGTGAACGCGCTGCTGGGAGCACTGGCACCCCACAGTGGGGGAGGGGAGGGGAGGGGAGGGGAGGGGGCCCTCTCACCTCTATGGGGATGTAGAGCATGAATCCTGGCTCTCCTGTGTGCGTCATGCTCATCACCCGGATCCCATTTGCATAGCCCACGCTCATCTCCTGCAGGGACAAAGGCAGCAGTCAGCCTGGGCACTCACATTGCTTGTCAAGGGAGGGACGCCTGGGGAAACCTTTCATTAGTGCTGCACCCTCTGTTTACTGTTGAGGGAGACAGACGTCAAGGCAAGAATTTCATCCCAAAAGTGGTTAACTTCCAGGTCCTGAGGCACCGAGAATGGAGCACTGCCTATGTGACATCTCTGCTTGCTACTGTTACCATCTCAGGAGTTTTAGCCAAGCTGATGGTAGAGAGTGGAGGAAAGTCCTTGACAAGCACAAAATATTCCTCTTTGCCAGGTCCTTATGTTAGTCGAGGGTAGCAGGCACAATGAGGACAAGGCGAGTGTCTTCTCTGGGGGAATCGGCAGACAAACCCTGGCCACCTGCCATACAAAAGATGATGCCCGATGCCCACAGACATAATTAATCTGCTATCCTGGGGTCAAAGATGGGCTTCTGATTCTCAGAACATGTTACATAGCAGCTCAGTTCCCTAACAGCGGCCACTGACGCAATCACTGTTCCTATAAAGGAAAGTGGAAAGTCCTGGACAGCACCGAAGTGAACCGCTTCCACAGGAGGCTGACAGGATGCAGCACTCGCCAGGTGTTGAGCGTATGGGTCACTCCTCCAAGCAGCAGAGCAAACGCTGGGAGGGGTCCACTGATGGCTAACAGTGGAAAGTTTTCTGTTGCTTTCACTTTGCCTCGGAGAAGAAGGAAAACTGTGAAACAATTTGTAGGTGGATCCCACTTTGGGTGAACTTCAAAGAGTCTCCATCAGTAACCGCCTGGAAGTTGCTCGTTACAGGTGGCCAAGATGTCTGTCCGTTTGGCCCTCTCTAATCAGCAGCTTCCTGGGGAGGATTCCGTTGTCATTGCTTTCATTCGGTTACAGTTTGTTTCACTCAGCTGTGGTTGCCACTTATAGGAAAGAAAATTATGTAGGAAGTTCAGAGATTCACCTACGCCATTTCTTCCCTGAAGATGCCACAGACACAGAAGTTACTCTGTGTACAGAAAAGAGGCCACACTGCATGGAGAGAAGGGACCTAACTTCGAAAGGCATTTTTGTGTGTCATAATCCTGTAACTTCAAATTTTAATCCAGTGCTACAGAAACCAAAAAGCATAAAGACTTTACATTTAGAGAAGCTAAATCCACTTCAAAGATATCCTAATGCTTATTAAATAAAGCAAGCTTGGAGTGTAAAAAATAAACAAATAAGGCCGGGCGCAGTGGCTCACACCTGTAATCCCAGCACTTTGGGAGGCTGAGGTGGGTGGTTCACCTGAGGTCAGGAGTTCAAGACCAGCCTGGCAAACATGGTGAAACCCTGTCTCTACTAAAAATACAAAAAGTTAGCTGGGCATGGTGGCGGGCGCTTGTAATCCCAGCTACTCGGGAGGCTGAAACAGGAGAATCGCCTGAACCCGGGAAGTGGAGGTTGCAGTGAGCCGAGATCGCACCATTGCACGCCAGCCTGTGCAACAAGAGTGAAACTCTGTCTCAAAATAAATAAATAAATAAATAAATAAATAAATATACTTAGTCACTTCTTTGCTAATGAAGGGCAGCACATTTTTTTTTTTTTTTTTTTGAGACAGTCTTGCTCTGTTGCCAGCCTGGAGTGCAATGGCGCAATCTCGGCTCACTGCAACATCTGCCTCCCAGGTTCAAGTCATTCTCCTGCCTCAGCCTCCCGAGTAGCTGGGACCACAGGCATGCGCCACCACACCCGGCTAATTTTTGTATTTTTATATTTATTTATAAATATAAGATGTAATCCCAAAGTGCTGGGATTATAGGCGTGAGCCACTGCACCTGGCCAGCACACTCTTTTATTTGAGACAGAGTCTCACTCTGTCACCCAGGTGGAGTGCAGTGGCGTGTTCTCGGCTCACTGCGACCTCTGCCTCCAGAGTTCAAGCGATTCCTGTGCCTCAGCCTCCCAAGTAGCTGGGATTATAGGTGCGTGAGACCATACCCAGCTAATTTTTGTATTTTTAACAGAGACAGGGTCTCACCATGTTGGCCAGGCTGGTCTCAAACTCCTGACTTTGGGTGATCCACCTGCCTCGGCCTCCCAAAGTGCTAGGATTACAGGCATGTGCCACCTCACCCAGCCAAGACACTCTTTGTGGATGTTAACACCATAGTAAGAATATGTAACTGCCACCGCTATGAAAGACACATTCTCTGCCCATTTAAGAAACAGAACTTTATCAGCACTCACCTTGCAAAAGAGGCTTGGGAAGTGGTCTGGAGTCATAGGGGCATAGGACAACTCAGACAGCACATCCACAGCTCGAGGGCCAATCAGATTGAGGGCTAAATGGAAAAGAACAAGAGATGTCCAGCTCTCCTTCTGAACAGCTGAGCCAATGGGAAAGGTCTACTGCAGACTTGCTCAGCTATAGCCAGGCCTGGGTGCAGAGACCAGGAATATGTCCCTTTGCTTAGACACTCCAAGGATGGATGCTAAGCACCCCGATTCTGGCGAATACACCTCTGCCAACAGGGCCTGCTGAACGCAGCAGGGCTGGCCATAACCACCCCACACAATTCCCGTTCTCCTCCTTTTCCCAGCAAGGCTATGTGATGGAAGAAGCCCCAACCCCAAATCAGTACCCGGTGGAGATCTGCCCAACCAAAAAGTATACAGACTTTAAATTCAGAGAAGCTAAATCCACTTCAAACATATCCTAATGCTTACTAGATAAGGAAAGCATTATTCTGGACACCAGTGTTTGTGACATCAGCTTGTGCTAATTACATGTCATCCATCCTAAGAGAAGCGAGAACATGACTTTTGTTCAGTAACATTCTGTAGTATCCCAATCCAGGAGCAGGACGTATATCATATTTGCTACTACAAGGAATTGAGAATGAGAGCCTGGGAGAGCAAACGCTGGTGGGGCCAAGGGGCAAGATCAGTTAGGTGGGAAGGTGGGAGGGGTTAAGCCAAGACTGCTGAGGTTGAGAAAATCAGGGAACCAAGTCATCCTTAAAAATTAGGTACTCACGGGGGCTGGGCGTGGTGGCTCATGCCTGTAATCCCAGCACTTTGGGAGGCCGAAGCAGGTGGATCATGAGGTCAAGAGTTCAAGACCAGCCTGGCCAACATGGTGAAACCCCATCTCTACTAAAAATACAGAAATTAGCCCAGCGTGGTGGCGGCCGCCTGTAATCCCAGCTACTTGGTAGGCTGAAGCAGAAGAATCGCTTGAACCCGGGAGGTGGAGGTGCAATGGCATGATCTTGGCTCATTGCAACCTCTGCCTCCCAGATTCAAGCAATTCTCCTGCTTCAGCCTCATGAGTAGCTGGGACTACAGGCATGCACCACCATGTCCAGCTAATTTTTTTATTTTTAGTAGAGATGGGGTTTCACCATGTTGGCCAGGCTGGTCTCGAACTCCTGACCTCATGATCCGCCCGCCTCAGCCTCCCAAAGTGCTGGGATTACAGGTGTAAGCCACTGTGTCCAGCCCTCAATTTTCTTTGCTTTTTTTTTTTGAGATGGAGTCTCACTCGCCTAGGCTGGAGTGCAGTGGTGCGATCTGGGCTCACTGCAACCTCTGCCTCCCGGGTCCAAGTGATTCTCCTGCCTTAGCCTCCCAAGTAGCTGGGATTACAGGCGTGTGCCATCACGCCCAGCTAATTTTTGTATTTCTAGTAGAGACGGGGTTTCACCATATAGTCCAGGTTGGTCTCGAACTCCTGACCTAGTAGTGATCCTCCCACCTCGGCCTCCAAAAGTGCTGGGATTACAGGCGTCAGCCACCGCATCCCCTAGAGATCAATTTTCTATGACCAGAGAGCCTCTTTTATGCTAACTCTAATGTTCATTTTTGAGAGTCAAATGTAAAGAAGGCAAACGTGGACACATCTGCATCTGCTGGCCTTTTCGACGTGGCAGAGCCCGAACCCCCGTACCTGTGTACTTCCAGGTGACGTCCTCCAGGAGCAGGTTGCTGTCTTTCGGCATGTGTTTCTTAAGCCAGGCCCAACAGTGGACCTGCTGGTCGGTTGGAGAGATCATGAAGAAACTGAAAAGTGAGACCCCAAAATAATCAAAACCAGGTAGCAGCAAAAGGATCAGGAAGCAATCAAATCTTATTTGGTTTCAAAGCAATGAGGCAAATACTAGGAAATGATTTCTTAGCTTTCACAGAAGGCCAGTAGCACCATTCTAGGATACACCACCTAACAACAAAACAAAATTCTGGCTTCCTGTTAATGCCAAGAAATTATACAGATTTACTAACGTTAAGACATCGGCTGGGCACAGTGGCTCACGCCTGTAATCCCAGCACTTTGGAGGCCAAGGTGGGCAGATTGCTTGAGCTCAGGTGTTCAAGATCAGCCTGGGCAATGTGACAAAACCCTATCTCTACAAAATATACAAAAACTGGCTGGGTGTGGTGGCGTGTACCTGTGGTCCCAGCTACCTGGAAAGCTGAGGTGGGAGGATCACTTGAGCCCAGGAGGTCGAGGCTGCAGGGATCCATGATTGCATCACTGCACTCCAGCCTGGGTAACAAAGTGAGACCCTGTCTCAGAAAAAAAAAAAAAAAAAAAAAAAAAGACAAGGCATCTTCTCCCAGTAGGGTACATAATCTGGTGGGCTTTTTTTTCTTTTCCTCCTGGTGATTTCTTTTGTTTAGGACTGCTAATAAACTGGCTTTGATTTCATGTAATGATTCTTAGTCCCTGGGATTTATGGTTCGTGGAGAAGCGCCTGAGAGCCTCTGCTACAGTACCCCTAAGGAATCAACATGTTGGAGGAAGCAGAGCGGGACGGCAGCTCATCTCACCTGCGCTTGTTCAGTCGTGCTATGCTGCAGTCATTTTCATACCCTCCACCCTCGTTGAGCATGCCAGTATGCACAATGTGGCCCACAGGCACATCCAGGTCATTGGAGAAGAGGTACTGTAGAACTTCTAATGCCTGATCCCCAGTGGTCTGCAGGGTTAGGGAATGAAACAGAGAGAGTGAGAGTGAGAGCACCTGGCTGCGCCACATGGCCCCACCAGCAATGAACCTCATTGAGAAAATTCAATCAGCCAATTCCCATGTGACAACACTTGCAGACCTACTCCACTGCAAGAAGCTCCAGGGAATGCTAGCTATTGATTCTTATGATAAACAGGCCTCTCTAGCAAATTAAAAACCCGAAACAAGGAGCTAAAATTTCAGAAAAATGTCACAATACAGATGAAACACTAAAATATACCAGAATTCTTAAGAAATCAGTGTTTTGTTTTTGTTTTTGTTTTTTTTTTGAGATGGAGTCTCACTCTGTTGCCCAGGCTGAGTGCAGTGGCGCAATCTCAGCTCACTGCAACCTCCACCTCATGAGTTCATGCGATTCTCCTGCCTCCCGAGTAGCTGGGATTACAAGTGCCCGCCACCATGCCTGGTTAATTTTTTGTATTTTTGGTAGAGATGGTTTCGCCATGTTGGCCAGGCTGGTCTTGAACTCCTGATCTCAGGTGATCTACCCGTCTCGGCCTCCCAAACTGCTGGGATTACAGGCATGAGCCACCACTCCTGGCCTTAATTTTTGTATTTTTAGTAGAAACGGGGTTTTACCATCTTGGCCAGGCTGGTCTGGAACTCCTGACTTCAGGTGATCCACGCCCCCCTTGGCCTCCCAAAGTGCTGGGAATACAGGCATGACCCACTGCACCCAGTCAGGAATCAGTTTTGAAGATGAAAAACAAAAGGCATTCAATAAATATGCAAAGTTTCCTAATCTATTACTTTGGTTCCCAAATACTTACTGTTATCTCAAACTCTGTGAAAGAGGACATGTCAATGACACACACAGCTTCCTTACAGCACTTGACTTCAGACTCCACGATGTCAAACCAATCTGGCTTATAGAAAGTCTTGCTCTGCTCCAATGCCAGGAGGTCTACGGAATGGAAAAATCACAAGGCCCTGTAGAGTTTAGTGTAGTCCACGTGGTTCTTTTTCTTCTGTGAACACATTCTAGCCTATGCATTTGAAAATACGTTTTATTAATTCCCAGGACAAAAAAAAAAAGGAGCAAAAATGAGAATGTGACTTCTTACCCTTGTCAGGGGGAACAAAGTACTTTGGCCTCTCAAATCCATGTTTCTCCATCCACCTGGCTCCCTGTGCATCCAGCCGGTCGTAGAGAGGAGAGGTGCGTAACTGCCTACCGGTCTGGAAGTCCCAGTGGGGAACCTTCAGATCATACATCAAAGCTAGAAAAGACACGAGTAGTCTATCAAAGCCCAAGACACAGATTCTAGACCTGAGTAGCCAATATCCACTAGACTCTGGAGTTGTTTCTATTCAAAAGAGCTTTCCAGGCTAACGTAGTTTGTTTTTTTTTTTTTTTAAGACGGAGTTTTGCTCTTGTTGTCCAGGCTGGAGTGCAGTGGCACAATCTTGGCTTACTGCAACCTCCGCCTCCTGGGTTTAAGCGATTCTCCTGCCTCAGCTTCCCGAGTAGCTGGGATTACAGGCACGTGCCACCGTGCCACACTGATTTTTGTATTTTTAGTAGAGACAGGGTTTCTCCATGTTGGTCAGGCTGGTCTCAAACTCCTGACCTCAGGTGATCTGCCCGCCCCGGCCTCCCGAAGTGCTGGGATTACAGGCGTGAGCCACTCTGCTCGGCCCAATTTCCAGGCTAATGTAGTCTAATTTTCAAAATTACCCAGTGTATCAGGCATGCTCCAGAAGGAAAGACAATCCTGCCAAGCTGCTATCGTCCCTCCCTGGAGCTACGTGTCACGGCATGACTCGGCCTGTATTCACATTCAGCATTCCACATTAGTAGGTAGAAATGATGGCAGAAAGGTCAGGGTCCTAAACCTTACTAAGCTTCATAGCAGAGAACAAGGTTACTAAGTGGGACACAGGTGGTAACAAAATGTGAAAAAATGGCATTCGATTCTTCATTGTGCCTGTGTTAGGATCTCAGACCTGTTACAGACATTTCCTCCCTGATAATTAACTCACTTCTGAAGTGAAAGGGTACATATTGTAGCTTGATTAGGTGGCTCTGAAATCTGAGAAGTTACATTGTATTGTACCAATGACATTATTCACACAACAAAGCTAGGGTCAGAATTCATTTCTCTTAGGCTGGGTGTGGTGGCTCACGTCTGTAAACCCAGCACTTTGAGAGGTCAAGGTGGGCGGATCACGAGGTCAGGAGTTCGAGATCAGCCTGACCAATGTGGTGAAACCCTGTCTCTACTAAAAATACATAAATTAGCCAGGCATGGTGGCAGGCACCTGTAATCCCAGCTACACGGGAGGCTGAGGCAGGAGAATTGCTTGAACCCAGGAGGCAGAGGTTGCAGTGAGCCGAAATCACGCCACGGCACTCCAGCCTGGGCAATAGAGCAAGACTATCTCGGAAAAAAAAAAAAATTTCATTTCCCTTAATGTCTAATCTTCAACAGCAATAAGTAAAAAAAGCCAGAAGAGTGGGATCTGTGGTCCCTTGCAAAGAGAAGACCTGATCTCACACCGTCCCAAACAAAAGGCACATCAAGGCTTGGGGAGGTTGGGAGACAGGAGAAGGAAGCCAGGTGGGGTTCTCTGCATGGTGACAATCTCTCCATCTCCTGGTACTTTAGGTTCTATCTTCCCCTTCCCCATTTTCTTTTCTATTTTTTTTTTTTATTTTTTGTTGAGATGGAATCCCTCTCTATCACCCAGGCTAGAGCGCAGTGGTGCGATCTTGGCTCACTGCAACCTCCGTCTCCCGGGTTCAAGTGATTGTCCTGCCTCAGCCTGCCAAGGAGCTGGGATCACAGGCACATACCACCACGTGGCTAAATTTTTGTATTTTTAGTAGAGACAGGGTTTCGCCATGTTGGTCAGGCCAGACCTCCTGACCTCAAGTGATCCGCCTGCCTCAGCCTCCCAACATGCTGGGATTACAGGCTTGAGCCACTGCGCCTGGCGCCTTCCCCATTTTCTATGTGCCTGCCACTTCTATTTCATGAGAATTGGCTACCAAAAGTGTCATATCACCAAGCAGAAGCTCAAGCTCAATTATGATTTGTACAGGTTCCAAAGTAACTATGGGTGGGGAAATTTAGGCTTATAATAGTTCAACTTTAAAACAAAAAACTTTGATTTTTTTATTTTATTTTTTTGAGACAGGGTCTCAGTCCCACTGCCCAGGCTGGAGTACACAGTGGCACCATCATGGCTCACTGCAGCCTCAACTTCCCCAGCTCAGGTGATTCGCCTACCTCAGCCTCCCAAGTAGCTGGGACTTCAGGTGTGTGCCACTAAGGCATGGCTAATTTTTTGGTTTTGGTTTTAGTAGAGACAGGGTTTCGCTACGTTGCCTAGGCTGGTCTCAAACTCCTGACCTCAAGTGACCTACCTCCCTCAGCGTCCCAAAGTGCTGGGATTACAGACATGAGCCAGCACACC
Source organism: Homo sapiens (assembly GCF_000001405.40). Taxonomy (NCBI): domain Eukaryota; kingdom Metazoa; phylum Chordata; class Mammalia; order Primates; family Hominidae; genus Homo; species Homo sapiens. The sequence continues at coordinate 74,341,095 of NC_000016.10, forward strand.
CAGCCAAGTTCAACATTTTAACCAAAATATTTGCTAAAATTAAAGAACCTTAGCAGTTAAACATATTGCTGTTAGGTCCTTCATCTCCATGGATGTACATCCTCTTCCCAGGCCAAAAGTGAGCACTCAGGCATTAAAGGCCATCCAGAGTCCTCACCAACAATGTTGTTCAACTACCAAACTAACAGTTTACTTGTAACCAAGAATGGTGGTCAGAGCCAACACAGAAACTTAGTCCTGAGCATAAGTATGCCCAAAATATTTAGATACCATTTGGCAAAGTCTGAGAACAGCTCCTCAGTACAGGAAAATGAAATTACAACTTGAACCCACGTGGTTTGGTTCAATTCCTGATACAAAAGCTTTCTAAGGGCTTCCTAGAAAATAAATCAGAGATCAAGGTAGAATAACAAATTAAGATGAAGTGGCCAGTCCTTCAAAGTTGAAGCAGGGCGAGAACACGGGAGTGAGAGCAGGAATGTATGTTTTGTATTTATATGGGAAGTGGCTCCCAATCTTGCTGCTGTAGGGTGGATTAATGGTGAAAGTCACTCACGGAAGCCTGAAGCTCTGAGAATAACTTGGCAAATTCTCTGACTTGGAAAGAAAAAACTAAGTGGGGAGTGAGAAAGCATTTTCTCAAAAACTAAGTGGGAGTGAGAAAGCATTCACTTCGACACAGGGTCTCTCAAGGCAGACTGCAGAAAGCACGCACTTCGACATACGGTCTCTCAAGGCAGACCGGGAAGAAGGCATTGCTTAGAATATTTATGAAGCTGCTATGTACCAACTGTAACTCCTATTCTACTTTCTTGTTCCCAGAAGGAAAAAAGGTCCGATGCACTAAAGAAAATGTTACATATATATCATGAGGAGCATAAAGCCCCTTAACTCAGGCCTGAAACAGTCAAATCAAATGTCCAACTCAAAGCACTTGTTAAAGAACTGAGGAAAACTTTGCTCCTTCTGAATGACAACACGGGCCACCGAGAAGATACCTGCAACTAGGAGCAACTGCGATAAAGCTTCACTTACGCATGACTTCCATGACCCGGTGGCGCAGAAAGGTGCGGCTGCTCTGGAGGGCTCCAAAACGTTTCAGGTCCAATTCCCAAACGTTTTCTGAGGGATAACCATGTACCATCCATTCGGCAAGGTACCTATATAGACAGAGGGCACTTGTTGGGGCTCAGGTGTGAGATTTGAGAAAATTAATATTCTACAAATCGAGAACTAACAGAATCAAAAGATCCTAAATTGCCATAGACCAGCTGAATAGTTTTGGGCACTTTCCTTAACTTTTCTGGAAGCAACGAACATGGGTCTGTGTACTGCTCTCAAAAGACTACTATGAGGATTTTACCCCAGATGATAAGATTCCCTAGGAGGCATTTAACATAGAAGCCAGCCAGACACATTGGCTGATGCCTGTAATCCCAGAACTTTGGGAGGCTGAGGCAGGGGATTGCTTGAAGTCAGGAGTTTGAGACCAGCCTGGACAACAAAGTAAGACCCCGTCTCTACCAAAAAAAGAAAAGTTTCAAAGTGAGCCAGGTGGCTCACACCTGTAATCCCAGCACTTTGGGAGGCTGAGGCATACGGATCACCTGAGGTCAGGAGTTCGAAACAAGCCTGACCAATGTGGAGAAACCCTGTCTCTATTAAAAATACAAAATTAGCCAGTGTGGTGGCACACGCCTGTAATCCCAGCTACTACGGAGGCTGAGGAAGGAGAACTGCTTGAACCTGGGAGGCAGAGGTTGCAGTAAGCCTAGATCACGCCATTGCACTCCAGCCAGGGCAACAAGAGCGAAACTCCATCTCAAAAAACAAAAACAAACAAACAACAACAAAAAAAAAAATTAGCCGGCGTGGTGGCACATGCCTGTAATCCCAGCTACTCGGGAGGCTGAGGCAGGAGAATCACTTGAACCCGGGAGGCAGAGGTTGCGGTGAGCCGAGATTGTGCCATTGCACTCCAGCCTGGGCAACAAGAGCAAAACTTCGTTTCAAAAAAAAAAAAAAAAAAAGAGCTGGGTATGGTGGCACATGCCTGTAGTTAGTTCTAACTCTTCTGGAGTCTGATGCGGGATGATCCCTTGAGCCCAGGAACTTGCGGCTGCAGTGAGCTATGATGGTGCCACTGCACTCCAGCCTGGGTGAGAGTAAGATCTTGTTTCAAAAAAAGTTATAAGCCTCATCTATGAAGAAATAAGACTAAAACACATATAAATATACTCTAAATATCCAATGGGTTTTTTTCTCTCACCTCAAGATTATACAGTTATGTGACCCCATCTCCTTTGCTCCAAACATTTTTGTAACTCCTCTTCTGTAATTGTTTTTAGAGCCATTCTACAAATCACTCAAGAGAACTGGTCTCATAAATTTAAAATAAGCTTTTCATCGTGGCTACCATCTTACCCATTTGTAAGTATTCAGTTCAGTGGCAGTGGGTACATTCACACTGCGGTGTAACCTTCACTACCATCCATCCTAGAACTCTTTTCCTCTTGCATTTGTGGAACTCTGTGCTCATTCAAGAATAGCTCCCCTCCCCCGCCTCTGGCAAACACCATTGTACTTTCTGTCTCTATGATCTGACAACTCTAGCAACTTCATATAAGTGGAACCACACAGTATTTGTCCTTTTGTGACTGGCTTATTTAATGTTCATTAGTGTCTTATTTTATTTTATTATTATTATTTTTATTGAGATAGAGTCTCGCTCTGTCGCCCAGGCTGGAGTGCAGTGGCGCAATCTCGGCTCACTGCAACCTCTGCCTCCCGGGTTCACGCCATTCTCCTGTCTCAACCTCCCAAGTAGCTGGGACCACAGGCGCCCGCCACAACGGCCGGCTAATTTTGTTCTTGTATTTTTAGTAGAGACGCGGTTTCACTGTGTTAGCCAGAGTGGTCTCGATCTCGTGACCTTGTGATCCGCCCACCTAGGCCTCCCAAAGTGCTGGGATTACAAGCGTGAGCCACCGCGCCCGGCCTAGTGTCTAATTTTTAAACAAAAACTTGTGGCCGGGCACGGTGGCTCATGCCTGTAATCCTAGCACTTTGGGAGGCCAAGGTGGGTGGATCACTTGAAGTCAGGAGTTCAAGACCAGCCTGGCTAACATGGTGAAACCCTGTCTCTACTAAAAATAGAAAAATTAGCCAGGTGTGCTGGCACACGCCTCTAATCCCAGCTACTCGGGAGGCTGAGGTAGGAGAACAGCCTGAACCCAGGAGGTGGAGGTTACAGTGAGCTGAGATCATGTCACTGCATTCCAGCCTGGGTGACAGAGCAAGACTGTCTAAAAAAACAAACAAAACGTGTATTACCTAGTTCAAATACCTACCTCAATCAACACACTTGGCTACCAAACTCAAATACACACTCAAATGACCAATATTTGTTACAATTGAAAAAATATAAAAGAATATCCCACAGGATCTGTGGCTAACTCCAAAAGATGAGTTGCAAAAACATTTTGCCTGATGACATTTCTGGAACATGGGGAGCCTCTCATACTTAGAAGGGGACAACTCCAAAATTACATGTATCTTCTTATTAGTCTTAACATACTAGATTAAATATACCACACGCCATGTTAATAACAAGTAATTCTAGAAGGGAAGAGACCCAGCAAGTTGACTTATGTTCACAGCTGACTTTGAGTGAGAAAGACTTACTTTCCGGCTCCTCCACCAAATGAAAGGCCAGCAGAGTTCATTCCTGCCAGGACAAAGTAGCCCTACACTGCAGGAGACTCGCCCATGATGCACCTCATGTCTGATGCGAAGGTCTCTGGGCAGTTCACCAACTTCATGATCTCCAGAGTCTCTAATTCTGGCATCCTCCTCAGAAGGGAACTCAACAGAGGCTCTGAGCAATGACAACAAAACCAAATAGAGTTCTCACCTTTAAGGAATTAAACCACTTTCAACCCCTCTACTTTTTTACACTCTCCCCTTTCAGAAAACCTCTTGAATTTTTTTTTTTTTTTTTTGAGATGGAGTCTCACTCTGTTGCCCCGGCTGGAGTGCGGTGGCACGATCTCAACTCTCTGCAAACTCTGCCTCCCAGGTTCAAGCGATCCTCTCGCCTCAGCCTGCCAATTAGCTCAGATTACAGGCGTGCACCACCACGCCAGCTAATTTTTTGTATTTTTAGTAGAGATGGGGTTTCACCATGATGGCCACACTAGTTTCGAACTCTTGACCTCAAGTGATCTGCCTGCCTTGGCCTCCCAAAGTGCTAGGATTATAGGTGTGAACCACTGCGCCCGGCTGGAAGAGATTTTTTTAAAGACAAGCCAACTGGGCCATTTATTACAAAGCAGAAACCTTGGTAGAATTACAGGATATAGCTGCAAAATACTTGGTATAAAGACTGAGGAAAAAAGATATTGGTTAGAAAGGAAAGCAGCAGAGAACAGCAAGTAAAACGTATCTACAGATAATAATCTTGAAGGGACCAGTGTGAGTGGACAAGCTCTTAAATGGCGGCCACAGAGATTTTAATAAAAGGTGATGTTCTGAGCTGGGCATGGTGGCTTGCGTCTGTAACCCCAGCACTTTGGGAGGCCAAGGTGGGCGGATCACCTGAGGTCAGGAGTTCAAGAGCATTATGGCCAAAATGGTGAAGCCTCGCCTCTACTAAAAATACAAAAATTAGCCAGTCATGATGGTGGAAGCCTGTAATCCCAGCTACTCGGGAAGCTGAGGCAGAAAAATCACTTGAATCTGAGAGGTGGAGGTTGAAGTGAGCAGAGATCGTGACACTGCACTCCAGCCTGGGCAATAGAGTGAAACTCCATCTCAGGAAAAAAAAAAAAAAGGCAATGTTCTGCATTGGAATAGCTGCAAAAGACAGACCCTGCTTTAAAGGAAATCTACCATCAGGGCATAATCCAGTGGACAGCAGAAAAAGATGAAACCAGACCAGAGCTGGATAATGGGTACATGGGGGCTCATCACACTACTCTCGCCAGGTTTGTTTAGTAGACACATAGTCTCCAGTCTCGCCATGTTGCCCAGGCTGGTCTTCACTTCCTGGGCTCCAGTGATCCTCCCATCTTGGCCTCCCAAAATGATGGAATTACAGGTGTAAGCCACTGTGCCCAGCTTCTATCCAGTTTTAAAAGTTTGAAATTTTCCATAAGAATTTATTAAAAAACGAAAGCCCATCAAGGGTCAGAGGGAAATTCTTCATTAGAGACTCTTTCACCTTTTTAAACTTGGAACTAGGTAACTACATTATTATTATTATTATTCTTTTTGAGATGGAGTCTCGCTCTGTCACCCAGGCTGGAGTGCAGTGGTGCGATCTCAGCCCACTGCAGCCTCTGCCTCCCGGGTTCCAGCAATTCTCCTGCCTCAGCCTCCCAGGTAGCTGGCATTACAGGTGCGCGCCACCACATCCAGCTAATTTTTATATTTTTAGTAGAGACGGGTTTTTGCCATGTTGGCCAGGCTGGTCTTGAACTCCTGACCACAGGCGATCCGCCCGCCTTGGCTTCCCAAAGTGCTGGGATTACAGGCCTTAAAGGCCAGGTGCAGTGGCTCATGCCTGTAATCCCAGCACTTTGGGAGGCCGAGGCAGGTGGATCGCTTGAGGTCAGGAGTTCAAGACCAGCCTGGCCAAATAGTGAAACCCCATCTCTACTAAAAACACAAAAATTGGCTCTGCGTTGTGGTGGGCGCCTGTAATTCCAGCTACCTGGGAGGCTGAGGCAGGAGAATTGCTTGAATCCAGGAGGTGGAGGATGCAGTGAGCTAAGATCGCACCACTGCACTCCAGCCTGGGCAACAGAGCAAGACTCCATCTCAAAATGAATGAATGGATACATAAATAAACAAATAAAATTATTTTAAAATTTAATAAAATACTACACTAACAAAACAATTCTGAAAAACAAAACAAAACAATTCTGTTTTCTAAAGAACTCCTCAATTTTATATGAAGTCCTACTGAAAGAAGTCTCCTCCTAAAACCTAAAATCTGAGCAATAATTTTAGGTGAATAAAGAATAAGCAGGGGCCGGGCGTGGTGGCTCATGTCTGTAATCCCAGCACTTTAGGAGGCCGAGGCGGGCAGATCTCCTGAGGTCAGGAGTTCGAGACCAGCCTGACCAACATGGAGAAACCCTGTCTCTACTAAAAATACAAAATTAGCCAGGCGTGGTGGCGCATGTCTGTAATCCCAGCTACTCAGGAGGCTGAGGCAGGAGAATCACTTGAACCCAGGAGGCAGAGGTTGCGGTGAGCCGAGATCGCACCATTGCACTCGAGCCTGGGCAACAAGAGTGAAACTCCATCTCAGAAAAAAAAAAACACACAAAAAAAGAAGCAGAGCTGGGCACAGTGGCTCACACCTTTACTCCCAGCACTTTGGGAGACCAAGGCAGGCAGATCACTTGAGGCCAGGATTTCAAGACCAGCCTGGCCAACGTGGTAAAACCCTGTCTCTACTAAAAATACATAAACTAGCTGGACATGTTGGTGCACGACTGTAATCCCAGCTACTCAGGAGGCTGAGGCATGAGAATCACTTGAACCTAGGAGGTGGAGGTTGGAGTGAGCCGAGATTGTGCCACTGCACTCCAGTCTGGGCGACAGAGCAAGACTCTTATCTCAAAAAAAAAAAAAAAAAAAGGCCAGACGCAGTGGCTCATGCTTGTAATCCCAGCACTTTGGGAGGCTGAGGGAGGTGGATCACCTGAGGTCAGGAGTTCAAGACCAGCCTGATCAACATGGTGAAACCCTGTCTCTACTAAAAATACAAAAATTAGTCAGGAGTGGTGGCAGGCGCTTGTAATCCCACCTACCACCTACTCTGGAGGCTGAGGCAGGAGAATCACTTGAACCGGGGAGTCAGAGGTTGCAGTGAGCCGAGATCACACCACTGCACTCCAGCCTGGGCAACAGAGCGAGACTTCATCTCAAAAAAAAAAAAAAAAAAAAAGCAGCTGGGTATCATGGCTCATGCCCGTAATCACAGCACTTTGGGAAGCTGAGGCAGGAGGACTGACTGAGCCCAAGAGTTCGAGACCAGCCTGGGCAACACAGTGAGACCCCATCTCAACAAAAAATTTAAACATTAGCTAGGCATGGTGGCAAGCACCTGTAGTCCCAGCTACTTGGGAGGCTGATGTTGCAGGATCACTTGAGCTCACGAATTTGAGGCTACAGTGAGCTATGATCATGCCACTGCACTCCAGCCTAGGTGACAGGGCAAGACGCCATCTTACACACACACAAAATGATAGAGATGACTAAACACACACACACAAAGGGCTAGGCAAAGTGGCTCACGTCTGTAATCTTAGCACTTTGGGAGTCCAAGGTGGAAGGGATCACTTGAGCCTCGGAGTTCGAGATCAACCTGGGCAACATAGCGAGACCATGTCTCTATCAAAAACAAAAAAAAAAAGCTATGAGACCAGGAGTTCGGGGCTGCAGTGAGCTATAATTGTGCAACTGCACTCCAGTCTGAGCACAGAGCAAGGCTCCGTCTCAAGAAATAAAAGAAAAAAGTAAAACTAAGAATAAAATTAAAAAAGAATAAGGCAAATGTCCATTAACTAAGATTTTAGTCCCCTGAATCTGCTACCTAGTAACTCCATCCTCAGACCAGGCAAACTCACCCTCTGTAACCACTGTTGTACCTCATGGCGATGTTATAAACATTAAACAAGGAACTATTCTTCAAAAGACTTTGAAAAATATAACATCTTAAACAAATATAAGGCACTACTGTTATAATGCAGTTCACATACCAAAGTGATCCCAGTCCCCTGTAGATTCTGAATCTCCAGCTGGTTCTTGCCCTCAGTGAAAATTGGTTTTGGGTTCTTCTCAAAGCCCCCAGACAGGATGCCACCCTGCCAGTTCCGAATATAAATTCTTCCATCAGCATCCACAATAGCTGAGGTGGAGAAATGACATGGAGTGGGGAGTGGAAGAAAAAACAAGGGTTTAGAGGCAAGTCAGCTTTCTAAATGGACAGAACAACCAAACAAAAACACCCATTAATGGCTTTATTAATGAAAGAACATTCAATGAACGCAGGCATTCATTAGCTTTAAAATACCTTTTGAGGTCACGGGGGAAGATCCTCCCATTTAGCCTTTCAGTGGAGACTGTTTCTCTGATTATCCCTTACCTAGAAGCTTTGACTAGTCCCCACCACGTAACTCCCACTGTGCCAAGCGAAAGTTTAACGGAAAGGGGGATTGCAGAGCCCATTCTAGGCATGAAGACCGTCAAAAGGATGTGAGAACCCTCTCCTATAGTGCTTGGAACCACGAACCCACCTAAGTCTATCGTTTACCTATGACATTTCTACTATCCATAGTATTCAAGTTAAAAAGTCAACAAGACAGTCCAAATATTCTCAATGACCTCTGTTTAAGACTAAAATTAGCTTGCAAAACAAAAAACAAAAACAAAAAAATGTATTAATGGAAATTTTGGCCATCCTTTCATAAAGAGTTAATAAAGAAAAGTCAGAATTGGGTCCACCTCCCTGTAACATGCTCTAGAAATGAAAGACTCTTTCAGACACAGTCTGTCCTTAGCAGAAAGTTTTCCTTTTCAGAGGACAGGACACTGGCAAAGAAACAAGATTTTTTAAAAAAGTGCAAGTCCTCACTTGGTGTGCTGCTCTGCAGAGGGGTCTCCAAGGGGCGAGTCAGGAGGTAGAAGTGTTCGCAGGCATGTAGCGGGATACTAACCGGCTCCTCGTTGGACAGACCCAGCTCGTATGCCCACTACAAATGGACAGGTTGATTTGTGGGTGGGAAGGGGAACAGAAATAAAAATGAGCAAGTTCAGCCTCTTGAGATTAATTCCAAGTGGCTTATGTGTGCTCTTGCTACAGTGTCAGGTGTGGGAAGTCAGCCTGCTTTAGTTCAATTATTTGGATGGGGAGCAATACTACATTTTTTAAGACATAAAAATTACTTTGAGATCAAAGGAAGAGATATTTACCAGCTAGTCAAAGGAGCTCATGGGAACCAAAGGAGGTCCTTTTGATAAAACGCCTGGGCTCAGCTACAAACCCCAAATAGCAATCACTAAATGAACTTCACGTGGCAAAAGTATTTCTTAGTTCACTTCGGGATCATAGCATGGAAGGCAAGAGCCAATCTGCTTTAAAAGAAGCAGTGTCCCGGAAATTAGTGTCCACATTCCTGACACAATAAAATAGCCTAATATGTTATTTGCTAGGTTGTAGAATGAAATGTAACACCAAGACCCAGCGCCAAGGATTCACGTCAATGCCTGACCATTTGCTGGCCTTCCTGACCAGGATAGCACCCATCAACCCAGTGTGGAGGAAGGACAAGGTCACACAGGCTTCTATTTGCAGACTAAGTGTAGGTTTCTGATTTAGAATACCCTACAAGAAACAGCATAGTTACTGATATCTGTGTAATGAATCACAATACTAACCTTACTTCTCTACACCAAAAAAATCTTGGAGACATACGTTAAATAAGAAAATCAGTGTTGGTGCTGACCTACCTGGCCAGCACAGTTGACAAAATACTGGCATTCAATCTGTCCTTTATCGGTCTCCACTCCAGTAACTTGACCTTTTTTGCCCATTACTTGAAGAACAGATGTCCGGTCATAGATCTGAACACCTGTTCCAAGGTAAAGAAAGAGTTGGTGCTTCATCTGATGTTCCAGAATGAAGGCATGTGCAGCAGGTTCTCCACCCAGAAGAAACACTGACAAAGTCAAGTCAATGCTTTAATTTATTTTTTTATTTTATTTTTGAGACGGAGTCTTGCTTTGTCGCCAAGGGTGGAGGGTAGTGGTGTGATCTTGGCTCGCTCTCTGCCTCCTGGGTTCAAGCAATTCTCCTGCCTCAGCCTCTCAAGTAGCTGGGATTACAGGCATGCACCACCATGTCCTGCTAATTTTTGTATTTTTAATAGAGATGGGGTTTTACCATGCTGGTCAGCCTGGTCTTGAACTCCTGGCCTCAGGTGATCCGCCTGCCTTGGCCTCCCAAAGTGCTGGGATTACAGGCATGAGACACCACGCCCGGCTCAATGCTTTCATTTAAAAAAAAACACAAAACCCTAGAATCACATCCTGAGACTATGTAAATGGGCCTTGTTCGAGATTGAAAATAGCAAGTCAGTTTAAAAACAGACTTTGGAACACAATAATTAAATTCCTGGAATCATAAACTATGGAGCAAAGAGGAGAGGATGTAAATAGTGCGCCTTAAGTGCTAACCTGCTCATACCATGGATATGATACCCTGGACACTAGTTAAGTCTTCCCCTCATTCAATGCAACTGGGCTTATGATTTCAGGTGTGGATTAAACTTCCAAGGTGTGTTTTCACCTTGAGCTTCTCAAGTCCTGTGGGGGAAAATATTACCTTAAGTCCAAAGGGCATTAATTGGCAGGGCACAGTGGCTCACGCCTGTAATCCCAGCACTTAGGGAGGCCGAGGCAGGTGGATCATCTGAGGTCAGGAGTTCAAGACCAGCCTGGCCAATACGGCGAAACCCCGTCTCTACTAAAAATACACAAAAAAATTACCTGGGTGTAGTGGCGCACGCCTGTAGTCCCACCTACTCGGGAGGCTGAAGCAGGAGGATCACATGAACCCAGGAGGCGAACGTTGCAGTGAGCCAAGATTGTGCCACTGCACTCCAGCCTGGGCGAAAAGAGTGAAGCTCCGTCTCCAAAAAACGGGCATTAATTAGCACTAAAAGCAGTTCTTTAGAACTTTAAAAATGTGGCCCTGAGGGAAAACACTCATTAACAGATAAATAAAATTATAAGTGTTCAAAATGGAGGCTGAGTACCCCAAAGAGGATAATCTTTCCAAACTTGAGTTGGTGTCACTTCCTACTGTGAGACACTTCCTTAGGTAATGTCTTCCCTGCTAACCTATCTTAAGAAAATGCAAAAACCTGCTCACCATTTTGGGAGGCAGCACTTGCCAGGGCAAGAGCCACGTCAGCGGAAGACACCACTGCATCCTCAGGAACATGCATGGCCCCCACCAGGTCGTGCACGTTGAGGAGATGGTGAAGCTCGGCCACTTTCTTGGGGGAGATGATCTCAGAAGGGATACCTATAACACTGCCACAGAACACAAGGGACAATGACATTCACAGGCTCTTTGGCAGAGGCCAGTGTGGTAAAGTCAGGACACGCTTCTAGACTCTTACGTACTTCAGCCCTGCGTTGATGCGCTTCAGGGAGATCAGTCGGTCCTGAGTTTGGGCCAGAAAGATTGAGCCTGTCCTTGTGTAACCTGTAAGAAAAATGAGCCCAAATGAGACAGATCAGACCAAATGTAGGACGGGAGAGTGGAAAATCCACTAGATTATAAGTTAGAAGGCCTGTGATGAATCCTGGGACTGCCACTCAATATCCTTGGGCAGGTAAATCAGCTTCTCTGAGCTTCTTTGCAAAATTTTAAGAACTTCAGATGCACTAAGGCTCCATGCCCTGACCAAACATTCTCAGCTCACAGTTTTGTGAAGTTGTGAGGATCAAATGAGATTCTAGGCCAGGTGTAGTGGCTCATGCTTGTAATCGCAGCACTTTGGGAGGCTGAGGGGGGCGGATCATCTGAGGTCAGTAGTTTGAGACCAGCCTGGCCAGCATGGTGAAACCCTGTCTCTACTAAAAATACAAAATTAGCCAGGCACGGTGGTGTGCACATGTAATTCCAGCTACCGGGGAGGCTGAGGCAGGAGAATTGCTTGAACCCAGGAGGTGGAGGTTGCAGTGGGTCAAAATTGCACCACTGCACTCTAGCCTGGGCAACAGAGTGAGACTTCGTCTTTAAAAAAAAGAAAAAAAAAGAAAAAGACAGTTTTGGGCAGGGATTCGACCATCCCTATTCTTCCCACCTTTTAGGCAGTTTCACCCTTTCTCCTCCTAGTCTTGGGGGAGTGTAATCCTTAGCAAAGGCCACTCACAATAACATCAGCTACCAAGGGTCGGATTCTCCCTTCTTCTTCCCCAGTATAGCCAAACAGTGGGCATGCGACCTAAGCTTATCCAATCAGACCCTCCTGGAACAGTCAGTCTTGAGCACGTAGGTGAATGGCTAGAGGTCACCATCTCAAGGGCAGCATCAGCCAGGCCAGGCTGCTCCTGTTCTGGCTGAGGGACTGCCTGCGGTGCAGTCCCCACATCCTGGCTTCCAGGCTGCCTCCAGCTGGCAGCCTCCTGCCAACTCCACAGGCCCAAGCTCCTCCCAACAAGCTCCAAGTTGGCCAGAGTCAATTCCTGTTGTCTGTAATCAACACACCTGATATAGAACCATAATTACACTTGGGCCAATGACAATTCTCCTAAAATACAATGACTCTTAATTCTTATGAAGAAAGAGTTGAAGCAATTTGGTATCTTATTTTCAAAAGAAGTACAGTAAGGATAATTTACATATTTTCTTAATTTCTTAGTAGAGACGGGGTTTCACCATGTTAGCCAGGATGGTCTCGATCTCCTGACCTCGTGATCCGCCTGCCTCGGCCTCCCAAAGTGCTGGGATTACAGGCATGAACCACCATGTTTAAAACCGGCCAACCCAAGTTTTAATTACCAAAGCAGTAGGCACACCTGGCAGAGGACCAAATACAGAAATGAATATAACAATCTCAGGGACAGGCAAAGCAATAAATGGAAGACACTTGCTTACCTGTTCGGATCCCTGTTTCTTGCTCTAACTGATGGTAGAGTTTGTTTGAGTAGTCTGCCATCTTCTGCTCAATGGTCAAGTGCCTGGCAGTGCTCAGGATGCCAGCACAGAACCTGGTAGAGCCAGCAGCCAGCCTGCAGGATGGATGCAAAATGCTATTAGGTAGATTGACGTCATCTGTGAATACGAGGTCAGGGTTTCTCATTTAATACTGTTTCTAATACCAAAAGATGGAAACAAGCTGGGCACAGTGGCTCACACTTATAATCCCAGCACTTGAGGAGGCCAAGGTAGGAGGATTGAGGACTGCTTGAGGACAGGGGTTTATGACCAGCCTGGTCAACACAGGGAGAACCCATCTCTACCAACAACAACAACAAAATTAGCCAGGCATGGTAGCACATGCCTGCAGACCCAGCTACTTGGGAGGCTAAGGCCAGAGGAGCCCTTGAGTTCAAAAGGTAGAGGCTGCAGTGAGCTGTGATCACATCTCTGCACTCCAGCTTGGGCAACAGGGTGAGAAAAATGTTCAATGACATGGGATAGATTTAAAATTTTGTATAGTTTAGGCCAGGCACAGTGGCTCATGCCTGTAATCCCAGCACTTTGACGGGCTGAGGTAGGAGGTTCACTTGAGGCCAGGAGTTCAAGACTGGCCTGGGCAACATAGCCAGACCATGTCTCTACCAAAAAAAAAATAAATAAAAATAAATAAATAAATAAAAATAAAGGCTGAGTGCGGTGGCTTACGCCTGTAATCCCACCACTTTGGGAGGCTGAGATGGGCGGATCACAAGGTCAGGAGATCAAAACCATCTTGGCTAACACAGTGAAACCCCGTCTCTACAAAAAATACAAAAAATTAGTCGGGCATCATGGCGGGCACCTGTACTCCCAGCTACTCGGGAGGCTGAGGAAGGAGAATGGCGTGAACCCGGGAGGCAGAGCTTGCAGTGAGTCAACACTGTGCCACTGCGTTCCGGCCTGGGTGACAGAGCGAGACTCCACCTCAAAAAAAAGTAAAAAAAATAAAGATAAAAGTTAGCCAGGCTACTTGGGAAGCTGAGGCAGGAAGATCCCTTGATCCCAAAAGTTTGCGGCTGCAGTGAGCTACCATTGTGCCACTGCACTTCAGACTAAGCAATAGAGCAAGACCCCATCTCTAAAATAAAATAAAATTTTGGAATTCATCTATACAATGGAATATTATGCAGCTATAAAAAAGAATGAAAAGGTCTTTATGTACCAATATGGAACAATCATAATGAAAAAGTAAGGTGAAGAACAGTGTGTAAGGTATGCTCCCACTTATATAAAAAAGGGAAAAAATATAATAAATGAATACCCATACACATATACACAAACCTACCAACACATAATTGCTTATAGAAGTAGAGAATATAACTAGAACTTAACTTCCCTCCAGAGAGGAAAGCTTTTTGTTAGAAGTGAAGATTGAGGGCTGGGTGCAGTGGCTCACATCTATAATCCCAGCACTTTGGGAGGCTGAGGCAGGCAGATCACTTGAGGTCAGGCGTTCGAGACCAGCCTGGCCAACATGGCGAAACCCCATCTCTACTAAAAACACAAAAATCAGCTGGGCATGGTGGCAGGCGTCTGTAATCCCAGCTATTCAGAAGGCTGAGGCAGGAGGATCGCCTGAACCCAGGAGGCAGAGGTTGCAGGAGTTGAGGCTGCACCACTGCACTTCAGCCTCGGTGACAGAACAAGACTCCATCTTAAAAAAAAAAAAAAAAAAAAGAAAAGGAAAGAACATTGAGGAGTCTTTTTCCTGTATACTCTTTTACATATATATATGTGTATGTGTGTGTGTGTGTGTGTGTGTGTGTGTGTGTGTGGTGTGTGTATATATGTGTATGTGTATATATATACATGTGTGTATATATATATGTGTATATATATATATATGTTTGTGTATATATATATGTGTGTGTGTATATATATATATATATATATTTTTTTTTTTTTTTTTAGACGCAGTTTCACTCGTCACCCAGGCTGGAGTGCAATGGCACAATCTCGGCTTACTGCAACCTCTGCCTCCTGGGTTCAAGCTATTCTCCTGCCTCAGTCTCCCGAGTAGCAGGGATTACAGGTGTGTGCCACCATGCCCAGCTAATTTTTGTGTTTTTTTTTTTGTTTTTTGTTTTTTTAGAGACGGAGTTTTGCTCATCACTCAGATTGGAGTGCAATGGCACAATCTCGGCTCACCGCAACCTCCACCTCCCAGGTTCAAGCAATTCTCTTGCCTCAACCTCCCAAGTAGCTAGGATTACAGGTGTACACCACCATGCCTGGCTAAATTTGTATTTTTAGCAGAGATGGGGTTTTGCCATGTTGGCCAGGCTGGTTTCGAATTCCTGACCTTAGATGATCCACCCGCCTCAGCCTCCCAAAGTGCTGGGATTACAGGCATAAGCCACTGCACCCAGCTTCTTTTACATATTTTCAATTTTGAATCATATAAATACATTGCCTATTCAAAAGTACATAAACTTTACATTGAAAAAAATGTTCTCTAATTTGTGGTAGCAACAGAATATAAAGGCTACAGTAATGCTAGGGCCCAAAGACCCAGTTTTGCAAGGGACCCATATGTGAAGAAAGCAGGTGGGGGGGTTCTAAGGTCATTTTCCCCAAATTATTTATCACTCAGTAAATAAACTAACATCTGTGTCAGCATGCCTGTCACTTGAGTTTACTGTATTTACTCTAATAATTATATTTTCCACATAAGATTGTCAGCTCCCTAAAGAGATTTTTCTATCATCTTTGTAACTGTGTGGAGCTCCACCCCAGGTGGGAGTTCCATTAACTGGCTGGTGGTCAGCACCTATAGCTCTGGTGACGTCTCTGCTGGGATAGCACTCCTTGAGCAGCTTTGACAGTGGCTCTCGCCCTTGGAGGTACATCAGAGTCCCCCGGGAAGCTTTTAAAAATACTGATGCCTGGCCTCACCCCTAGAGATTCTCGTTTGTTCTGGGGAGAGATCTGGGCACTGGTAATTGTTAAAAGCTCCCCAGCTGATTCTAATGTGCAGACAGATTTAAGACCCATTGATCTATGAGAACAATAGTGAAGATAGAGAAGAGGAATAATTATAGATAAAGGGCAGTATAAAACCATTTCACAAGCCACGGATAAGGCATAAGAATAACTTTTATTTTTTGAGACAGTCTCACTCTGTTGCCCAGGCTGGAGGGCAGTGGCACAAACTTGGCTCACTACAATCTCCGCCTCCCAGGTTCAAGCAATTCTCCTGCCTCAGCCTCCTGAGTAGCTACAATTACAGGCTCATACCACCACACCCAGCTAATTTTTGCATTTTTAGTAGAGACGGGGTTTCGCCATGTTGGGCAGGCTGGTCTTGAACTCCTGACCTCAGGTGATCCACCCACCTTGGCCTCCCAAAGTCGTGGGATAACAGGCATGAGCCACTGCACTTGGCCGAGCCATAATTTTTTTTTTTTTTGAGACTGAGTCTTGGTCTGTTGCCCAGGCTGGGGTGCAATGGCGCGATCTTGGCTCACTGCATCCTCCGCCTCCTGGATTCAAGCGATTTTCCTACCTCAGCCTCCCGAGTAGCTGAGATTAACAGATGCGCATAACCACTCCCGGTTAATTTCTGTATTTTTAGTAGAGACGGCGTTTCACCATGTTGGCCAAGCTGGTCTCAAACTCCTGATCTCTGGTGATCCACTCGCCTTGGCCTCCCAAAGTGCTGGGATTACAGGCGTGAGCGATCGTGCCTGGCTGGCATAATTATTTTTAAGTGTGAGGTTTAAATAGTCTGCCTTATATCAATTCTAAGGTATTATATAATCTTGAAGCAACAAATTAAACCACAAATGAACCTCCCTAGGTTCTCCCACTTAGAAACATTTACACTGAGATTAGTTTATCACTTTTTGTGGAAATACCTGATAATTAAATTTAAAAGGATTTCAAAAAATAGGAGAACGACTTTGACATCAAGGAAGCATTATGAGGCCAAGTGCAGTGGCCCACACCTGTAACCCCAGCACTTTGGGAGGTTGAGGTGGTCCGATCACTTGAGCCCAGGAGTTTGAGGCCAGCCTGGACAACAAGGTGAAATCACGTCTCTACCAAAAAAACAAAAAATTAGCCAGGCATGGTAGTGCATGCCTGTAGTCCCAGCTACTCAGGAGGCTGTGGTGGGAGGATCACTTGAGCCCAGGAGGCAGAGGTTGTAGTGAGCTGAGATTGAACCACTGCACTCCAGCCTGAGTGACAGCGTGAGACCCTGTCTCAAAAACATTAACAAAAACAAAACCCACTTTTGCTCTTAAAAGTATCCACTGCAGGCCAGGCACGGTGGCTCATGCCTGTAATCCCAGCACTTTGGGAGGCTGAGGCGGGTGGATCAGCTGAGGTCAGGAGTTCAAGACCTGCCTGGCCAACATGGTGAAACCCCATCTATACTAAAAATACAAGAATTAGCCAGGTGTGGTGGCATGCAACTATTAATCCCAGCTACTTGGGAGCCTGGGGCAGGAGAATCACTGGAATCCGGGAGGCACAGGTTGCAGTGAGCTGAGATCACGTCACCGCACTCCAGCCTGGGTGACAAAGCAAGACTCTGTCTCAAAAAAAAAAAACTATCCACTGCATAAAATAGAAATCCATGAGTCTAAACTGGGGTGTGTGTGTGTGTGTGTGTGTGTGTATACAGATATATAACTGAGTAAATAAATGGGGGAGAAGGAAATCTCTTCCTGACAGTAATATGCCAACTATAATAAATGTAGAAGTATAATCAAAAAATCACCATTTGTCAACCATCATGGTGGTGGCTGACTCAGGCAACAGTTGTCAACGGATGCTAAGCCCGGTAGGTGGAGGTCTGATATGAACAGGATATTGGCATAATCTCAGAATCCATCTCTCCTCAAAGGGCACTGGCCAGTTACAAGGGGAGAAAACAGGGTCTCTGTGCTAGAGATGCTTGGAGGACACCAATGTAACTGGGTGACCAGGGTTATCACCACCAGAAGTGAGACAGGACAGCCATACACCTCCTGATGTGGTGCACTGCTGAGAGTCCAGCCTAATTTCTGTGGTCTTACTGCCAAAAATGTATGACCTGGTTATGATGATGGATGCACAACTCTGTACAAACAGATTTCAGCACTTAACAAGGATGAGTGGCATGGTATGCAAATTGTATCTCAATACAGTGATGGTTATAAAAGTCTCTAACCCAAGTCTGATCATAAGACAACAGCCTAGGCCAGGTGTGGTGGCTCATGCCTGTAATCCCAGTACTTTGGGAGGCCAAGGTGGGTGGATCACCTGAGGTCAGGAGTCCAAGACCAGCCTGGCTAACACGGTGAAATCCTGTCTCTACTAAAAAAACAGAAATTAGCTGGGCATGGTGGTGGGTGCCTGTAATCCCAGCTACTTGGGAGGCTGAGGCAGGAGAATTGCTTGAACCCAGGAGGCGGAGGTTGCAGTGAGCGGAAATTGCACCACTGCACTCCAGCCTGGGTGACAGAGAGAGACTCCATTTCAAAAAAAAAAAAAAAAAAAGAAAGAAAAGAAAACATCCTAGGCAACACAGGGAGATCCCATCTCTACAGAAAAATACAACAATCAGCCAGATGTGATGGTGCATGTCAGTAGTCCCAGCTACTTGGGAGGCTATGGCAGAAGGACTGCTTGAATCCACGAGGTCAAGGCTACAGTCAGCTGTGATAGTGTGACTGCACTCCAGCTTGGGTGACACAGCAAGACCCCATCTTAAAAAAAAAAAAAAAGAGAAGAAGAAAACATTAGCTAAACACAGGCTGAGAATTATCAGAGTGAAAGGCCTGTATTCTTTTTTTTTTTTTTTTTTGAGACAGTCTTGCTGTGTCACCCAGGCTAGCGTGCAGTGGCATGATCTCCACTCACTGCCACCTCCGCCTCACAGATTCAAGCGATTCTCCTGCCTCAGCCTGCCGAGTAGCTGGGATTACAGGTGCACACCACCACGCCCAGCTAATTTTTGTATGTTTAGCAGAGACAGGTTTTCACCATGTTGGCCAGGCTGGTATCGAACTCCTGACCTGAGGTGATCTGCCCACCTCAGCCTCCCAGAGTGCTGGGATTACAGGTGTGAGCCACCATGCCCGGCCAATATTGTTGTATGAATCTAACATTACTTGTATAGTGGTATAATATTAATTAATGATGGATTATAAGAATCCATTCTGTAATCTCTGTAACTATTACAAATTAATATAAAGGGACTTAGCTTACAAGCCAATAGAGCAGAAAATACTTGACCTAAAAGAAGGTGAGCACAGAGAAACTAAGCCTATAGAGCATATTTCTCTTGGAGAATGAGAACAATATTAAGAACCTAGCAATTAAGCAAACACAAGCAGTTGTCTGCTTTGCTTAAATGCAGTCCACATTATTTACAAACACAAATTTTTGTCAAAGTCTAAAATGTTGCTGGGTACAGTGGGTCATGCCTGTAGTCCCAGCACTTTGGGAGGCCAAGGTGGGAGGACTGCTTGAGGCCAGGAATTCAAGCTCAGCCTGGGTAAGAAAGCGAGATCCTGTCTACCAAAACACCACCACCAAAAAAAAAAAAAAAAAAAAAAAAAAAAAAAGGAAAACGACGAAATTTGCCAACTCTCTAAAAACCAGAGAACATGAGCATTATTAGTCATCCTTAAACAAAATTCAGGAGATTCCACCTTGCTTCTTCTCATGCTACTTAGCAACATTTAGATTAGCTACTGGTGGGGCAGTATCTCTGAAAGGAGAGGGAATCTGATACGATTAGTGCAGCACAGCCATGAGCCAAATGCAGTCTGATCCTTACCTGCCCTGCTCCAAAAGGACAATATCCTTCCACCCCATTTTGGATTGGTGATGGGCCACAGAAGTGCCCGTGATTCCACCTCCACAGACGACCACCTGTGCCTGGGTGGGCAGGGCCATGGAACGCGCCTCGGCAGCTGATGCGCTGTTTCTTGCAGAGGACCAGTTCTGCCATCCTGGGCTGGCTCTTTGTCTTCCAACAATCGACAGCAACCAGTAGAACATCATGTCTCTCACCAACTAGATCTCAGGAACTCAAACTAGACAGAGAAACCAAACATATTTCATGCCATTCAACTCAGTGCATGGGATTAATGAGAAAGGGATTTGACAAAGAACGATAGCCATTCATTCAGCAAATATTTGAGGGTGGCCGGGCGCGGTGCCTCACACCTGTAATCCCAGCACTCTGGGAGGCCGAGGCGGGCGGATCACGAGGTCAGGAGATCGAGACCATCCTGGCTAACACAGTGAAACCCCGTCTCTACTAAAAACACAAAAAATTAGGCTGGGCGCAGTGGCTCACATCTATAATCCCAGCACTTTGGGAGGCCGCGGCGAGTGGATAACGAGGTCAGGTGTTCGAGACCAGCCTGACCAACATGGTGAAACCCTGTCTCTACTAAAAATACAAAAATTAGCTGGGCATGGTGGCGGGTGCCTGTAATCCCAGCTACTCAGGAGGCTGAGGCAGGAGAATTGCTTGAACCCGGGAGGCGGAGGTTGCAGTGAGCAGAGATCGCGCCACCGCACTCCAGCCTGGGCGACAGAGCGAGACTCCGTCTCAAAAAACAAAAACAAAAACAAAAAAAGAAATATTTGAGGGCATTCTGAGTTTCAGATATTCTGCTAGCAGTGAACAAGAATGGGGAAGTCCCTGTCTTTATGAAATTTACATTTGAGAGTTTGCGTGTGTGAATGAGGAGAGCACCAATCAATATACAAGTAAACATACAAATAAAACAGTAAATAAAGCTAATGTGATAGAGTAACTAGGGGCATATTTAAAACAGGATGGTCAGAAACAGCCTCCAAGGAAGTGACATTTGGAAACAGACCTGAAGGATAAGGAACGAGCTATACATTTGGCAGACACTGAGACGAGCATGTGCAAAAGCCCTGAGGTAAGACAGACCAAGAACAAAAAGGAGGCCGGCATGTACACGACACGGGGAGTGTGGGGAGATGATCTAAGACAATGCTGGAGAGGCAGGCGGAAGCCAGTTACACACAGCCCTTGGGTGCCATCAGCAGGAGTTGGAATTTTATTCAAAGTACAAAGGAAAATCACTCATGCGGGAGTATCACTAGCAGGGGAATGAAATGATCTGGGATGTTTTTCTTTTCTTTGTTTTTTTTGGCGGTGAGGGGTGGGGGGATGTTTTCCAAAGGTCAGTCTGGCTCCATGGTGGAGAGCGGATGGTAGAATTATAAAAACAGAGTCGACTTCCTAGGCTCAAGTGATCCTCCCACCTTGGTCTCCCAAAGTGCTGAGATTACAGGCATGAACCACTGCCCTTGGACAAGGCAGGGTTTTAACAAACTTAATCTATCAGCAAAACAGATGACTGTTCAAGTTTCAAGAAACTGAAGAAGAAAGCACCTACTGGCTGTCCATGCAGTCATGTGTACAGGAGGATGAGGACTTTGAGACGAGAGGCGGTAGACAAGGGGGCCTCAGGGCAGCTCACTGCTAGTCATCTCCTTACCGCCTCCACTGCCAGCCACAGGACCCACAGATGCTCCACAGTCAGCCCAAATTGTCCAAGGCCAAGGTATCTATGTCCATCCATCAGAATTGCAACCAATGCAAGCACAGACTATGTCCAGACAGACATCCCATCCAACTGGAGACAAATTGTCTTGGCCACCTTGTGGTTGCCACCATGCCTCTCATCCCTGGTCCCTGTTAAGCACCATCTCAAAACAGAAGCTTCTCTACCCGGCTAGTCTTTACATAATCTCATCTCTACGTGACCAATTTATTTCCCGTGGCCCAAGCTCTCTTTGCTTTCCTCTCCTTCAAGCTCCTCTACTGCACCCTCTAGAATACCTTTCCCAAAGGTAAACACCCACCCCTTTGCTGACATCCTCTCTACCCTCTGTCCCAATGGCAACACAGCTCTCCTGGGGAACTGCTGCTGCCAAATGGCCAGCCCCATCCCATTGACCTCACTGTCAACCTCCTGGCTTCTGACCCGTGACCACTCGGTTATACTTGAAAACTGTCCTGCTCCTTGGTGGCTTAGGCTAGCACATGTTAAGCCACAGGTAGACCTCTGTCTGTATTCAGGTTCAGAGCCCAGCTATTCCTCTCTCAACCTTCAACTTCACCTCCTTTCTTCCCTCATTCTAAGCAGATAACCTGGCTCATCTCATTCCCTGAAACCCTTCCTATAGACCCACTTACATCTGCAACCATCTCTTCCTTCTTTTATCCACTGGAAAGTTAATCTCCCCCAAGGGCCCTGGATCCCACTTCCTCCTCTCTTCTCTTGACCCTAGCTCCATCAACTGCTGTCTCTCTTTCCTGTACCTGCAATGTTTCCCTCCGTTTTTGCTCCTTTTCCTCAGCAATTTTTTTTTTTTTGAGACGGAGTCTCGCTCTGTCGCCCAGTTGGGAGTGCAGCGGTGTGATCTCGGCTCACTGCAACCTCTACATTCCAGGTTCAAGCAATTCTCCTGCCTCGGCCTCCTGAACAGCTGGCACTATAAGTACGCGCCACCACGCCCAGCTACTTTTTGTATTTTTAGTAGAGATAGGGTTTCGCCATGTTAATTAGGCTGGTTTTGAACTCCTCACCTCGGGTGATCCACTGGCCTTGGCCTCCCAAAGTGCTGGGATTACAGGTGTAAGCCACCACACCCACCTTAATGACTTTCTGATGCCCTCAGGAAAAAGGCAAAACTCTTTTCATATCAAGTGCAAGATCCTTCACAGTCTGGTTCTTATCTGTGGTCTCATTTCTCCTTTCCTCACACTCTGACCAAGCCAGACTGAACAACCTGTAATTCGTCAAACATATCAGGTGAGGTGTGAATGTTCTATTCGGCTCCAGGTTCTGTGCATGCTGTTCCCTCCTGGCAGGTTCCTGCCACCCCTCCCGCAAATACAGGTAATCTCCTCAGGTCACAGCCTCTTTGACATCTTATTTATTTATTTTTTTTGAGATGGAGTCTCGCTCTGTCGCCCACGCTGGAGTGCAGTGGTGCGATCTCAGCTCACTGCAAGCTCTGCCTCCTGGATTGATGCCATTCTCCTGCCTCAGCCTCCTGAGTAGCTGGGACTACAGGCACCCGCCACCATGCCTGGCTAATTTTTTTTTTTAATTTTTAGGAGAGACGGGGTTTCACCATGTTAGCCAGGATGGTCTCAATCTCCCGACCTCGTGATCCGCCTGCCTTGGCCTCCCAAAGTGCTGGGATTACAGGTATGAGCCACCGTGCCCAGCCCTGTCTTTGACATCTTATCTGACAATCTCCCCCTCCTTCTCCAACACTTGGTTAGGTGGCTTTTCTATGTTCTCCTATAACACACTACACTTCTCCCAGCACAGAACTTACCACACTGCACAATGGTCTGTTTGCCAATCAGAGAAGCAACATGCCAGCATGGCAGGGAATCCAGGCTTTGGGGGCGGACAGTTCTGGGTTTGAAAATATCCCCACCTCTCACTAGCTGTATGACTATCAGCAAGTTACTAAATCTCTAGGCTTTGAACTCCTCATCTGTAACACGGGCTAGAAACACCTACCTCACATGGTTGCTGCAAAGACTAAATCAGACAAGGCAGGAAGAACATGGTACAAGCACCTAAGAAGCACTCAGTAAGTGGTAGTTATTTTTTATTATTTTTTGAGACGAGGTCTGTCATGCAGGCTGGAGTACAGCGGCATGATCATGGCTCACTGCAGTCTCAACCACCCAGACTCAAGCGATCCTCCCACCTCAGCCTCCAGAGTAGCTGGGACCACAGATGTGTACCATCACACTCAGCTAATTTTAAAATTATGAATATTTGTAGAGGTGAGGTCTCACTACGTTGCCCAGGATGGTCTCGAGCTCCTGACCTCAAGTGATCTGCCCACATTGGCCTCCCAAAGTGCTGGAATTACAGGCTAAGCCACCACACCCGGCCTATTATTTCCCTATTATAATGGAACTAAGAGCAGAAACCTTATAAATTGCTCAATTTTCCCAGCGTTCAGCATAGGTACCTAGGAAATATATGTTGATGCATGAATGAGAACAGAGAACAAAGAAGATGGGGGGAAAAAATCAAAGGTAGGACCCCCAGATTTGAGGAGATATCTAAATACCTGAGAGAATTATTTTTATTTTTATTTATTGTGAAACAGAGTCTCACTCTGTCGCCCAGGCTGAAGTGCAGAGGCGTGATCTCAGCTCACTGCAACCTCTGCCTTCCAGGTTCAAGTGTTTCTCCCGCCTCAGCCTCCCGAGTAGCTGGGATTACAGGCGCACGCCACTGTGCCCGACTAATTTTTTGTATTTTTAGTAGAGATGGAGTTTCACCATGTTGGCCAGGCTGGTCTCGAACTCCTGACCTCAGGTGATCCACCCACCTTGGCCTCCCAAAGTGCTGGGATTACAGGCATGAGCCACTGTGACCGGCCAATAATTTTTAAAGCTAATATTTTTATAAGTAGTTACAATGCACCAGATACTGCCTATGTATATAACTAATTTAATCCTCACAACCTTATGAGGTAGATACTAGCATTTCTATTCTACACTTGAGGAAACAGGCACAGATAAGTGGAAGTGACTCACCCAAGGTCCTACCAAACTGTTGAGTAGCAGAACCCTGCCAATTTGGCATTAGTGGCCGGCTATTTAATCATGACTCCACGCTACCTTTCAAATAAAAGCAGATGGTAAGGAAAGGACAGCTGTGAGGACTGAACCATTAAGCACATTCCCCTAACAGAGAAAGGGAATTGCAAAGGTGGCAGAACAAACACAGTAACAGATGAGTTTTAAGGAGGAATTAAAAAAAAACTTTAGGCCGGGCGCCATGTCTCACGCCTGTAATCTCAGCACTTTGGGAGGCCGAGGCGGGTAGATCATTTGAGGTCGGAAATTGGAGACCAGCCTGGCAAACATGGTGAAACTCCGTCTCTACCAAAGATACAAAAAATTAGCTGGGTGTGGTGGCACGCACCTGTGGTCCCAGGTACTCATGGTGCGGCCACCATTGCATCTTGGGCCTCACTAACCAGTTCCCGTTTGTTGGATTCAATACTGTCTCACCACACAGGCCAATCTTGTGTTTTATTAATTTTTTAAATTTTTTTTTTTTTTTTTGTAGAGATGGGCTCACTATGTTGCCCAGGCTGGTCCTGAACTCCTGAGGTAGGAGGATCGCTTGAGCCTGGGAGACAGAGGTTGCAGTGAGCCGAGATTATGCTACTGCACTCCTGCCTGGGTGACACAGTGAGACTCTGTCTTAAACAAAACAAAACAAAAAAAGGCCAGGCGCAGGGGCTCACACCTGTAATCCTAGCACTTTGGGAGGCCAAGGTGGGTGGATCATTTGAGGTCAGGAGTTTGAGACCAGCCTGATCAGCATGGTGAAACCCCGTCTCTACTAAAAACAGAAAAATTAGCCAGGTGTCGTGGCTTGCACCTGTAGTCCCAGCTACTCAGGAGGCTGAGACAGGAAAATTGCTTCAACCAGGGAGATGGAGGCTGCAGTGCGCAGAGTCGCGCCACTGCCTGGGTGACACAGTGAGACTCCATCTCAAAAAAGCCCAGGGTGCTTGGCGCCAAAAAAGGGATCTCTGACCTTGTGTTCATTATGACCTTCAAAAGAGTGAAGTGGTGAGGGCATGAGGGCAGAGGAAAAGAAGGGCTTAAGACAACGAAGGAAAAGAAGGCACCAGAGTCTAGTGCCTTTGCCGCCAAACCTAAGCCTATAAGGTTGGCAGCAAAACCAAAGCACAAACTGATAGCAAAGGAGGTAAAGCCAGGGGAGAAGAAACTGAAGACGTCAAAGACAGAAATGAAGCACATCATCTGGTTTAAAACAAATGATAGAGTTTTTACAGTTCTGGAAAATGACCGTATAATATTCTCTGCTAAGAAGAATAACTTCTGCTAAACAACCATAAGACTGCAGCTGGCTCTACTCAGATCTGCTTATTCCAACAAGACCAAGGTGCTAGTTCTAACTTCGAGTAGTCCCTCTGTATGGCTGCAGCGTTGCGCACAGTGGACTGCCGGTCACAAGGAAGACTGGATGAGCGTGGGTTCACACATTTCCCACACTTGCCTCAGCAAAAGAACCACCTGGGACACTTGTTTAAAAATGACAGATTCCCACGGTCCACCTCGGCAGATTCTGATCCTGCCACGCCAGGGAGCTGTATTTTTCAACAAGTACACCAGGTGATCACGCAAGTTTAAGAAATTAGCACAAGTTGGCCGGGCGCAGTGGCTCACGCCTGTAATCCCAGCACTTTGGGAGGCTGAGGCGGGCGAATCACGAGGTCAGGAGTTCCAGACCAGCCTGGCCAACATAGTGAAACCCCGTCTCTACTAAAAACACAAAAATTAGCCGGGCGTGGTGGCGCACACCTGTATTCCCAGCTACTTGGGAGGCTGAGGCAGGAGAATTGCTTGAACCCAGGAGGCAGAGGTTGCAGTGAGCCGAGATCGCGCCACTGCACTCCCGCCTGGGCGACAGAGTGAGACTCCGTCTCGGAAAAAAGAAAAAAAAAGAAAAAAGAAAAAAGAAATTAACACAAGTCCCTGCCACTGGAAACGCATATCCGTTGGGCTGGCTCCTCCTCCACCACCAGCCCCCATCCCGGTACATCACGTTTACATGCATGCGGAAAATGGGCTTGGAGATTCTTGATTCAAATCCGAGGTATCACACATCGGCCCCCAAAGGTCAAACATTAAGAAGGAAGCTTACTGCCCTGTCCCAGACTTTTCTAGGTGACTTCTTCCTCCGGACTCTGCAGCAGTCTTACTAGTTCTGAAAGCACAAGCGGACCGCACGTCTCAACGCGGGAAAACAGTTCCATCTGCAGGGATGGAGGACCGGGCTAGACAAGCTGGAGTTGGCTCTGCGCCGCAGGGGTGTGCAAGCCCAAGACTGGGGAGCCCGAGGTCACCCCGGCCGCCCTGGCATCGGGGCTGAGGTGCAGGCTCCTGGAGGAGCGGTGCGCAGGCCCAGGGGTAGCCGAGGACACAAGCCAAGGCACGAGCGGACAACCTTACGGGGACGAGTACTACCGCCCGGACGCGACTTCGCGAGAGGCCAGGCGGAACCCACTGGAAGCGTGAGCTAGCGGGGACCACCCCCGGGCGAAACCAAAGGAGAAAGAGGGGAACCCAGGGGTCCCGGGGCGCTTAGGCCCGCGCGGACGGGGAGGCCAGAGTTGCCCCGAAGCTATCTCCTTACCTCACCGGCCCCCACGGGCTCCGCGCTCAGCTACAGCCCGGCGGGAGCAATGCGGCAGCCACAACAGTTGCCGGCGGTCGCCGCGGGCCGGAAAGCGGGGTTCGGGGATGGGAAGGGGGCGGGGCGAAGCGAGCAAAAAGTTCCGGGGAAGCCGAGACCGCGACCTTCCGCGCTTTACGGCCCCCGGGCACGGGTACCGCCGGCGCGTGACCTCAGCCGCGCCCGAGCGCGCCGTGACGCCCTCGCGGAGCCCCGCCCCTGCCACGTGGGCTTGTTTGGGTCTCGCGAGGCACCGCCCCCGCGGCCTCTTTGCCACCCTCAGAGGCGAGCTGTGGAAGCCTTGACTCTTAGGGCCGTTTTAGAACCCGGGCCTCGGACCGGCGGGGTTTCTGCACGTGGAACCGGAACATCTGAGATGATCGCAGGCCCTGTGGAGTGTGGGGAGCGCGGGGGTTCTTTCTTCCCTCGAGGCCCGTGCCAGGGCTTACTCCAAAGCCAGTGGGTCCCCAGTCCTAAGCCAAGCAGTCCCGGGGGAAAACGCTTCTCATCGCCGTGGGAGCGCGGATCTTGGAAGTGGCTCTGGGCTTTCTTGGGCGAGGCTCTCACAGAGTAGATCGGAAATCCATTCTGCTGGCCCGCCCCACCTCGGAGGACGGACTAACGGACCTGAGTTCCCGGCCCTATCTTACTCTTCTCAGCTTCTCAGCTTGGCTCAGCTCAGAGGAAGAGGAATCACTGAAGTCTCAGAGAAGTCTCCACTCATCCCTTCCTCACCGTCACATCAGCCTTTTCTTTCCTTCTAGAAGTCATCACTGACTCAAGGATATAAGTTTGATGACTGTCTTTTCCACTGGTGTGACACGATCTCTGTCGACAGAACCTTAGTCTTATGCATAGCTTTATTCTCAGCACCCAGAACAGTGCCTGGCACCTCTTCCACTGAATATTATATGCATAAGGGTCTCATGCTGCAGCCACCATTGCATCTTGGGCCACACTATCCAGTTCCCGTTTGTTGGATTCAATACTGTCTCACCACACAAACCAATCTTGTGTTTTATTAATTAAAAAAAATTTTTTTTTTTTTTGTAGAGATAGGCTCACTGTGTTGCCCAGGCTGGGCCTGAACTCCTGGCTTCAAGTGATCCTTCCATCTCAGCCTCCCAAAGTCCTGGGATTACAGGCGTGAGCCACTGTGCCTGCCCCAATCTTGTGTTTTATTGCTGGCCACCTGTAGCCAGGCACTGTGCAGGATGATGGGATCCAGCAGTGTACAAGAAAGAGGCGGTTTCTGCTCTTAGGGAGTGGCAGTCAAGTTCCAGGGACCCCTCTGTCACAAGGCCAGGCCACAGCCTACATAGTTTATACCCCATTTACTGGCCAGTCAAATCACACAAAGACAGCCCAGATGAGGTCTGCCAGACAGTGGACTGAAACTATGCCATAGGCTCCTGTGCTAGATAAATACTTCCATATTTTAGCTAGGATTGAATGCTTGGGGACACCTACCTGTCTAAAAAAAGAGAAAACGGCTGACCAATTTGAGACATTCTCGGGGAAGGCTTTCCTGATGCCCAGATGTGGCAATTTCATGAAAAATATCACAGGTTTTCCTCATGAACCATTTGGTTCAAGCCATTTCCAGGCACATGAATTTGGGAGAAACCTGGTTGTCTGCAGGAGATGGTGGATGAAATCAAGTGAAATACTTAATGTGTTGATTTCATTCTGTTTACGTGCAGTAAATAGCAAACAAATGGTATAGATCTGTCCCTGATTTCCTTCTCCATCACCATGATCGGCCTCCACTCCAAAATGCTAAGTCAGGCTGGGTGCGGTGGCTCATGCCTATAATGCCAGCACTTTGGGAGGCCAAGGCAGTTGGATCACGTGAGGTCAGAAGTTCGAGACCAGCCTGATCAATATGGTGAAACCCCATCTCTACTAAAAAATACAAAAATTAGCTGGGCGTGGTGACACATGCCTGTAATCCCAGCTACTTGGGAGGCTGGGACAGGAGAATTGCTTAAACCCAGGAGGCGGAGGTTGCAGTGAGCTAAGATTGTGTCACTGCACTCTAGCCTAGGTGACAGAGCGAGACTGTCTCAAAAAAAAAAAAAAAAAAAAAGGAAGGAAGTCCTAAGGCCCCTTTCATTGTCAAAGATGGGTCTTGTCCTTAGTAGGTTCTCATAACCACTGATGCACTATTTTTTCTAGGGGGTTGAGTGTTTTTATTTTATTATTATTTTTTAGATGGAGGCTCACTCTGTTGCCCAGGCTGGAGTGCAATGGCGTGGTCTCGGTTCACTGCAACCTCTGCCTCCCAGGTTCAGGCGATTCTCCTACCTCAGCCTCCCCAGTAGCTGGGACTGTACAGGCGTGCGCCACCACGCTGGGCTAATTTTTGTATTTTTATTAGAGACAGGGTTTCACTATGTTGGCCAGGCTGGTCCCAAACTCCTGACCTCATGATCCGCCCACCTAGGCCTCCCAAAGTGCTGGAATTACAGGTGTGAGCCACCGCGTCCAGCCTATTTTTATTTTTTGAGATTAGCTCTCACTCTGTCACCCAGGCTGGAGCACAGTGGTGCAATCACGGCTCACTGCAGTCTTAACTTCCTGGGCTCTAGCGATTCTCCCACCTCAGCCTCCCGAATAGCTGAGACCTCAGGCGTGTTCCACCGTCCCCAGCTAACTTTTGTATTTTTTGGTAGAGGTGGGGTTTCACTATGTTGCTGAGGCTGGCATTAAACTCCTGACCTCAAGAGATCCACCTGCCTTGGCCTCCCAATGTGCTGGGATTAGAGGCATGAGCCACCACGTCCTGCCCTAAACAGACGTTTTAATTACGCTTGTCAAGTCCTCTTGTGAAATATTCATCTGCAGTGACTTGGTAAATGTGTTTGCTACCACACAGGATAAACAGTGTACAGACAAACATTTGACATACCTATGTTACCACAGTGTAAGAATGAATTTGGATCTGAGGTCGCTAAGATGCAGGCGTTTATCTTACCTCCCTCCAGCACCGGCATGGCTGTGGGGAAGGCCTCCCTCCTCCCTCTGAAGTTCTTGTCGCCATCAGTAGACTGGACATCTGCCTACAACCGACTTCACAGAAAGGACCTGACACCTGGCATGCTTCTCGTGTGCTTGAGAGCCTGTGTTTGTGTGGAAAGCAGGGATGTTCTCATTCACACCATGGGAAGAGAAGAATGTTGCGAGTAACAATCAGTACTTTTTTTTTTTTTTTTTTTTTTTGTGAGACAGAGTCTTGCTTTGTCACCCAGGCTGGAGTACGGTGGCGCGATCTTGGCTCACTGCAAGCTCTGCCTCCCGGGTTCACGCCATTCTCCTGCATCAGCCTCCCGAGCAGCTGGGACTACAGGCGCATGCCACCATGCCCAGCTAATTTTTGTATTTTTAGTAGAGACAGGGTTTCACCATGTTGGCCAGGATGGTCTCGATCTCTTGATCCACTGCGCCCAGCCAGGAACTTCTTTTTTTTTTTTGAGACGGAGTCTCACTGTGTCGCCAGGCTAGACTGCTGTAGTGCGATCTCGGCTCACTGCAACCTCCAACTCCCTGGTTCAAGGGATTCTCCTGCCTCTGCCTCCTGAGTAGCTGGGATTACAGGCGTGTGCCACCACACCCAGCTAAATTTTGTATTTTTAATAGAGATGGGGTTTCACTATGTTGGCCAGGATGGTCTCGATCTCCTGACCTTGTGATCCGCTCGCCTCGGCCTCCCAGAGTGTTGGGATTACAGGCATGAGCCACTACACCCGGCCTGGAACTTCTCTCTCTTTTTTTTTTTTTGAGACGGAGTCTCGCTCAGTCACCCAGGCTGGAGTGCAGTGGCACCATCTCGGCTCGCTGCAAGCTCCGTCTCCTGGGTTCATGCCATTCTCCTGCCTCAGCCTCCCGAGTAGCTGGGACTACAGGCGCCCACCACTATGCCCGGCTAATTTTTTTGTATTTTTAGTAGAGATGGGGTTTCACCGTGTTAGCCAGGATGGTCTCGATCTCCTGACCTCGTGATCTGCCTGCCTCAGCCTCCCAAAGTGCTGGGATTACAGGCGTGGGCCGCGGCACCCGGCCCAGGAACTTCTCTTATATCTAGAAGCCACCGGATGTTAACTAAGAGTCCTGGGAAGAAATGGTAGTCATTTAAAGCTTTTTTAAGAGGGAAGACTTGCACTGGGTCTTAATGAAAATACATAGGACAAAATTTTTCCTTCTGTATCAGCTCACGTAATCTTTCTGGCAATCTCATGAAGTAAATTTTAGCAGATAGAGTAGACACAGATGTAACATGACTTTTCCAAGATCACACACCTAGGAGGAAGGACCAGAAATGGAGCTCTTCCCATGTTGAATATCTGAATCTAATGATCTTTGCACTATGCCATAGGACAGGTGGCCAGGAAAGCATCTGAGACTGGGTGATGTAAGGGCTGGATACAGAGACAGAAAAAAGCAGGCAGTGTAACAGGAAGGAACGCAGCTAGCTATGGTAGATGGGATGTTGTTTTCAATTCCTCATTCCCTATTGCCATGTGACCTTGCAGTGCACGAAATGGGGGGAGTAGGATTCCTGTCCCACTGATGTTGGTTGGCTTCAGTCAAACATTATTATTATTATTTTGAGATGGAGTCTTGCTCTGTCGCTAGGCTGGAGTGCAGTGGCACGATCTCGGCTCACTGCAACCTCTGCCTCCTGGGTTCAAGCAATTCTTCTGCCTCAGCCTCCCGATTAGCTGGTACTACAGGAGCACGCCACCACACCCAGCTAATTTTTGTATATATAAATTTTTTTTAGTTGAGACAGGGTTTCACCATGTTGGCCAGGATGGCCTCAATCTCTTGACCTTGTGATCCGCCCGCCTTGGCCTCCCAACGTGCTGGGATTACAGGCGTGAGCCATTGCACCTGGCCAACCAAACTTATTTTTTAAGGTGGGTAGAAGCCATAGTGTACAGATCTGGAGATTGGCCTTAAGAGGTGTTGAGCATGTCATCAGCCCTTGTCACAAGTTTATGCCCTGAGTAGCTGTTGGATCATGGAAAGTGAAAGGCACTTGAAACAGACCTGAACTCAGCCTGAAGCCAAGCCTGCTGACCCTCAGCCTGAAACAAAGCTGTCCAAGCCTGCTGACCCTCAGTTTGAAACAAAGCTGTCCAAGCCTACTGACTCTCAGTTTGAAACACAGCTGTCCAGCTAGACCATAGTCACCTACAGTCTCATGAGCATGGCACTGAATGCTTTGTTGTAAGGCACTGAGTTTTGGGCTGGTTTACTAGGTAGCCTTTTTTGCAGCTCAAATAAAGGCTGTCTGATAGTGCAATTATATAAGAATGGTGAAATCAGGGCCTACGCCTTCTTAAGGAAATCTTCACTCACTGCAGTCTTGCAAGTCAATGGTCTTATTCTGCTTATCCAACTAATTCTGGAGCAGCTACATCTGGGAACCCCGTAGGCTCACGTCTACAACAGTGTCTTCATCCTGTCTTCTCAATCAGCCCCTTCTATTTCCAGTTCCAGGAATGGCCAACCACACCAGAAACCTGGGACTCACCTGGTCTCCCCACTCGCCTCTCCCTCCACCTCCTGCTCATCACCCAGCCTCAAAGGGTCTGTCTCCTCAGTGCCTCTCCTCTGTTCGGACCTCTCTGTCCCTACCACCGCTGCTGTGGTTGAGAGGGTTGTCAGCCCTGACTTCGAGAACAATCTTTTTTTTTTTTTGAGATGGAGCCTCAGTCTGTCGCCCAGGCTGGAGTGCAGTGGTGCGATCTTGGCTCACTGCAACCTCCGCCTCCCGGGTTGAAGTGATTCTCCTGCCTCAGCCTCCTGAGTAGCTGGGATTACAGGCATGCACCACCATGCCCCGCTAATTTTTGTATGTTTAGTAGAGACTGGGTTTCACCATATTGGTCAGGCTGGTCTCGAACTCCAAACCTTGTGATCCGCCCGCCTCTGAGATCAGAACTGAGATCACGCCACTGCATTCCAACCTGGGCAACAAGAGCTAACTCTGTCTCAAAAAAAAAAAAAAAAGTTTTTAAAGACAGGGTCTCGCTATGTTGCCCATGCTGGTCTTGAATTCCTGGGGTCAAGTGATGCTTCTGCTTTAGCCTCCCAAGGAGCTGGAATCATGGGTGCCCACCACCATGCTCGGCTACTATTTTCTTCAAAATTCAAATATTCTAGCTTAACAGTACCTATTAGATAAATAAATGGCAATTTTCTGGAACATTCTTTTTTTGGTTTTGTTTTGGTTTTTTTTTTTTTTTTTTTTTTTTGAAACGGAGTCTCCCTCTGTCGCCCAGGCTGGAGTGCAGTGGCGCAATCTCGGCTCACTGCCAGCTCCGCTTCCCGAGTTCACGCCATTCTCCTGCCTCAGCCTGCCGAGTAGCTACGACTACAGGTGCCTGCTACCACGCCCGGCTAATTTTTCTGTAGTTTTAGTAGAGACGGGGTTTCACCGTGTTAGCCAGGATGGTCTCGATCTCCTGACCTCGTGATCCACCCGCCTCGGCCTCCCAAAGTGCTGGGATTACAGGCTTGAGCCGTGGCACCCGGCCCAGGAACTTCTCTTATATCTAGAAGCCAGGCTTGGTGACTCTACTTGCTCACCAGATGATCCTACACCTGCCACCTCCGATGGATCCACTGCCTCTGTGCCTGCCTGTACTGCTGATGCTCCAGTGGATAACTCAGCATCCCAGCCTAGGCCCAATGCCACTGAAGATGGACCTGCCCCCTGGAGACCCAGGAGTTCTACCACTCAGCTGTCCCCAGAAGTGCCCAGACCCTCATTCTTATCCAGGACCTAGGAGCCCTACCCCCTGGCCTTCCGTCATCAGCCGTAAATGATGATTTACTGCTGTTACCATCATCACTGCATTTAGTAACCAAGGGCCTTCCAAGGTGCCAGCTCTGGAACGAAGGATGCCTTTGGGAGGTGATGACACTCAGGTACACGGGTGCTCAACAGATTGCTTCCTCCTATCCTCAGATGGTCTTTGCATGCATGCAGCCATTGGCACTCCCATTGTACGCAAGGAAACCAGCCCAGGGTCACACAGCTGGTCAGCAGCAACACAGCTGGTCTCAAATCTAAGGTGCCTGGCCATGCCTCCATGAGGGACCGCCTGCAAGGGAGGTTGATCCTGGCTTTGGGGAGCCTTTCCTGGGCTGCACGAGTAACCTCCAATGTTTGAGGCCCCAAACTCTGCTCACATCTTCCTTTCCCTGTCTCTGCTTGGGCTATGATCACGGTGACTCTAGCAACCCTTCATGGACATTATAGTACTCTCTGCCATTCACTTTTGGTCTAATCTGACTTCAACCCCCACTTACTTGGTCTCTCCTTTTACAACCAACACAACCGAAATCCGAGGGCTTCTTTTTTTTTGAGACAGAGTCTCATTCCATTCTGTCACCCAGGCTGGAGTGCAATGGCACGATCTCGGCTCACTGCAACCTCCACCTCCTGGGTTCAAGGGATTGTCCTGCCTCAGCCTCCTGAGTAGCTGGGATTACAGGCGGGTGCCACCGTGCCTGGCTAATTTTTGTATTTTTAGTAGAGACGGGGTTTCACCATGTTGGTCAGGCTGATCTCGAACTCCTAACCTCGTGATCCGCCTGCCTCAGCCTCCCAAAGTGCTGGGATTACAGGCGTGAGCCACCATGCCCAGCCAAATCTAGGGCTGGAACATGGCTGCAGCATATAAATAGAATTGAATTCCATAGTTTTGTTAACCCTGTTTTTTGTTTGTTTGTAGTTGTTGCTGTTTTTGAGACTGAGTCTCGCTCTGTCGCCTAGGCTGGAGTGCAGTGGTGCAATCTCGGCTCACTGCAGACTCTGCCTCCCGGGTTCAAACTATTCTCCTGCCTCAGCCTCCCAAGTAGGTGGGACTAAGGCGCCCACCACCACACCCGGCTAATTTTTGTATTTTATTAGAGACAGGGTTTCACCATATTGGCCAGGCTGGTCTGGAACTCCTGACCTTGTGATCCACCCACCTCGGCCTCCCAAAGTGCTGGGATTACAGGCGTGAGCCACCACACCCAGCCCCTGTTTTGTTTTTGTTTTGCTTGTTTCTTAGGGTTGTTTTTCTATTTATGGTAAAGGCATTGGCTTTCCATTTGTAGCATCAATAGAATATTTCCTGTTTACAATAACCTTATGTCATAGTAAATGGTAAAGGGATTTAAAGCAGTGGTTTTCAGCTGCCAGAGGCCTGAGTGAGTTTGGGCACACTCTGTGTGATCGGGCAGAAGGCCTGTGGGAAGTTCAGCTGAGGACAGGGCCAGGAAAGGTGATGGACAGTGGGGGTCTGTCCTGGTCACCAGACCCCTGGGTCCTGCCCACCTGCTTGGAGCTCCCCACCCATCACACATGATGCTGCCAAGCCCTCTGGGTATTGTGGGCAAATACCTTAGGAGAGAAGCTGATGAACTTTGTTTCTTGAAATGCACAGATTCCTTGGACGTCCCTGAGAGGTCAATGATGAAGGTCAACTTGGTTTTCTCCCCCTCATTTGGGTTCAGAATTTAAAGTCCACACACACAGGCAGTAAGATGATTATAGATAAGGACATCATCACTCGGTTTCAGATGTTAAAATGTCTAGGTGGGTTAGGGGTGATTTGAGATCACACAACCTTGTGCCACAAAGAGGAATTCCCAGGCCAGGGGGAGACATTTTATTGCCATGTTATGATCTCATCATTGAGTTGAAAGGCAATCTTGTTTCATTTTGGATTCTTTCTTATGTTTATGTCTTATAAGGGCACTTTGAATTTCCAAGCAAATAATAATTTTGAATTAGCTTTTAATCATTGACTTCTAGCACAGTTATATGATCAGAAACATGCTGTGTGATTTGATTGCTCTCAAATATATTGAGATTTGCTGGAACAAAATAAGTCAGGTTAATTTTTGTAAATGTACCATGCATGCTTAAAATGAATGTATCTACATTTGTTCCTGAGATACAGGTTGATGGACGGATGGCTACATGGATGTGATGGAGATGGTTTACTATCGGGACCTTCCGCATCCTGCTGATGTTTTGTTGCTTAGGATATGAATGGCTGAGCGGAGGCTGTAAAACCTGGCACTCTGCTTGGGTATGAAGTTCTTCCTGCCATCCTGCCATCATTTGTTTTTTATGTTTTGTCGCCAAAAGTGACCTTGAGGAACCCTGGGAGCTCAGGAAGGAAGGAGAGCCCAGAAGCAGGGACAGGGAGCTGGTTGGGGAGGACCAGAAATCAGGTTTGTGAAGGTTCCAGAGAGGACCTGTCCTTGCGAGGAGTGTGGGAGACTGAGATGGGGGAGGGGTCATTGGAATGATGCGGGCGCTACTTGGCATTGTCCATTGTGAGGCACCACCGGGGTCATCAGGGATTGGTGGAGAGGGAGTATAAAGCCCCAGGGTTGCTAAGGGAGGGCCCAGACCGAAGAAGGTTTGGTGGATAGCAGAACCTTTTTGTCTCCCTCTAATTGCTCCTAAGCCTCACGCTCCCTTGCCCCACGTGTCCTGTTGCTTCCCTGATCTTCTCCGTGACCTGTAGCTAAACCTTCCACCAGCGCTTGAGAACTTAATTTGAACCGGATCCTTTCCCAGACCCCTTTCTTCTCCTCCTCCTCCTCCTCCACCTCCTCCAGGTGCCCAACAGCCCCCTTCTCCTCCTTTCCCTTCCCTTACTTCCCCCCTTCCCCTCCCCTCCCCCTCCCCCTCCCCTCCCCCTCCCCTCCCCCTCCCCTCCCCCTCCCCTCCCCCTCCCCTCCCCCTCCCCAACTTAGATCCGGCCCCGGTCCCCGTCCCCTTCCCTCCCCCCTGCCCTAAGCCACCTCCACCTCTGTCCTGGCCGCCTCAGGGCGCCCTGAAAGGACCAGGACATGCGGCTGCGCTTTTGGCTCCTCATTTGGCTCCTGCTGGGATTTATCAGCCATCAGCCCACCCCTGTGAGTAGACGCTGGACCCGCCGGGTTTCTTCCTTTTTACTGGGCTGTGTCACGCGGCATGAAATTACACAGCTCAGGCCTGTAATCCCAGCACTTTAGGGGGCCGAGGTGGGCAGATCACTTGAGTCCAGGAGTTGAAGACTAGCCAGGGCATCATGGCGAAACCCCATCTCTACAAAAAATTCCAAAAAAGATTAGTCGGGCCTGGTGGTGCGTACCTGTTATCACAGTTACTGGAGAGGCTGAGGTGGGAGGATCGCTTGGGCCCAGGAGCTGGACGTTGCAGTGAGCTGAGATGGCCCCGCTGCACTCTTGTCTCTAACAAACAAAATGGACCAAAACAAAGTGAAATGTCATTTGATTTGTGTCACCTGGTTTGATGCCTTTTTTTTTTTTTTTTTTTTTTTGACAGAGTCTCACTCTGTCGCCCAGGCTGGAGTGCAGTGGCAAGATCTCGGCTCACTGCAACCTCCGCTTCCGGGGTTCAAGCAATTGTCCTGCCTCAGCCTCCTGAGTAGCTCAGATTACAACGCCTGGCTAATTTTTGTATTTTTAGTAGAGACGGGGTTTTACCATGTTCGCCAGGATAGTCTCCATCTCTTGACCTCGTGATCCGCCTGCCTCGGCCTCCCAGTGCTGGGATTACAGGCGTGAACCACCGCGCCTGGCCAAAATATATAACCTTAAGTGTAAGTTTACTAACTTTGGAAAGTACATACACCAGCATAAACCGACCCCCTTTCAAGATCTACATTATTTTATTTATTTATTTATTTATTTGAGACAGTTTCTCCCTTGTTGTCCAGGCTGGAGTGCAATGGGGCAATATCAGCTCACCGCAACCGCTGCTTCCCAGGTTCGAGCGATTCTCCTGCCTCAGCCTCCCGAGTGGCTGGGATTACAGACATGTGCCACCACTCCCAGCTAATTTTGTATTTTTAGTAGAGATAGGGTTTCTCCATGTTGGTCAGGCTGGTTTTGAACTCCCGACCTCAGGTGATCCGCCCGCCTTGGCCTCCCAAAGTGTTGGGATTACAGGCGTGAACCACCGTGCCCAGCCAAGATCTACACTATTATGTCACCCCAGAAAGTGAACTCCCACTCTTCCCAGCCAGTCTCTTTCTTATCATAGGTTAGCTTGCTTATTCTGGAATTTCGCGTATACAGATGCATGCCATGCCATAGGTACTCTTTTGTGTCTGCTTTATTCTGCTCAACACCATGTTTCTGAAATCATTACCGTTGTTGTATGGTTCTCTAACTCCATCATTTCCATTTCAGACTCAGCATATGCTGAGTTCCACCTGTTGAAGGGCTATCTCTGTTTAATTCACCATCTTGAAAGAAACATTTAAAATTGAGATGTTTTCAAGAATATATAGTTAAATCCTGAGGAATCGATGTAGAAATGTTATCACAAGCTGTCTGAACTTACTCAGGGGAAGTCTTCGTCTTCACTCACATAAGAGTCTAATGGAATTAATATCAACAATCTTAGAGAAATCCCACACTATTCATGCCATTTTCATGATCTCCACCTTGGTAATTTTTTTTTTTTTTTTTTTTTTGAGACAGAGTCTCGCTCTGTCACCCAGGCTGAAGTGCAGTGGTGCGATCTCGGCTCACTGCAACCTCTGCCTCCTGGGTTCAAGTGATTCTTCTGCCTCAGCCTCCCAAGTAGCTGGAACTATAGGCACGTGCCACCATGCCCTGCTAATTTTTTGTAATTTTAGTAGAGATGGGTTTCACCGTGTTAGCTAGGATGGTCTCAATCTCCTGATCTCGTGGTCCACCCACCTCGGCTTCCCAAAGTGCTGGGATTGCAGGCGTGAGCCACCACACCCGGCCCACCTTGTTAATTTTTAAGCACTAAAATTTGATACTTATTTGTGAATGAAGTAATCTCTTCATTGTATTTTTTTTTTTTTTTTTACTTATGCTGAGCTTTAAATGACAAAGATTCATATAATCCAAGAGAGAAGTATTATTTAGAGGGATTCTTTTACCATGTGATATATAATAAATGCATCCAATGTTATACATCAATTTAAAAAACAAGTAAATAACTTTAAAGAAAAGATAACTACTGGCCAGGTGCAGTGGCTCACACCTGTATTCCCAGCACTTTGGGAGGCCGAGGCAGGTGGATCAAGAGGTCACGAGTTGGAGACCAGCCTGGCCAAGATGGTGAAACCCTGTTTCTACTAAAAATACAAAAATTAGCCGAGTGCGGTGGCAGGCGCCTGTAATCCCAGTTACTCAGTAGCTGAGGCAGGAGAATCGCTTGAACCCGGGAGGCGGAGGTTGCAGTGAGCTGAGATCATGCCACTGCAATCTAGCCTGGGTGACAGAGCAAGACTTTGTCTCCAAACAAAAAGAAAAGATAATTACTTTATACTTAGCTTGTCTTAGCCATGAGTGACGGGCTGCATGTGGCCCAGGACAGTTTTGAATGCAGTTCAACACAAATTTGTAAACTTTCTTAAAACATTAGGAGATTTTGGCCAGGTACAGTGGCTCATGCCTGTAATCCCAGCACTTTGGGAGGTTGAGGCGGGCAGATTACCTGAGGTCAGGAGTTCGAGACCACCCTGGCCAACATGGCAAAACCCCATCTCCACAAAAAATACAAAAATTTGCTGAGTGCATTGTCAGGCACCTGTACTCCCAGCTACTCAGGAGGCTGAGGCAGGAGAATCACTTGAACCTGAGAGGCAGAGGTTGCAGTGAGCCGAGAGCACGCCACTGCACTCCAGCCTGGGTGACAGAGTGAGACCCCATCTCAAAAACAAAACACCAAACAAAAACAAAAACAAAAAAAAATGGCTGGGCACGGTGGCTCACACCTGTAATCCCAGTACTTTCAGAGGCCGAGGCAGGCAGATCGCCTGCCAGGAGTTCAAGGCCAGACTGGCCAACATGGTGAAACCTCATCTCTACTAAAAATACAAAAATGAGTCGGGCATGGTGGCAGAGACCTGTAATCTCAGCTACTCGGGAGGCTGAGGGAGGAGAATGGCTTGAGCCCAGGAGCTGGAGGTTGCAGTGAGCCGAGATTGCACCACTGCACTCCAGCCTGGGCGACTGAGTGGAGCGGAACTCTGTCTCCAAAAAAAAAAAAAAAGAGTTTTTTTTTAGATCATCAGCTATTGTTAGTGTTAGTGTATGTTATGTGTGGCTCAAGACAACTTTGCTTCTTTTAATATAGGCAGGGAAGTGAAAAGATTGGATATCCCTGCTTTATACCAAGAAAGACAACACCCCACATTTGCAATGCCTAAAAACACTACCAGCCATCTGAAAAACATGAGACTTCTAACTTCTGTTCTTTTTTGTAGCAGTGGAATCCCACGGTGATATCTGAGGGATGTGGTTACCTTTTGGAGGAGGTTGACGGTTTCTAAGGATGATTCTTTCTGAGTGAAATATTGTCGGTGTCATTGACCTTTTCATTCTTTCAACTATTATTATTCCAGGTCATCAATAGTCTGGCTGTCTATCGTCATCGTGAGACTGACTTTGGTGTAGGAGTTCGAGACCACCCTGGCCAACATGGCAAAACCCCATCTCCACAAAAATTGGATAATTTGATAATTATCATTATTGGGTTTCTGAGACGTGACACATTTACCATTCTCTTCTGCACAAGTTACCTTTGTGTGAGTATACTAACTTTCTGTAGAGGTATACTTGTAATCACAAATAAGAATAAATTATATAAAACAATTCACGTTTCTGGACTTCATTATGAATATGTGGTTTTACCCAAAAAATCAGGGAAATGATTTATTAGCATAAGAATTATGAAAATGTCTGCCAT
The DNA here is from genome assembly GCF_000001405.40 of Homo sapiens. Taxonomy (NCBI): domain Eukaryota; kingdom Metazoa; phylum Chordata; class Mammalia; order Primates; family Hominidae; genus Homo; species Homo sapiens. Next base: position 74,381,860 of record NC_000016.10, read on the forward strand.
TTACATTATGAAAATTAAATAGGTCGGTGTTTGTTTAATAGAATGTCAACAGAGCTTTTGGTCAAAAATAAGTTTTTTTAGCCTTTGTGCTATTTATCACAAATGGAGTATGAGGTTTCGTCACTTAAATAGGAAATTCTTTCTAAACTCTTCTGCTTTATAGTTCTATCGTATGGGTGGAAGGAAAGCTTCCAATCTCCTCTCTGAAGATTCACTGCAGAAATGAGCTGACAACAGACAGCTTAACAGGAAAAGAAAAACATAGAACAGGCATAAACATGGGAACCAGCTGAAAAATGAGACTGCTAGAAGGGCCGGATGGTTGATGCTTAAAGAGCACCCTCTTCTGAGGGGAGAGGGAGATAGATGGAGATGTAGGCCATTTAGAGGGGCAGCAAATGATTTTTAGGGGAAATGAAAGAGGCCAAGGAACAAACAATTGGCCTGAGACAAAGTTCCTCTGAGGTCATAGGGACGAGGTGACAAACTGCCGGAAGGTGAAGGGCAGAACTGCACTGCGTCTCATGATGCAGAGAAAGCCCCAGAGAATCTCTTAGAACTGCCCTCCAAGAGAATCAATGAAAAGTGTGTCTGGGCAGGGTAATTTTGAATGACATCATTCAAAGTGCATGTTCCCACTTGCAACTGGAAAGAGATCAGTATGTCAAAAGTCTGTACTTGGTAAGAATTTGGCTGCTAAGTTGTGCCATAATTTGTCTTTTGAGCCTTTTTTCCTTTGGGTAAGTTGAGCTCTACATTTTGTCTTACCATTCATGACAGTAAAAATGTGGTTTTCTGGGGGCTGAACCTCCTTCTGAACAATGATCCAAGATAAAAGTACTAATACCACAATGCTTTTTTATATTCAAGGGAAGAGGAAGTATGTTTCAGTTTTACCACCTAGATAATTACAAGTCATTTGGCACTGCCTTTCAAGATATGTAGAAAACAGAAAATATATGAGTTATGAAGATATCTAGGCACATTTAACATTCTCTATGCCACTTAGTCCTGAACAGAGAATTTTTGGTATAAATTGGAGGAAGCTTTTTTTTTTTTTTTTTTTTTCTTTTCTCACCCCCGAAACGAGTCTCCCTCTGTTGCCCAGGCTGGAGTATAATGGTGTGATCTCGGCTCACTGCAACCTCCACCTCCTGGCTTCAAGCGATTCCCCTGCCTCAGCCTCTCAAGTAGCTGGGATTACAGGTGCCCACCACCATGCCCAGCAAATTTTTGTATTTTTAGTAGAGTCGGGGTTTTACCATGTTGGCCAGGCTAGTCTCAAAACCCGACCTCAAATGATCCACCCGCCTCAGCCTCCCAAAGTGCTGGGATTACAAGCGTGAGCCACCACGTGAGCCAGGGGAAGTTTTTAAATTTACCACTTTTTAACAGTTCCATTTAGGAAAGTTCAGTTGAGCTGCTGGACTTGGACAACTTCGCACCTCTCATCTTTGTCCTTGTCATCTAGTCATCTATACCATTACCTCCTAAGCAGGGACATCATGGGTGCCATGAAGCATTCATGCGTGATGGCATTTCTTTGCTTCTCATTTCTTCATGTGTTTGACATTTCTCCTAGCTCCAAACTGGGCCAGCTACCTTTCCTATGAAATCTAGTAGTAGCTGTGGGATTGACGTGGTTGCTCTTTTCATCTTTTTAGATTACCCATTGCTTCTCTCGAAATCCTAGTATATGATTTTTTTTTTTTATCCTATGTGCAGAAATCAGGAAAAAACAAATTCTACAAAGAATTTGAAAGATATTATTTCAGGCCAGGTGTGGTGGCTCATGCCTGTAATCCCAGCACTTTGGGAGGCTGAGGCAGGTGGATGACTTGAGGTCAGGAGTTCAAGACCAGATGGGCCAACATGGTGAAACCCCATCTCTACTAAAAAGACAAAAATTAGCCAGGCATGGTAGCAGGCACCTATAATCCCAGCTACTTGGGAGGCCGAGGCACAAGAATCGCTTGAATCTGGGAGGTGGAGGTTGCCGTGAGCCAAGGTAGCGCCACTGCACTTCAGCATGGTTGAGAGTGACACTCCATCTCAAGAAAAAAGTCATTTCAATGACTACCTCAGGAGATTCATAGGTATCTGACCCACATCTGAGATGGGATTTGCATTGCATTTTCGCTATGATGAGAACAAATATTTAATATCTTAGAAGATTAAAAGCATACTGTGATAATATGGAAATCTTGGTGGGAATTCAGTCATTAGTGAGAATGTTTTGCGTTAAGTTCAAACCAGCCTCAATGAAGCTGATGTGAGGGAAGGGAAAGTGAACTCTGAGTAGAGCAGGGACAGAAGGAAGATGCTCCAGTGCAGATCAGGAAGGAGCAGGGGGTGAAATGTTACAAATTCTAGAACTCAGAGAGCTGAAGGTAATTACTTCCTTTTCAAGTTGTGAAACATGTTAACCTGTGGTAAAATACTTATAAGATGATAATTACCATCTAACCGTGTTGAAGTGTACAGTTCAGTTGTGTGAAGTATATTCATGTCATTTTTTTTTTTTTTTTGAGACGGAGTCTCACTCTGTCACCAGGCTGGAGTGCAGTGGTGGGATCTTGGCTCACTGCAACCTCTGCCTCCTGGGTTCAAGCAGTTCTCCTGCCTCAGCCTCCCGAGTAGCTGGGACTACAGGCGTGCATCACCATGCTCAGCTAATTTTTGTATTTTTAGTAGAGACGGGGTTTCACCATGTTGCCCAGGATGGTCTCCATCTCTTGACCTTGTGATTCACCCGCCTCAGCCTCCCAAAGTGCTGGGATTACAGGCGTGAGCTACCGCACCTGGCCTATTTTTTTTTTTTTTTTTTTTTTTTTTTTTGAGACAGAGTTTCAATTTTGTTGCCCAGGTTTGGAGTGCAATGGCACAATCTCAGCTCACCACAACCTTTTCCTGCTGGGTTCAAGTGATTCTCCTGCCTCAGCCTCCCGACTAGCTGGGATTACAGGCATGCACCACCATGCCTGGCTAATTTTGTATTTTTAGCAGAGACAGCATTTCTCCATGTTGGTGAGGCTGGTCTCAAACTCCCGACCTCAGGTGATCCACCTGCCTCGGCCTCCCAAAGTGCTGGGATTACAGGAGTGAGTCACCGTGCCAGCCTCATGTCATTCTTGTGTGTGTGTGTGTGTGTGTGTGTGTGTGTGTGTGTGTGTGTGACAGAGTCTCATTCTGTCGCTCAGGCTGGAGTACAGTGGTGTGATCTCGGCTCACTGCAACCTCCGCCTCCCAGCTTCAAACGGTTCTCTGCCTCAGCCTCCCGAGTAGCTTGGATTACAGGCGCCCGCTGCCATGCCTGGCTAATTTTTGTATTTTTAGTAGAGACAGGGTTTCACCATCTTGGCCAGGCTGGTCTTGAACTCCTGACCCCGTGATCCACCTGCCTCGGCCTCCCAAAGTACTGGGATTATTTATACGCATGAGCCACCGTGCCCAGCCGTCATTCTTATATTATTATTTCCTAGGTGTCTTTCCTGAAGACTATCTTCTGGTCTCGAAATGGACATGATGGATCCACGGATGTACAGCAGAGAGCCTGGAGGTCCAACCGCAGTAGACAGAAAGGTATGGCTCTGTTGGAGTCCCCATAGTGTGGAAATGAGTTTGCCCTGGAAAGGGAAAGAACAGCTTCTTGACCTCAGGTTTCTCACCTTCTCCTCTCCTCACTCTCACCAAGGGCTGAGGTCCATTTGTATGCACACAAAGAAAAGAGTTTCTTCCTTTCGAGGAAATAAAATTGGCCTGAAAGACGTCATTACTCTACGGAGGCATGTGGAAACAAAAGTTAGAGCTAAAATCCGTAAGAGGAAGGTGACAACGAAAATCAACCGTCATGACAAAATCAATGGAAAGAGGAAGACCGCCAGAAAACAGTAAGATGTGCCTTGACACAAATACTGTTGTATGAACCATGTGCCAATCAAAGTAGACAACTGTAAAGTCCTTGAGAATATTTTCTACAATATTTGTGGCAAATTCAGTGGGCTCAAAATTGAGTTTGTCCTTTCTGCTTCATTAGTTTAAGCTGTATAATTCCTTTCCCTTCCTACATTCTTGTTTGTAATTTTTTCGGGGGAAGAGGAGTTGCTAGTACTGGCATTGGTTTTCCTTTCTCTCTTTTTTTTTTTTTTCCTGAGATGGAGCTTTGCTGTTGTTGCCCAGGCTGTAGTGCAATGGCACAATCTCAGCTCACTGCCTTTTGGCTTCAAGCAATTCTCCTGCCTCAGCCTCCCAAGTAGCTGGGATTACAGGTGCCCACCACCACGCCCAGCTAATTTTTGTATTTTTACTAGAGATGGGGTTTCACCATGTTGTCCAGGCTGGTCTCGAACTTCTGACCTCAGGTAATCCACCTGCCTCAGCCTCCCAAAGTGCTGGGATTAGAGGTGTGAGCCACCACACCCAGCCTTTTTTTTTTTTTTTTTTTTAAATTTTGAGATAGAATCTCGCTCTGTCGCCCAGGCTGGAGTGCTATGGTGCAATCTTGGCTCACTGCAACCTCTGCCTCCCAGTTTGAAGCAATTCTGCCTCAGCTTCCTGAGTAGCTTGGATTACAGGTGTGTGCCACCACATTCGGCCAATTTTTTTTTTTTTTTTTTTGAGACAGAGTCTCACTCTGTCACCCAGGCTAGAGTGCAGTGGCATGATCTTGGCTCACTGCAACCTCCGCCTCCCAGGTTCAAGCGATTCTTATCCCTCAGCCTCTTGAGTAGCTGGGACTACAGGCATATGCCACCATGCCCGGATAATTTTTGTATTCTTAGTAGAGGCGGGGTTTCACCATATTGGCCAAGCTGGTCTAGAACTCTGGACATCATGATCCACATACCTCGGCCTCCCAATGTGCTGGGATTACAGGCGTGAGCCACCGTGCCCGGCCCAATTTTTGTATTTTTAGTAGAGACAGGGGTTCACCATGTTGGCCAGGCTAGTCTTGAACTCCTGACCTCAGGTGATCTGCCTACCTCAGCCTCCCAGTGTGAGCCACCGCACCCAGCCTGGATTGTTGAATTCAATGCTTGGGTCACCTCCAGATTCATTTTCACAGTCTTTCATGTTTTGGTCATATTACATTGTATTTTGCTGCCATATGACTGATCTCTTTTTGTTAAATGTGAGATACTTGTTAAAAAATATTTAGCAATGAATTGAGGCCTAGTGGCATGTTATCTTGCTGCAGAAGAGATGGGAGTCTACTTCTGGGGGATGGTCACGGGTCCTCCATACAGGCTGCAATTGAGGTCGTCGGTGCAGGCTCAGTCCCTAGAAAGGCCAGGGTATTTCCTGTCCACCTCTATTCTGATGCATGACTCTTCTGGGTCTCAACCAGAGCCAGTGGACTTCAGTACGGGTCGCTTTCATTGGCAGACCCTCAATCCACTTGTTTTCCATCTAATCCCACGCATGTGTGCAAAAGCTGCTGTGCTTCTTTGCATCTCAGTAGTTCCTTCTGGAATTCAGCAATGAAACTCAGGGAAATGGATTCCAAATGCGAGGCTGACTTTCGTCCTGGGTTTCCTTCTTCTCCATCTTCACCTCATGTCTGTTTACTGCCATGTTAGCTATTTGATGTATTCAATCATGGGTTTTATATTCTGTTTGGTGTCCCCCATTGTTCTCATCGGAGATCAGAAGCTTCAGATGCACTTATGTCAACTCAAGAGTAGAATGCTTCCTTAGCTTCCCTCCAGAGTCAGGTTTTGTGTTTCTAGTTCCCAAGTGCACAGCAGGAGTAGTGATGTCCTCACTGGCTTCTCATTTGCATTAAACTGTGAGCTTCTTTAGCGTGGGGACAGGACCCTGCTCCCATTGCATTCTCAGCACCACACCACACACTCCTTGTTGGAGGCCACTCCAGACAGCATGTGCTGAAGGATGCCCTGTGGTCAGAAACAAGTTCATTAACTTTCCCTTTGAAGTGTTTTCGCCCCTGTTTCCTAGCGTTCTGGGAATTTTACACATCCTTCCTATAAAACCAAGTATCAGGTGAGATCCTTAGGATCAGGACCATGAATCAAGTGGTGTGAGGGCAACACAGCAAACTTACCCTTTTTAGGCCATTTCCTTTTTCTGCCCTCAAACTCTGTGAACTGAACCTTGTTAAAGTCAGTCAACACCAGGGTGGATGGTTTGCCGTTGTCACCTATTTTCAGGACATAACACCCTGACTTAGGAGCCATTCCGATCATTTCTAATTCAATAGATGCACCCAGCATTCAGATTGCCTTTTCTCTCAACCAGGATCTTTAAAGTCGATGACAAGAGTTCCAGTCCTGAATCATGGCAAAGTGCAGTAGTGAACTGCGGGGTTAATGACACCATATTCTGGAAGGATCTCTCTATGGCTGATGGTCTCAGTTCTGGCATCAGCCTCTGACTGAGAAGCAGGTCTCACACAGGAAGAGTCAGATGAGGAGCAATCCTCTGCTTCCGATGGAGTTAGTTGTGATGAGTTGGTGAGGTCTGGTTTTTCACACTGAACTAAAATGATCTTTCGCTGTGTCAAACACAAGACTGACCCCAGACACACACATAGTGCACCTCATAGAAGCTTTTAATAGTCTTTATATTTACTAAAGAATAGGACTAACTATGGAACTATGAAGATGAGCTGGAAATGACAGGTGACTTGCCAGCAGGCCAGAGTGTGATTTTTTTTGGTCCCTCAATGGGAGGTGTCCATTCTCCCTTCGGTTGTGAGAATCAGTTGGTTCATTTGTGGGAAGGTTGCAGGGGGGATCTTTGAATCACAGCCTTCAGATGCCAGAAGGGCAGAGGGAATCCCACATGGACTGGTGGATCATGTGTGTGCATTTCTCTCCCTTCTAACCTGAGGAAACTAAGCATGAAAGAATGTGAGCACACAGAAAAGGAGAGGCAGGTATCAGAGGCAGAGGAAAATGGGAAATTGGATATGAAAGAAATACACACCTACAAGTGAGTTCAGAAACTGAACCCCACCCTCCTGGGAAACGCCCATTGGAGTGTTGTTTATAACCTCTGTACAATGTTTAGACCCAGTAAATGCAGAAATAGAAACAAATGGTCAGAAGACCTATCGTGAGAGAGAGAGAGAGTTCACAAAACAGAAAACAAAGTACCTGAATATTTACCAGTGACCAAAAGATGTGAAGTAGCAAAACGTCTCCTGACCCCATTGCCAGCTAGACTGTGTGGAAACTCGGTTCATACCAGCCATTCTAGGGGTGGGGTGAGTTGTTGTCATCCTTAGGAAAGTGTGTTGTTGTAGGATCAACCACATCCTTCAAAAGGACTATGCCTGTTTATAAGCCCAGCTCTTTCTGCCCTGTGAAACACGGTAAGGATATTAATACAAAGAGAATACAGCTTTATGATAAAAGATGCTCAATGAAGGATGAATTAGGGATATACTGAGAATGGGGAAGGAAACTATCATCTCAGAAGTCAGCAGGCAGTAAGCAAGAGGAGGAATCAATATAGCAACAGTTTGGATCAGACCGTACAGTTTTTTTGTTTTTGTTTTTGTTTTTCTGAGATGGAGTCTCACTGTGTCACCCAGGCTGGAGTGCAATGACGTGATCTTGGCTCACTGCAACCTCCGCCTCCCAGGTTCAAGTGATTCCCCTGCCTCAGCCTCCCGAGTAGCTGGGATTACAGGTGCCTGCCACCACGCCCGGCTAATCTTTTGTATTTTTAGTAGAGACGGGGTTTCACCGTATTAGCCAGGATGGTCTCAATCTCCTGACCTCGTGATCCATCCGCCTCGCCCTCCCGGAGTGCTGGGACTACAGGCATCAGCCACCGTGACCGGCTCAGACTGTACTCTTATAGCCATCTGAAATACGTTTTCTAGGTAGAGATAGATTGTGTAAGGGTACAGTTGTGAGGATAACAGAAACATGGCAGATTATTTAAAATCATCCTGAACATGGTGCTTTATCTGATGAAAGTGATTGTAATCCATAGGAAAATGTTTCAACGTGCGCAAGAGTTGCGGCGGCGGGCAGAGGACTACCACAAATGCAAAGTAAGGAGCTTCCTCCCCGCAGTTGCAGGATAGTTCAGTGCTGATGCAGATGATGCCACGGCTCTTAGACTCTCTCAACATTCAATTTCTCATGTGTTGGCTTTTTCAGATCCCCCCTTCTGCAAGAAAGCCTCTTTGCAACTGGGTAAGTTTGCTTGTTTTCCTTGCTTTTGAACATAGTCTGCCAGGTCAGGACATGGATACATTTTTCTCCCTACAGCTCTGTGCTCAAGCCCTGCAGAGGGAGATGGCAGAGAGGAAGGCTGCCTACAGGCATCACAGTCCCATCCCTGTTGGTAACCGTGTTGTGCAAAAACACCTTCATCCCCACCCAGTGGGGCCCCTGATCTAATATTCAAAGTGTCAGAGGTTCCATATTTGTAATAGCAAATGGGCCCTGACTGTAAATTAGTGAAGAGTGAATGTAACTTATTACCCACAGGGACAATTCCAAATGAAGGCCTTAAATGATGCTCAGCTAAGCTGGTTCTTGTGTGGCCTCTGTACCTTCAAAAGCTGCCGAGTCCTATGATTACACGTGATGGGACTTGTGCACTTGAAGTGAAACACAGTTTTAAAACTTGCTTTGTTTAGAATTCCCACCTCATTTTTCCATGGACAAAAGTATTCTTTATGTCCTAGTGCACTTACAATTTGGTATTACCTGGGAGTGAAAAGAAATATTACAGCCATGCCTAACTGACTTCTTGAGGTAAGATTGTTCTGTCAGAAAACCCTCTCCCAGTTCCCCTGCAGCTCTTCAGGAACCCACATCTCTCCAGAGCTCTTTGTTCTCATGGGTGGCACCTCCAGAGTGAAGAAGATCCTTTGTCAAGAAGGGAAACAGAGGGGAAATGAGAGGGTCCTGCAGGCAGAGCTGGAATCAACTTCCACTCTGCCTCTTGCAAGCTGTGTGACCCTGGGCACAATTTCTCCTTCCTCTGGAAACCTCTGTTTTCTTAGATTTGGAGCAGGGTGGTCACACTGACCTTGCAGAGTCCTGAGAATCAGAGACAGAACATAAAAGGCCTGGAAAACATTCTCCAAAAAGAAGCTGCAACATGTGTGGACAATGGGCTTTTCATGCCTCTCTTACTGTCTCTTACTGTCTGTTGACCTGGTGCAAGAAACATGCTCTGGTGATGGCTGTGAGGGAGGAATGAGGATAGACATAGACACTCCTGTGTCTCAAACATGCCTCTTTATTACTCTGTTATGACTCTGTCTTCCCTGGGGCAGGACCCCAGCCTGCCTACATTTGCAGACAGACACAGTGGCATGTGGAGACAACAGTGTGTCCCAATGACTTTTCTTTACTCCCCAGCTGTCGGCAGTACTCAGTGGAAGGGTGATATCATGACACTGATACTGCTATTTTGAAACCTGGAGGATGGAAAGGTGCAAAAATCTATCACCAGCAACAGAAGGTGCAGACTGTGTTGGTGGCGGTAATTTTGTCCATCAAATGAATATGTGTGAAAACATTCCCTCCTTTGGCCCTACAGGTCAGAATGGCGGCAGCGGAGCATCGTCATTCTTCAGGATTGCCCTGCTGGCCCTACCTCACAGCTGAAGCTTTAAAAAACAGGATGGGCCGCCAGCCACCTCCTCCAACTCAACAACATTCTATAACTGATAACTCCCTGAGCCTCAAGACACCTCCCGAATGTCTCCTTCATCCCCTTCCACCCTCAGTGGATGATAATATCAAGGAGTGTCCTCTTGCTCCTCTTCCACCCTCAGTGGATGATAATCTGAAGGAGTATCTCCTGGTCCCTCTTCCACCCTCTCCTCTTCCACCCTCAGTGGATGATAATCTGAAGGACTGTCTCTTTGTCCCTCTTCCACCCTCTCCTCTTCCACCCTCAGTGGATGATAATCTCAAGACTCCTCCCTTAGCTACTCAGGAGGCCGAGGCGGAAAAACCACCCAAACCCAAGAGGTGGAGGGTGGATGAGGTGGAACAATCACCGAAACCCAAGAGGCGGAGGGCGGATGAGGTGGAACAATCGCCCAAGCCCAAGAGGCAGAGGGAGGCCGAGGCACAACAATTACCCAAACCCAAGAGGCGGAGGTTGAGTAAGCTGAGAACACGCCATTGCACTCAAGCCTGGGCAATAAGAATAAATCCGTGGGTCGAAAAAAAGAAAAAAATCAAAAAACAAAACAAAACCCACGCTCCAAAAACAAACTAACGAAGAATAAATAAATAATATAAAAATAAAATAAATACTGCAGTCCTTATGTTATTGCTTTGTTTCAATATCTGGTATGATTGCCTGAGGGACCTGAGGTTTTTAATTAATTGTAGGGTTTTTTTTTAATCTTTAGAAGTGGTTGGTTATGTAAAATATTATTATTTTTTTTTTTTTGAGACTGGGTTTTGCTCTGTCACCCAGGCTGGAGTGCAGTGGCTCGATCACAGCTCACTGCAGCCTCAACCTCCTGGGCTTCAAGCAATCCTCCTGCCTCAGCCTCCCAAGTAGCTGGGATCACAGATGTGTGCCACCACGCCTGGCCAATGTTAAAAAATCCTTTAACTTTTTTGTAGAGATGCACTCCTGGACTCAAGCGATCCTCCTACTGGTCCCGACCACCAGCCTCTTTCCGATAAACATTTACACTGTTTATTATCTGATGCCATTTCTATCTTCTTCCTTGTCGTCCAGACATCAAAGAATTAGGTTTCTTCAGGGTTTTCTTTTTCAAGTCCTCATTGTTAAAGATCACTCACATTAGGGCCAGACACCACGACTCATGCCTGTAATCCCAGCACTTTGGGAGGCCGAGGCGGGCAGAGCACTTGAGGTGGGGAGTTTGAGACCAGCCCGGCCAACTTGGTGAAACCCCACCTCTACTGAAAAACATACAAAAATTAGCTGGGCGTGATGGTGCATGCCTGTAGTCCCAGCCACTTGGGAGGCTGAGGCATGAGAATCGCTTGAACCCAGGAGGCAGAGGTTGTAGTGAGCCAAGATCACATCAGCACACTCTAGCCTGGGTGACAGAGCAAGACTCTGACTCAAAAAATAAATAAAATAAATATCACTTACATTAGATATACCCAAGGGGTGGTCTATAGAGAGTTGGAAGCAGTGGTTATTGCAACAGGGACACGGAAGTCATCTGGCTATGCCAGGATGCCCAGGGGATACTCGGGGTGGGTGGCATGGTGCTGCTGGGGACTCACCGCACAGGACGCTCTGATTGACGCACTGCCAGGAGTAGCGCTCTGTCTTGGGGCTGCAGCCGGCCTCCTCAGCTCGAGTGTAACAACAGTCGTGGCCATGGCAGCACCTGCGGATGTCACATGGGCAGGACAGCAGGTGGGTGAAGCTCTCTCCTGGCCCTCCTCTGCTGCCAGGACCATGGGTGACTGAAGACCCCCAGGGAGGCACAGCATCCTCTAAGATTTTTTTTTTTTTTTTTTTAATTTAAGAGACAGACAGGGTCTTTCTCTGTCGCCCAGGCTGGAGTGCAGAGGCACAATCATAGCTCACGGCAGCCTTGAACTCCTGGGCTCAAGCAATCCTCCCACTTCAGTGTCCCAAGTAGCTGAGACTACAGGCACACGCCAGCATGCCCGGCTGGTTTTTTAATTTGTATTTCCTTTGAGACAGCGTATCTCTCTGTCGCTCAGGCTGGAGTGCAATGGCTCAATCAGCTCACTTTAGCCTTGAACTCCCGGGCTCAAGTGATACTGCCACCTCAACCTCCCAAGTATGCTACTACAGGAACACAAACTCCTTTTTTAAATTTTTTGTGGATATGGGGTCTCACTATGTTGCCTAGGCTGGTCTCGAACTCCCAGGCTCAAGCAGTCCTCCTACCTCAGCCTCCCCAAATGCTGGGATTACAGGTGGGAGCTACTGTACGCCTGGCCTTATCTAAGCTGTTTCCCTGAAAATGCCCGTCTTGGGTAATGATTCCATTGGCCCCACCATGCCCTGTCCTGCCTTCCTGGCTGTGCCCAAGCTTGGTCCCTGCCTGCCTGCCTGCCTGCCTCACTCTCTCTCTGGGTCTCGAGCTCCTGTGACACGTGACTCCTCTCTCTTCCTGGAGTGATCCAAGCCCTGCCACTTCCTGACTTTGCCCACACTGTACCCTCTGCCTGGGGCAACTTCATGTCTGCCCATTGTCCCTTAGGCCTCAGCCCAGGCACAAGCCCCTGCCTGCGGAGGTCATCCAGGCCTCACCAGGCTACACCCTCTCGTAAAATTGGATTCCCTCCCTTCAGGGCAGGTTTATAATGAAACCCTCCTCAGAGGCCAGCTGCGGTGACACCCATCTGTAATCCCAGCACTTTGGGAGGCTGAGGTGGGAGGATCACTTGAGGCCAGGGGGTCGAGACCAGCCTGGGCAACATAAGAGAGACTCTTGTCTCTCCTGTCTCTATAACAAATTTAAAAATTAGCTCCCCAGGCCAGGCTCAGTGGCTCCTGCCTGTAATCCCAACACTTTGAGAGGCCGAGGCAGGTGGATCACGAGGTCAGGAGTTCGAGAGCAGCCTGACCAACATGGCGAAACCCTGTGTATACTAAAAATACAAAATTAGCCAGGCATGCTGGCACGCACCTGTAATCCCAGCTACTCGGGAGGCTGAGGCATGAGAATCACTTGAACCCAGGAGGTGGAGGTTGCGGTGAGCCAAGATCACGCCATTGCAGTCCAGCCTGAGCAACAGAGCAAGACTCTGTCTCGAGAAAATAAAAACACACAAAAAATTAACTCGCCATGATGGCACATGCCTATAGTCCTAGCTACTTGGGAGGCTGAGGTGGGAGGATTCCCTTCAGCCCAGGAGTTTGAGGCTGCAGTGAGCCACTATGATTGTGCCACTGCACTCTAACCTGGGCAAAAGCGAGACCCCAGGCCAGAGTGCATGATTTTGGGTCACTGCCACCTCCACCTCCCAGGTTCGAGTGATTCTCCTGCCTCAGCTTCTTGAGTAGCTGGGACTACAGGCATGTGCCACCACGCCTGGGTAATTTTTGTATTTTTAGTAGAGACAGGGTTTAGTAGAGACCATGGTGAAACCCCGTCTCTATTAAACAAATCTCTACTAACCCCATCTCTACAAAAAACAGCTGGGCATGGTAGTGCACACCTGTAATTCCAGCTACTTGGGAGGCTGAGGCACGAGAATCATTTGCATCTTGGAGGCAGAGTTTGCAGTGAGCTGAGATCGCACCACTGCACTCCAGCCGGGATGACAGAGCAAGACCCTGTCTCAAAAAAAAAAAGAAAAAGGAACAAACAACAGCAACAACAACAACAAAAAAAACCTGTGTCAATCACAGCCTTCGAGCTAGGGGAGAGGCGGCCGAATTCTGCCCTCTGCTAACGAGCTATAGCTTTGTGGAAATGGGTGAGTGGCGTGCCCTTGTGAGCCTCAGGGCCCCATCTGTAAAATGGGCCTAACTGTCATGCCCGTCTTTAAGAACAGCCTTGGGGGTAAATGAGTGGAAGTCATGGAAAGATCTCAGCCCACAACCTTCCACAGAACAGGCGCTTCTCACACAGGAAGTAGGAGGAGTGCAGAGGCTGCAGGCATGAATCCAGCCAGACTGCCTGGGTTCAAGTCCCAGCTCCCACGTCTTGGTAACTAAGTGGCCTCAGACAAGTTACTTAGTATTTCTTTTTTCTTTTTTTTTTTTTTCTCAGACAGAGTTTTGCTCTGTCACCCAGGCTGGAGTGCAGTGGTGTGATCTCCGCTCACTGCAACCTCCGCCTCCCGGGTTCAAGCAATTCTGCCTCAGCTTCCTGAGTAGCTAGAATTACAGGCACCTGTCACCACGCCCAGCTAATTTTTGTATTTTTAGTAGAGACGGGGTTTCACCATGTTGGCCAGGATGGTCTCGAACTCCTGACCTCGTGATCTGCCTGCCTCAGCCTCCCGAAGTACTGGGATTACAGGCGTGAGCCACCGCACCTGGACACGTTACTGAATATTTCTGTGCCTTGGTTTCTTCATCTGTGAAATGGGATTGTTATGAGAACACAACGGGATTCCCAGGGCAGTTCCTAGTGCATAGTCTGGCTGCCTTTGTGTGTGTGTGTGTGTGTGTGTGTGTGTGTGTGTGTTTAATATAGAGACACTCTATCACCCTCCTGTCTCCACCACATCTCAGATGGGAAGGGAGAGTGTCCTGGATTAGCCGCAGGCCAAGCATGGGTCATCCCTTCATCTGCATAGGGCGCCAGTTCACATTAGCCTTTTATGAGCCACAGACCAAATCCTTCATCCAGATAAGGGGTAGCCAATAGAACCTCAAAAGCAGTACTTCCTGGGTGCCATGGCTCGTGCCTGTAATCCCAGCACTTTGGGAGGCCGAGGTGGGCCGATTAACGAGGTCAGGAGTTCAAGACCAGCCTGTCCAACATGGTGAAACCCCATCTCTACAAAAAATATGAAAATTAGCCGGGCATGGTGGGTGCTTACCTGTAATCCCAGCTACTTGGGAGGCTGAGGCCAGAGAATCACTTGAACTCAGGAGGCGGAGATTGCAGTGAGCCAAGATCATGCCACTGCGCTCCAGCCTGGGTAAGAGACTTCTCAAAAATAATAATAATAAAAAAAATAAAATACAAAAACTAACAAAACACCTAGGAAACTTTGTAACCAGGCTCTTGAGCCGCTTGCTTAGGCCCACTCCCGCCCTGCAGAGTGCTTTATCTGTTTCATAAATTCCTGCTTTCACTGCTTCCTTCCCATGTCTCATTGCTATGCTACTTTGTGGATTTTGTTCAATTCTTTGTTCAAAATGCCAAGGACCTGGACGGCTCACACTCACAGCCCTGCTTCCCGGAACAGGCCTGGCTGAGTTCCAGCTGTGCAGTGAAGCCCAACTGTGGGAGGCGGGTGACCCTGGACTCCCTCTCATGATCTGGACAGAGATGGGGTCTGGGGGTACACCTGGTCTCAGACCAGCCCCAGATTCTTTTGTGACCTGAAGGCAGCTGGCTGGTCATTGGAACTGGCAGAGTCCCTCCAACGATTGGGGAGGGAGCCTCTGAAGCAATCTTTAGAGTGACATCTGGGACACAGTGAGGAACCCCCTGGCTGCTGAACGAGGGGTGTCTGTGAGCCAGGACCACTGGGCACCAAGGGCCTGAATCCAGGCTCCTCTGCCCCAGGACTCGTGGTATGCTGTGACTGCAGGGACAGGCAGGACCCCATCCCCTTCTCCCCAAATGCAGTCACACCCCAGACGGGCCCACTTGCAAGGGTCCTGCGCTTCATTTATGCTCTGCTGTCCTCATCTTGAAATTTTTAGCACATGCCTGTAATCCTACCACTTTGGGAGGTCGAGGCAGGTAGATCACCTGAGGTCAGGAGTTCGAGACCAGCCAGGTGGAGAAACCCTGTCTCTACTAAAAATACAAAAATTACCCAGACGTGGTGGCGGGCACCTGGAATCCCACCTACTCGGGAGGCTGAGGCAGGAGAATCACTTGAACCCGGGAGGCAGAGGTTGCAGTGAGCCAAGATCGTGCCACTGCACTCCCGCCGGGGTAACAGAGTGAGACTCCATCTCAAAAAAAAAAAAAAAATTCTTAGTAACTTCTGAATAAGGGCCCCACATTATCATTCTGTACCAGGCCCCACAAATGATGTAGCCAGCCCTGCACACCCGCCTTGCTCACCAGTTGCCCAAAGTGGCTGACCTGGAAGGATCCTTCATACTCTGAAGCCCGCGGTGCTTATGTCTTGGGAACTGCATCCTTTACTCTGAACAAAGGGCAGCGAGGTAGAAGAGGCTGTAGACAGGCCCAGAAGAACCTCACAGTCTCTATCTTTCCCTTCCATCTGGTAGGTTGGGCTGCCCGAGCTTCCCCTGCACAGGGCGCCCCGCAGGAAACTTGTTTCAGACAGAGCTGTATATTCTCCCAGTGAGGTGACAAAGTCAGGAGGAAGGAAACCTCAGGTCGGGCTGGAGAACTCTTTGCTGAGCTTGTTCACTGCTCCTGGCATCCCCACTATGCAGAGGAAAAGGGGACTCCCCAAGCAGTGGGATCCCCCGCTTCCCAGCCCAGGCTCTGTCTGCCTTGGCAGAGGCTGGGCTGGCTGAGCACCTGTGGGCAGCCACGCACCTCAGGATGTTGCGCTACAGCCTGACCCTATAGAAAGCCAAGTGCAAACGCTGCTCATTAACCTCCACTCCCAAGAATCAGGCTGCTTGGCCTTGTCTCTGCTGTGGCCCCACCACTCGAGCCCTTCCTGCCAGGCTTGGAACCTCGATGGCCATTTAGGGACAGCATCTAAGCCACCTTTGCAACCTTGGCCTTGGAATGGGCTGTTGCACAGGGAGCTCAGCAAATGTTCCTCCAAGTGCCTCAGGTCCCGATTCCCTCTCATCATCCCTAGAATAGCTTTTCCTTTTGAGATGCTCAGGACAGGCAGACACAGGCCTCCTGTTCCCAAGAAGCAGAGAAGGGGACATGGGGCTGCAGGGCCAACACAGGGAGAGTCTTCCTGAGTCCTCCTCCTGCCAGCTGGTTTTTGCAGCTGCGGCCAGCCCTGGAGGCAGGAGACACAGCCCCCGGGTTCTGCGGCAGCGCCTGCCCCCGTTCCTCCAAGACGGCGTTCTGGGTGCTCTGAGCAAAACTGGATGCTGGCAGGAAGCAGCTCAGCCCTGGCCTTCACGGGAAGGGCAGGCACCCTCTCCTGACCTGGGGCTTCCCAGGCCCTCCTTTGGCACGTACTGAACTGTTTGTGGAACCATCTATGCCACCTCCCTCTTCCCTCCCAGGCTGAGACAGGACAGAGCCGCTCTTTGGAGCTCCTTGTCCCTGTGCAAGGCCAGGGAAGCAGAGGGCAGGGGAGGAGCTGGGAGGAGCTGGCAGGACCAGCGCTGCTTCGGCTTCGCAGCCTCCACCTCCAAAACCAGACAGAGCAGGAAAATCAGACTCCAGGCCTGGGAGGGCAATGAGTCCAAACGCCTTCCCCTTCCTGGCTCTCACCCAGAAGTCCTCCAAGATGCCAGAGCAAGGGCTTTTCATCTTTACTTTCCTCCTGAAACCTGAGACCCCATGAAATCAACAAGGAGCAAGTGAGTACTTCCCGGAGGAAGCTTTACCTCTCAGCTGCTTCTCAGGGAATATCTACCCCAACGCTGAACTCCTGAAGATTTCAGTTAAATGCGACCCTCAGCCTGATCCCACGGAGAGCCCCAGGGTGTGAACTGCACATCTGAGATTGTCTTTGTTTTTTTGAGATGGAGTTTCACTCTGTTGCTGAGGCTGGAGTGCAGCGGAGCAATCTTGGCTCACTGCAGCCTCCGCCTCCCGTGTTCAAGGATTCTCCTGCCTCACCTTCCTGAGTAGCTGGGACTCCGGGCACACACCACCCCAACCTGGCTAATTTTTGTATTTTTAGTAGAGATGGAGTTTAACCATGTTATCCAGGCTGGTCTCAAACTCCTGACCTCAAGTGATCCACCCACCTCGGCCTCCCAAAGTGCTGGGATTACAGGCATGAGCCACTGCTACCAGCCTGAGATTGTCCTGTCACCTATAACACCTGGCCCACCCTGAAAGTCACAAAAGTCACATCTCCCCCTTCTCATTCCAGTCTAAGGATAAACAGCCGCAGCACTTCTCAGAGAAATTTGCACACTGGAGGATACTTTCCAAAGTCCTTTCACATCGTGTACAGGAGCCCTGTGACCTAAGAAGAGCAAATGTCTTTACCCCGTTTCTCAGATGAGTAAACAGAGGCCCAGGGAGACAAAGTTAACTTGCACAAGGCCATGAAGCATTTTGCCAGAAGTGGGGATGTAATCAATCCACGCACGATTCCCAGGCATGGAATCTTTCCAGTACCCTAGTGCTCACCCACACTCTCCGCCAGAACTTTTTTTTTTTTTTTTTTTTGAGACTGTCTCGCTCTGTCGCCCAGGCTGGAGTGTAGTGGTGCGATCTCGGCTCACTGCAAGCTCCACCTCCCAGATTCACGCCATTCTCCTGCCTCAGCCTCCCGAGTAGCTGGGACTACAGGCACCTGCCTCCACGTCCGGCTAATTTTTTGTATTTTTAGTAGAGACAGGGTTTCACTGTGTTAGCCAGGATGGTCTCGATCTCCTGACCTCGTGATCCGCCTACCTCGGCCTCCCGAAATGCTGGGATTACAGGCATGAGCCACTGCACCCGGCCGACCTGTTTCATTCTGCTTTCTTCCCATCTGGCTACTGACCTCCCCTGTCCCGGTGTCATCTGCTGTCATTCATGATGACCCTGCTCATTAGCTGCCCTACCTGTGCTCCATGCACTCAGCTGTGGCGATGCAGGAGGAAGTCCACCTGGGGAGTCCACTCCTGAGCCAGGAGTCCAGAGCAAGCATCTCCAGCCCGCTTCCAGGTGCTTGGCCCCGTGATGGTTCATTCATTTATTCTCCAGACCCCTACTGAGCACCTGCCTCATGCCCAGCCCTGAGCAGACAGCAGTGAGCAGGTTCCCACCCTCACTCTCTGGTGTAGAGCTGTCCTCTCTGGTAGCAAGTGCTGAGAGAGGGGCCCAAAACCAACCGTACCTCCACCAGGTGATCTGGCCGCGGGAAGCACAGGGGTGGCATCACCTGACTTCCCAGCCCTCCTTGAAGCTGACTCTTGCCTTTAAACCCATGGAGCTTTCTTTCTCTTTTTCTTGTTCTCTTTTTCTTTTTTCATTTTCTTTTTCTTTCTTTCTCTTTTTCTTTTTGTCTTTTTTCTTTGTCTTTCAAGAAATTGAGGCCAGGCATGGTGACTCACACCTGTAATCCTAGCACTTTGGGAGGCCGAGGTGGGTGGATCACCTGAGGTCAGGAGTTCAAGACCAGCCTCACCAACATGGAGAAACTCCATCTCTACTAAAGAAAAAACAACAACAACAAACACAACTAGCATGGTGGGAGATCACATCATTGCACTCCAGCTTGGATTTCAGAGTGCGACTCCTCAAAAAAAAAAAAAAAAAAAAAAAAAAAAAAGCCAGCCGGGCACAGTGGCTCACGCCTGTAATCCCAGCACTTTGGGAGGCCAAGGTGGGTGGATCACCTGAGGTCAGGAGGTCAAAACCAGCCCGACCAATGTGATGAAACCCCATCTCTACTAAAAATACAAAAACTAGCCAGGCATGGTGGCGTGCACCTGTAGTCCCAGCTACTCGGGAGGCTGAGACAGGAGAATCGCTTGAACAAGGAGGCGGAGGTTGCAGTGAGCTGAGACGGTGCTATTGCACTCCAGCCTGGGCAGCACGAGTGAAACTCCATCTCCCAAAAACAAACAAACAAAACAAGCAAGCCACGTGATCTGAGACTCAGCCTACAAGTGCTGGCTTTGTCAGTCCCATGTTCTGACCAGGGCCTCATTGACCATTGCATTCCATGCGGGGTGAAGCTAGTAGAGAGCGGCCTTGTGCAAAGGCAGTAAGGCCTGGAGCTGGGTGCCCTGAGTATCTGTGATGTCATCTAACTTCTTGAAACCGTGTATCGGTCATGAGGCAGGAGAGCGAGATCTCATTGCTCTCTCAAGGTGTTCTCCATGCGGCCCTGGACACATCTGTTAACTGTTCTGTAAGACGCGGGTATTAATAGCACCTGCTTTGTGAGATGATTTTGAGGATTAAATGAGAAGAGGAGGTTGGGCACCATGGCTCACACCTGTAATCCCAGCGCTTTGGGAGGCCGAGGTGGGTGGATCACCTGAGGTCAGGAATTCAAGACCAGCCTGGCCAATATGATGAAAGCCAGTCTCTACTAAAAATAACTTCTTTGCCCAGTTACCTTCTTTTTTTGGGGGATGGGGGTGGGGAGACAGCTCCTCACTCTGTCACCCAGGTGGGAGTTTAATGACGTGATCACTGCACCCTCGGACTCCTGGGCTCAAGCAATCCTCCTACCTCATTCTTCCAAAGAGCTGGGATTACAGGCACGAGCCACTGTGCCTGGCCCAATGTCTCTATTTTTTATTTATTTATTTTTTTTTGAGCCACAGTTCCGCTCTTGTTGCCCAGGCTAGAGTGCAATGGCGTGATCTCAGCTCACCACAACCTCCGCCTCCCAGGTTTAAGTGATTCTCATGCCTCAGCCTCGCCAATAGCTGGGATTACAGGCATGCGCAACCATGCCTGGCTAATTTTTGTATTTTTAGTAGAGACAGGGTTTCTCCGTGTTGGTCAGGCTGGTCTCGAACTCCCGACCTCAGGTGATCCACCCACCTCGGACTCCCAAAGTGCTGGAATTACAGGCGTGAGCCACCATACCCGGCCTCAGTTTCTTTATTCTTGTCCTTCCATCGACTTGGCCCCTATTTTTTTTTTTTTGAGACTAGTCTTGCTCTGTCACCCAGCGGGGAGTGCAATGGTGAGATCTCAGCTCACTACAACCTCCACCTCCCGGGTTCAAGCGATTCTCCTACCTCAGTCTCCTGAGTAGCTGGGATTACAGGCGTGTGCCACCACACCTGACTAATTTTTTGTATTTTTAGTAGAGACAGTGTTTCACCGTGTTGGCCAGGCTAATCTCAAACTTCTGACCTCAGGTGATCCACCCACCTCGGCCTCCTGAAGTGCTGGGATTACAGGCATGAGCCATTTTCTTTCTGCCCAGCTATTTTTTTTTGCATTTTTTGGCTAGACGGGGTCTCACCCTGTTGCCCAGGCTGATCTCAAACTCCCGTCCTCAAGCGATCCTCTTGCCTTGGCCTCCCAAAGTGCTGGCATTACAGGCATGAGCCACTGCACCTGGCCTTCGCTTTGAATTAAAGTGGCAGGCAGGAAGAAGCATCATCTCAAAAATTGATGGTGACAGCGGCAGCGACTACATCTAGCTTGCACAGGTGGCAGCTTCTGTCCCACTTCGGTGGTGCCAATTGTAGCTTCTGTGCCAGCAGAGGCTGTGGGGTCTTCACCTGGCCAGCTTTGCCCAATGTCCTCTTCCTGATTTGATTTTCTGACCCTTTTGAGCTCCTGGGAACTAGCCAGGACCTCTGACCAAGTCCCTTTCTGCTTAGAGTTGCCAGAATTAGTTTCTGTTGGTTAAAACTAAGAACCTTGATTCTCACAAAAATAGGACCAGGACTGGACAGAGCAAGAAGCCCCAAAGGAAACAGGAGCAATTGAAGGCTGGAAAGTGGCCAGAGGACAGTGAAAATCCAGCTGGTATTAAGGGACAGGACACCAGCAGCCCCATGGCACGCCCTGGCAAGACAGCTAATCCCATTGTCCCCGGGAACAAAGTATCCATCAAAGGCAAGGCTTTGGGGGACCTAATGGCTCCTGCCATAGAAGAGAATAAAGATTACACTGAAGTCAAGATCTGCTGGGCAGGGCGGTCATGTTAACAGCGCCACATAGCTTAAATGAAAAGACAAGCTCAGAATCCAAATTCTTGGCTCAAGGTATGGTTAGAAAACCCGAGTGTGCCTGGCCAAAATGGCAAAACCCCGTCTCTACTAAAAATACAGAAATTAGCCAGGTGTGGTGGCAGGTGCCTGTAATCCCAGGTACTTGGGAGGCTGAGGCAGGAGAATCGCTTATATCCAGGAGGCGGAGGTTACAGTGAGCTGAGATCACACCACTGCACTCCAGCCTGGGCGACAGAGTGAGACTTTGTCTCCAAAAAAAAAAAAAAAAACCAAAACTCGAATGTGTTATTTTGCAGCTGAGAGAGCAGAAAAAACTGAAAACTTGATCCAATGGTTACAGAATGACCAAGGGGACCCACACCTTAAAAGGTCTTTATTTGGGAAAGAGTGAAATGTGGAGACCAGAGGCTATGAAAATTAGGCTGTGTGGAAAGATAGGGAAGCCTTAGGTACCTAGCCCCTCCCCTCCCCACCACCCTTGCCAGCCAAAGCTTCCTCTTTGTCACTGAAGATCCTAGTAGCAGGAACTCCCTTGCGGGCAGTTAGGTGTTCTATGTAGCTGAGGTATGGCCTGCAGCGACGGCTGAGTCTGTTTCTACACTGCTATAAAGAAACATCCAAGGTTGGGTGCGGTGGCTCATGCCTGTAATCCCAGCACTTTGGGAGGCCGAGGTGGGCGGATCACCTGAGGCTTGGAGCACGAGACCAGCCTGACCAACATAATGAAACACCCTCTCTACTAAAAATACAAAACTAGCTGGGTGTGGTGGTTCACGCCTGTAATCCCAGCTACTTGGGAGGCTGAGGCAGGAGAATAGCTTCAACCCGAGAGGCAGAGGTTGCAAAGAGCCGAGATCACGCCATTGCACTCCAACCTGGGCAACAAGAGCAAATCTCCATCTCAAAAAAGCAAACACCGAGACTGGGTAACTTATAAAGAAGTTTAATTGACTCACAGTTCCACACGGCTGGGGAGGCTTCAGGAAACTTACAACCATGGAGGTAGGGGAAAGCAGACACCTTCTCCACAGGATAGTTACGAGGATGTAAGCACGAGAAAGAGGAACTGCCACGCTTTAAAACCATCAGATCTCGTGAGAACTCACTCACTGTCACGAGCACAGCATGGGGGAAACTGCCCCCATGATGCAAGTACCTCCACCTGGTCCATCCCTCAACCCGTGGGGATTGTAATTCGAGATGAGATCTGGGTGGGGACACAAAGCCTAACCATATGGGTGGGACGGATGGCAGTTATTTCCAGGGTGGGCTGTAGCCTCTTCCTCCAACCTACATCTCCTGTTTCCCAAGCTGGTAACCTGGATGCCCTGGGTGACCTAAGAAGCCATGTGCTAAAGATGTCAGGACCTCAGTCGGCCGGGGTTCCCCCTTCCCCATTTCAGTTGAGGGAGGAAGAGCCTTTCAAGAGCGAGAGCTAGCCAGCAGCTAGCATTTCCCTATGTAACACACCCTGTAATGACCCTGCCCCGAAGGAGTCTCCTTATAAGCCCTACCCCTCATTTTCTCCAGAATTAAATGACAAGTCACATCCCCGCAGGCCCCAGGGGCCAAATCTAGGAGGGTACTGAATCATCAAAAAACTCCAGGGGGAAGATACTGAATCACCAAAAGAAACTAAAGATTTTGCTAATTGATATTGGCTTACTCACAGTACATGGTTGGCTAAAAAATTTTTTTAATTGATATTGGCAAAAATCTGGGAAGGTGATCTGAGAATGAATTCTGAGGGTGCAGGATGGGTGAGGGAGGAAGGGGATGCTAGATAGGGATGAATGTACCGATATTGAGGATTCCACAGGGACAGCTTGAGAAGCTGGGATTATAGGCGTGAGCCACAGCGATAATGTAGTACTTTCAGTGCTGAAATCAGGATAGTGCCAGGCAAACTCGGACAATTGGTCAACCTAGCTGTTAAGTAACTAACTTGCTCTAAATCACAGTTATTAAGTGGCAGGGCCTGTATTCAAATGCAGGTGGGCTGACTTCAGATTCAAATTGTTTGCTTTTGCCAGTGGTTCTCAATCTTGAGCATGCAAACCTGGAGGCCTTGTTAAAATTCAGATAGCCCCATCTTCAGGGTCTCCAATTCAGTAGGTTGGGGCCGCCGAGAATTTGCCTAACCAGCTCCCTGGTGATGCTGAGGCTGCTGGACTGGGAAGACTGGGAACCAACTGAGAAGACCTTTGTATTTGGCTTTCTCACCTCCAGATAAGGGCTTTTTAACTTTTATTTTGTGAGACAAGGTCTCAATCTCTCACTCACGCTGAAATACAGCTTATGATCATGGTTCACTGCAACCTCAAACTCTTGGGCTCAAGCAATCCCCTGCCTCAGCAATATGAATAAACATATTGGAGGCCAGGTGTGAGACTCCACCTCAAAAAAAAAAAGTAAAGGAATAGGGCTGGGCGCGGTGGCTCACGCATATAATCCCAGCACTTTGGGAGGCCAAGGCAGGCAGATCATCTGAGGACAGGAGTTCGAGACCACCCTGGCCATCGTGGTGAAACCCCGTCTCTATTAAAAGTACAAAAAAAAAAAAAGCCGGCATGGTGGGGGCACCTGTAGTCCCAGCCACTCGAAAGCTGAGGCAGGAGAATCGCTTGAACCCAGGAGACGGAGATTGCAGTGAGCCGAGATCACGCCACTGCACTCCAGCCTGAGCAAGAGCAAGACTCCCTCTCAAAAAAAAAAAAAAAGTAAAGAAATAAAACAATGGCTACTCCATAGAGCAGCCCCGAGGGCTGCTGGTTGCTCATTTTTATGGTTATTTATTGATTATATGCTAAAGAAGGGGTGGATTATTCATGCCTCCCCTTTTTAGACCATATAGGGTAACATTCTGGCGTTGCCATGGCATTTGTAAGCTGTCTTGGCGCTGGTGGGAGTGTAGCAGTGAGGACGACCAGAGGTCATTCGCATCACCATCTTGGTTTTGGTGGGTTTTGGCCGCGGCTTCTTTACTGCTTGTGCCGGCCTCTCATCTCATCCTGTGACTTAGAATGCCTCCACCACCTGGGAACACAGCCCAGTAGGTCTCAGCCTGATTTTACCCAGCGCCTACTCAAGATGGAGTTGCTCTGGTTCAAAGGCCTCTAACAGAAGCTAAACACAGGTGGGGGCTTTCAAAGAAGCAGATCCAATGCCCACTGCCCTTCCTCACTCCCCTAATAGATGTAGGGCACCATGGACTTTTACAGACTGAGGGACATACTCTGGATGAGAATAGTTTACCCTATCAAGGAAAAGTAAGTTCCCCAGATGAAACGCCACAGATAACAGGCATATTGTAAGTCAGGCTTTGTACGTTTTCCAAAACTCACTACAGGGATCCCCTTTGAGGTGCAGAATCTTGTATCACAATAATCACGATTCCTTGGCCAAGGCCTTTTGATGTCATGGTCCGTGTTTTTCTCCGGATCGTTGGGCATGCGGAGGCAGAAGGAGAGCCTGGCAGAGTGAATGACAAACGCAAGGGAGGCTGCAGAGGGGAGGGAGTGAGGGCGGCCCAGGGCCCAGCCCGGCGGGAGCCGAGGAAGAGAAGGACCAGCCAGCCAAGGGCGGGCGGCTCCAGAGGAGGCCCGGGACTCCCCAGTTTCCCAGCCTCTTCCACCCCACGCGGATCCCTGCCCCGACGCTGATTCAGGGGGTCAAAGCCTCGGGCGGGGCGGACCGCGGCGGTGACTGGAGGCGCCCCAGTTTCTCTGGGTGTGGCCTGCGGACCCCCTCGGGAGCAGGTCGTCCCGCACCAGTGTCTGCCCCCGGCCCCCAGGGACACCTGCACCCGCCCCACTCACGACGGCGCGTCAGGTCCCCAACCAGGCGTGGGGCGGGGTGGGAAGGTCTCGGTTCGGCCGCCCCGCCTGTGCTGTCCCCACCGCCCCCCGGCCTCGGGCAGCGCGCTCCCGGGTCACCCACCTCCCGCGGGCACGCGCAGGGCGGCCCCTCCGGGCGCTGCGGCCGCGGCCCCGGCCAAGGGGCGGGTCCCGGGTCTGGGAGGAAGAGGCGCGGCTGCTGGCTGACCCGGGAACCAGACCGAGCCGGAGAGCGGGCCCTCCCGTCTCCCACCGGGCAGGAAGGCCTGGCGCTCGCAGGCGACCTTGCGCCAGTGCCCGGGCAGGGATCAGGGGGCTCAGCGCCTTCGCGGGAGGTAGAGAGAGCTGGGGGCATCTGTGTGACCACCCCGCGTAGGTCCGCGCTGAGCCAGGACACAGGACAACTGCCCGCGCCTGGTTAGACAGGCGAAGCCCTGGGAAGCAGTGGGAGAGGGAAAGACTGGGCCGGCGCGGGGCCGCATGCCTGTAACCCCAGCACTTTGGGAGGCCCAGGATGGCGGATCGCTTGAGCACGGGAGTTCGAGACCAGCCTGAGCAACATGGTGCAACCCCGTCCCTACAAAAAACACAAAAAATAGCGGGGCGTGGTGGTGCGGACCTGTGGTTCCAGCTACTTGGGTGGCTGAGGCAGGAGGATCGCTTGAGCCTGGGAGTTCGAGGCTGCAGTGAACCCCAGTTGCACCCCTGCACTCCAGCCTGTACGACAAAGCGAGACTCTGTCTCAAAAAAGAAAAAAATAGGGCCGGGCGCGGTGGCTCACGCCTGTCATCCCAGCACTTTGGGAGGCCGAGGCGGGTGGATCACGAGGTCGGGAGATCGATACCATCCTGGGTAACACGGTGAAACCCCGTCTCTACTAAAAATACAAAAAACAAATTAGCCGGGCGTGGTGGCGGGCGTCTGTAGTCCCAGCTACTCGGGAGGCTGAGGCAGGACAATGGCGTGAACCTGGGAGGCGGAGCTTGCAGTGAGCCGAGATCGTGCCACTGCACTCCAGCCTGGGCGACAGAGCGAGACTCCGTCTCAAAAAAAAAAAGAAAAGAAAAGAAAAAAAATAAATAAATGACAGCCAGACTCACTGGGTTTGACTCCCAGCTGTATGATCTTATGCAAGTTACTCAATCTCTCTGCCTTCATTTCTTCCGCTGTAAACTGGGACAGTGATAACCCCTTGTGGGTGATGTCTGAGGAGCTGGGTGAGGGAGCGGGACTGCACAGGCTCTGACTACCATTGGCCCTGGTGCGATGACACTCCGCCGGTGGGGGCAACACACACGCGTCGTCTCCCAGACATTCAGAGCAACTTCTATTAATACCCTGCCTGCCTGGGCCCCAGCCATGAGAACTGCCCCTCACTGAGGCAGAGTCTGGTCTTCCTCTTCTTGGGGAGACCCAGAACTTCCAGAGAGTGTCCTGGACCATGAAGGTGACCAGGAAAGGGAATAGGTGGGTGGAGGCCGCTGCAGTGAAGCCTCAGGCCCCCTCTGGTCTCTCCAGGGTCATCCTGGATCATCTGAATTTCCCTTTGAAATGAGCATGCACAGGTTCAGCTGATTCATAATTTAATACCCCGTGGGGTTCATGCCACAGGGAAGCTCCGCTGCCCCACAGGGTCTGGGCCAGGTGGAAGAGAGCAGCCTTTTTGGACCACTGGCGGTGTCCTCTCCTTCGCCATCTAATTGAAGCCCATCTTCCCAATCAAAAGCAGGCGAAGGGCCCCAGCTTCTTCTAACACTCACTCCCTGGCCCTCACTGGCCTCCCTGCCTCTCTCTGCCCAACTTCTGGCATTGTGCAAGGTCTGAGACCTCTTTGGACATGAGGCATGTGGTCTTAACCTGGCCCTTGTTCCAGACAGGTGGGCAGACAGGTAAGCAGAGCCGGTGCTCCCAGGGCAGGCGAGGGAGCCATGTGGTCAGGCCTCAGGACCCTGGGCCCCACCGGGAGATGTGCTCCTGGGCTGGAAGGAAGCAGAAGAGAGCAGGGCTCGATGGCAGCCCAGGCAGTCCCAAGATGGCAGCCCTGTTGCACTCGGTCTGGAAGTGCCCATGGCCGTGGTCCCTGTGGCGCTCCAGGCCTTCCTAGCAGAGGCTGCTGGGAGCTGGTGCCATGCTAGGTTTCACCTCCGCCTCCACCACAGTTCATGGGGCTCCCGGGAACACCAAGGAACCCAACAGGTTCCCAGGAAGCAGCTTTCATGACAGGAGAGGGTCCTTGGAGAAATCCCCTGCAGAGCTGTAGCTCTAGTCCTTCCTGCGTGGCCTTGCTGTATGAAGCTGGGCCCGTCATTGCCCCTCTGGGCTCAGGAGCCCACAGGTACAAGGCCATCAACAGGGCATCCTCTATGGCCCCGTGTGCCCAGACCCACTCTGAACCTGCCACCTAGATACCCTTGCAGGCTGGACCGGGTCAGCAGCACTCCCAGGGTCAGGGATCAGAGAAGGGGAGCCTCAGGAAGTCCCTCACCAAACTGGCAGATGTAACGGTTTCGGGTTTTGCAGCGCTGGTCGTTCCAGTTGAAGGCAGCTGAAGCCTGCAGCTCCACGCAGTTGCCAAACCTGCAGGCCAGGGTGTGGTGGTCAGGAGGCAAGAGTGAAGTCAGGGATCCGGGAGAGGCCTAAGCCCTCCACCCATCAGGACCCTGCATCTCAGGGGCTCCAGTGCCCCCACCTGCCGACGGGGCTGCTGGGAGCCAGGCCCGTCCCCAAGCCCCCAGCCCTGCTCCACTTCTCAGGGAAGCCCCTTCCTGGGTTAACAGCTCTGCCTACCCCATGGCAGCACTCAGCCACACCAGCCTGTGGGGATGGTGGGGATTGGAATAGACAGCCCACTTGAGAGGTACACCTGGGAACCCAACAAGGCCCAGACTTCCTCCAGGCAAGAGGCCAGGGGCACAGGCCGGCTGTTGGCAAGGAGGGCTGGCTGAAATCGCTGGAGCCCTTGGTGGCCTCGCAGCCGGACCACCTCCACCCTGGCCCTGGGCATTGCTGGGCTTTGAAGAGCAGGGTGGGGCCACGTGACCAGAGGGTTCTTGCTACAGGATGGCTGGTGGGTCTGCAGGTGCAGGGTTGTATTGTGAATGAGTGCAGGTGGGTGACAGCTAAGGAATGCTGGCATCAGTGTAACTGATGCAGGCAGAGGGCATGCAGAGGGAGGGGTGAGTGGATGAGAATTGGAGGGATGGAGTCACAGCCAGGGGACACTGGGGATGGACAGATGGATGGAGGCTTCCTGGGTCCCTCTCTCCCCCACGTGACGTGCCTTCCGGCTTGCATCTCCCTCACCCCACCACCGGCCCACACCAGCTGTGCCCACAACTCTCTGGCACCTGGGCAGGCACCAGGGAAGGATCAGACCCTCAAAGGGCCCAGCCAGGCAGCGGGATGGGGGGGCTCCACCAGGCAGGCCCAAGTGAGAAGGAGGCCCAGGGGAGGGAGGCACCCCACACTTACCCGTGGTTGTCAGGCTGCCCAAAGGCAAAACTGGTGAAGGCCTGGTGCTCCCCTGTGGCCCAGCGGAAGGAGTCCTTGGCGGTCTTGTAGGTGAGCCCTGGGCCGGGGTAGTCAAGGTTGGCCCACTCAGACCCTGGAGTCTGCTGCCAGCTGCCTTTCTGGCCCCTCTTCCCAGCGCTGGCAGCCCCCATGTGCTCCCTACCTGGGCCCTCCCCGGGAAAGGGGGTGAGCAGCTGGCCCCGCTCTGGGCTCCAGGCCCTCAACACACCCTTGCCATCTGCTGGCAGCCGCCATGGCCCAGGGTTCCTGCAGCAGGGTGGGGCATCACAACCCCTTACTCGCCATACCCCCAATCAGCTGGGCACTCACCGATCCAGAAGTTCCTGGTCTCGAAGTCACTGTCAATCACCTCGTTGGTGGTCTCCAGGCGGCCCAGATAGAAGGCGAGGATGTCCTGCACTTTCTGGCTCTTGATCTGGGCCAGCACCCCGCCTTTCCTCTGTAACCCCACCCTGGGTCACACAGGCAAGTCTCCCAGAGCCCAGGCTGCCCCTTCCTGCCACCCCTGCCCATGGCCTAAGATGCCACGTGTGTGTGCTGGCCGGGCTATCATCACCCCCAGCCCGCACAGCCTCCCTTCCAAGAGCAGGGGTCCCTTCTGCTCCCGTCTGCTTCTCTTCTCCCTGTGCACAGGGGCGCGACCAGCAGCCCACAAGCCCAGGCAAGGTCTGGCCCCTGAGGAGGTTCTGTTTCACCTGCACAGTGTCTTAAATATATCCGAGTTGATTGCCAACCCCAGTAATTAATTGTGGTTTCGAGAGTTGCCAGTGGAAGTCTGGGTTGCTGGTTTTCTTGAACAACCCCGAGCTCTGGCCACCCTGACCTTGCATTCCTGCAAGGCAACCAGTGGCTGGAACTCCCTTAGATGGAGGTTGGTCTTGACCTTGGCCCCTCAGGTCAATAAGTGACCTCCTGGCTTCTATGAGCCTTGGAGTCCACGACCCCTGCTTTATGCTGATGAATAGGGTGAGGTCAGAGACGTTGAAGGAACCACCTCTCACTCCAGGGTCCCTGCATTAAGACCCTCACTTGAGGCCCTAGGGGGTTCCTAGGAAGCTAGGGGTGACTGTCACCTGACATTTCATCCTGGCTCTGTAATAGGTGTCTGCCTCTGAAGACACCATGAAGCAGTCTCCGTCGATCCTCAGGTCACAGGTGTGGAAGGGAAAATGCACCTTGGCTGGGGTAGGGGAGCCTGAGTTTGTGTGTGGACTTCAGAATCCCTGCCCTTTCCTGCCCTGCCGGGGAGCTAAGCTCAGGGTGCCCCTTCCTCTGGCCACCTGCTCCAAAAGAGTGGGTGGTGAGGGTCAGGAGTGAGCTGGTCAGTTGGAATATTGAGCTTGCTCTCTCTCAAAAGAAAAAAAAAATCCATGGTTTATAGCATTTGCCAATTTCTTTGGTGTAAATATCCATGCTGTGGCCAGTTTCAAGATCTCAACGTGTTGTCACTGAATGAGTTGGAAAGAGAGGCACACAGCGGGCTCCTGGGAGCTGATGCCCCATTGAAGGGGGGTCTTGAGAGGAGCTGGCTCTTTGGGGGCCCTGGGGCAGGACTCACTGGCACACTGGGCTCCCCCGTAGCCGATGTCACAGACGCACGAGCACTCCTCCTCC
This sequence comes from Homo sapiens, assembly GCF_000001405.40. NCBI lineage: Eukaryota > Metazoa > Chordata > Mammalia > Primates > Hominidae > Homo > Homo sapiens. The sequence goes on from NC_000016.10 coordinate 74,412,210, forward strand.
CGGAACCGGCCGTGCACACACTGCAGGCTGCACCTCACTGCCAGGGCAGGGCAGTGGGGCAGAGGCTCAGCCCCCAGCCTTCTGGACCCCACGCTGCCCCCCAGAGGCCTCGAACATCCAGGGAATGCCAACCACAGCAAGAATACCCCTCCCAGAGACAGAACCCACCAAGGCTTCCGATTGCTGGCACGCCTGGTGTCTTTGGTTTGGTCCCCATTGCAGAGTGAGGCATATTGGAGTTTGGGAGGTGACCTGCCCATGGTCACAGAGTGGGTTAGGGTAGAGGGGCAGTAGGGCAAGAATCCACTTCTGGGTCCTAATTCTGTCCTCCTCCCAGAGCCTAAGGGGCTGAACCTGATTTCACTTTGAATCTCCTGCACAGCTCAGGGTCCGGCAAACAGCTAGTGCTCAGTGAATGCTTGTTGAAAGAATGTATGCAGTGGGCAGACTCAGGGAGTACACAGTCAGCACCTCTGACACCCTTGAGACTCTCAGGAAGTGTAGCAGCCCTAGGACCTGCCACGAGAGCAGGGCTGGGCACACCCAGGCTCCAGTGCCCTCACCTTGGCAGTATCTGCCCGTGTAGCCAGGGGGACAGTGGCAGTGGCAGGTGCTGATGTTGAGACGTCCATGGTTCTGGCAGCTCATGCGACAAGGATTCCTGGGGACCTCTGGTCAGAGGAGGAGGGGACTCTGAGAAAAGGGTCGCCTCCCAGCAGGCCGGGCAGGACCTCCCTGGGTGCTAAGGGCCAGGGCTTCTGGGACAGCCCAGTAGGATGCTACCACCCCCACCCCAGGGTCACCAGACTGAGCCCTCATGCACTCACCACAGAGCCCCCCTGCATGGTCCCAGGCTTTGAAGCAGCCTGAGACACTGGCTGTGCAGAGCGAACACCAGGCACCCTTCTTATAGGGGATGATTGTCTTCCCGTTGACCTCCCAGTTGCCTCTGTGAGGACGAGCAGGCACCACAGGGTGTGGGAGGGCCTGGCCTTGGGCAAGGCAGTGGCAGGGCCCTGCTGCCTACCTCCCTGGCCCCTTCAGCTCCTGCGGCCAGGCCAGGGAGTCAGGGAGCTGGGTGAGATAGGGAGATTCCCTGGGAGAGAAGAGATGGCCTCCAAACCAATCCTGGACAAACTCCCTGATACCAGGACCAGTATCCAGGAAGGGACATCCGCAGAGCAGCACCTTCTGCGTGGCCAGAATCTTTAGCACCCTCTGCCTTTCCTCTCCTCCCCTCTCCCACCAAGGGTGCAGAGCAAGGCATCAGGGACTCTACTTTCGGGTGGATGTGTGGGAATCTCACCCTCGGTGAAAGCACCCCTCCCTGTCTCCCAGACATCCCAGCAGAAGGTGTAGCAGGGCTTACCCGGGGGAGTAGGCACAGACAAAGGCTTCTATCGCTGTCTGGCCTGCAGAGCACAGGTGCCGCCCACAGCCCAGCTGGCTTGAGGTGGCCCACACGAGCTACAGGAGACACAGGGGATCAGAAACCCTATTGTGAACCACCCCTGGGGAGGGGGACACAGCTTTCGCTATCATCCAGGCGAACAGAGGGCTCCCTTACCTCTTCGAGGGCTCAGGAGCAGCAGCTGTCCTGGGCAGGGGTAGAAGCATGGGTGGGAATAGTTCAGGAAGGCTTATTTATTTATTTATTTATTTATTTATTTATTTATTTTTGAGATGGAGTTTTGCTCTTGTTGCCCAGGCTGGAGTGCAATGGCCTGATCTTGGCTCACCACAACCTCTACCTCCTGGGTTCATGTGATTCTCCTGCCTCAGCCTCCCGAGTAGCTAGGATTACAGGCGACTGCCACCATGCCCGGTTAATTTTTTTGTATTTTTAGTAGAGACAGGGCTTCTCCATGTTGGTCAGGCTGGTCTTGAACTCCCGACCTCAGGTGAACTGCTTGCCTCGGCCTCCCAAAGTGCTGGGATTATAGGTGTGAGCCACCGTGCCCAGCCTAGGAAGGCTTTCTTAGTTGAGAGGGGGATGGAGAGGGGAGGTACCTGAAATGAGGGGAGATTGTTGATGGGTGGAGGGGAGTAGCCAAAAAAAGACTGGAACGTCAAGGGCCTTGTGACTGCATGGTGACCACAACCATTCATTTCTTGCAGTAGGCCACTCCTTTAAATGTGACTCTGCAGCTTTTTGCAGCAAAGAGAGGTGTCTCTTTCCTTGCTCCTTGAATCTGGCTGGCTCTGTAACTGGTTTGGCCACCAGAATGCCACAGAAGTGATACTGAGCCGATTTTGAACCTAGGCCTTAAGAGACCTTGCCATTTCCACTCATTCTCATAGAACCATGCTCAGTCACCACATGAACAAACTCAGTATAGGAGTTTGGAAGGCCTCATGGAACAGAGATGAACCATTAGAGGCCTTTTTGCACAGCCAGCTCCCAGCCGGCCCCCTAGTTGATTGCAGGTGTATGAGTGGGCCCAGCCAAGACCAGAAAACCTCCCTGCTGAGCCCAACCCAAGTGGCTGACCTGCAGAATCGTAAGCTGCTAAATTTTGGGGTAGTATGTCATGCAATAAAACCTAATGGATACAGGTCTGCAAACCAGTTTAAAGTCTTAGAATCAGCAACAGCTTGGAAATAGCACAAATGGGCAATATATAAGAAGAGTGAAACAAACTCTCCAGTAGAGACTAAAAATGACATGTACAAGACTGGCTTGTAGCAGGCAGATGTGAACATGTGATCATATACATGTATCCAACACTTAAAGAATATGTATCATTTTTAGGAATGCATGGGACTTTTGCAAACCAGAAAGGAGGACCATACATTAGACCACTAAGCAAGTTTCAACAAATAGCAAAGAATCAGCACATCCTACAGCCCACATTCTATGAATTCAATGCAATGAAATTTAAAGTAAATAATTTACAAGTAAATAGAGAAGATAACATAGTTTAGAAACTTAAAGATACACTTCAAAATCTAAAACAACATCATGGCCAGGTGTGGTGGTTCACATCTGTAATCCCAGCACTTTGGGAGGCTGAGTTGGGTGGATCATGTGAGTTCAGAAGTTCAAGATCAGCCTGGCCAACATGGCAAAACCCCATCTCTATTACAAATACAAAAAATTAGCCAGGCATGGTGGCACACACCTGTAGTCCCAGCTACTCCGGACCTGAGGTGAGAAGATCACCTGAGCCCAGGAAATTGAGGCTGCAGTGAGCTGAGATTGCACCACTGCACTCCAGCCTGGGCGACAGAGCCAGACCATGTCTCAAAACAAACAAAAACAACATCATGATTGGAAATAGAAAAAACATCAAAACTTATTGGATGCAGCTGAAATCGTTTAAAGGGAAATTTATAGCTTTAAATGTATATAGTAGAAACAAAAAAAGATTTAAAATTAATGATCTAAACATTCACATCAAGAAAATTAGAAACAATAATAGAGGCTGGGCGTGGTGGCTCAAGCCTGTAATCCCAACAGTTTGGGAGGCCGAGGCAGGTGGATTACCTGACGTCCGGAGTACTAAAAATACAAAAATTAGCCAGGTGTGGTGGCAGGCGCCTGTAATCCCAGCTACTCAGGAGGCTGACGCAGGAGAATCTCTTGAACTGGGGAGGCGGAGGTTGTAGTGAGCTGTGATCGCACCACTGCACTCTGGCCTGGGCAACAGAGCAAGACTCTGAATCGAAAAAACAAAAACAAAAACAAAACAAACAAAAAACAACCACCAACAACAAAACAGAGTTAGGTTTTTCACACCTTTGAGTCTGACAAAACTTAAGGAGCCAAGGCTGGGCACAGTGGCTCACGCCTGTAATCCCAGCACTCTGGGAGGCCGAGGCAGGCGGATCATGAGGTCAGGAGATCAAGACCACCCTGGCTAATACGGTGAAACCCTGTCTCTACTAAACAAAATACAAAAAAATAGCCGGGTGTGGTGGCGTGTGCCTGCAGTCCCAGCTACTAGGGAGGCTGAGGCAGGAGAATGGTGTGAACCCAGGAGGCGGAGCTTGCAGTGAGCCGAGATCGCACCACTGCACAGCAGCCTGCGCGACAGAGCGAGACTCCGTCTCAAAAAAAAAAAAAAAATTAAGGAGCCAGAAGATCTTCGGGAAGTGGGAACTGGTTTGCTGGTCTGCACAGTTGGCGTAAGCACTTTGGCAGCACCTAGTTGTAGGGGCACATGTTCTTCTTTTTACTGAGCCAGGGTTTTACTCCTGCTGCCCAGGCTGGAGTGCAATGGCGCAGTCTCAGCTCACTGCAATCTTCACCTCCCAGGCTCCAGCAATTCTCCTACCTCAGCCTCCCAAGTAGCTGGAACTACAGGCGCACACCATCACACCTGGGTAATTTATGTATTTTTTTGTAGAGGCAGGTTTTTTCCATGTGGCCCAGGCTGGTCTCGAACTCCCGGGCTCAGGCAATCCTGCCACCTTGGCCTCCCAAAGTGCTGGGATTACGGGCGTGAGCCACCGCACCCAGCCTTGTGTAATATTTAAACATGCACAACCCACTTGCACAGGTAGTGGAGGTATTAAATATTTCCTGGGATTTTGCTTGTGTTTTTCAGTGCATCTGAAGAGCACCAGGTGTGTGTAGAAGACCCTCAACAAATATTTGTTGAATGAAGAGAAAAAATGGAAACTTGCTTGGCAGTGATGCTCCTGAACTTTGGGAAGATTCCCTCCAGGGAGGGACAGCGGGAAAAGGGGAGGAGCAGGGCTTTAGTTTAGTAGCATCTTCTAAACCTAGGTAGTGGGTAAGAGTGGGGCCGTTTTAAATTTATGTTTGAGGCTGGGTGCGGTGTCTCACACGTGTAATCCCAGCACTTTGGGAGGCCCACGCAGGTGGATCACTTGAGGTCAGGAGTTTGAGACCCAGCCTGGCCAACATGGTGAAACCCTATCTCTACTAAAAATACAAAAATTAGTGGGGTGTGGTGGCTCGTGCCTGTAGTCCCAGCTACTTGGGAGGCTGAGGCAGGACAGTCACCTGAATCTGGGAGGCAGAGGTTCTAGTGAACCGAGATCAAGCCATTGCACTCCATCCTGGGTGACAGAACAAGACTTCGTCTCAAATAAATAAATAAATACGTTTATGTTTGAAATTATTTATATTTCAGATTGAAAAAAAGTGGCTTAGGCCAGGCATGGTGGCTCACGCCTGTAACCCCAGCACTTTGGGAGGCTGAGGCAGGCAGATCATTTGAGGTCAGGAGTTCGAGACCAGCCTGGCCAACATGGTGAAACCCTGTCTCTACTAAAAATACAAAAAAATGAGCTGGGTGTAGAGGCGCACACCTGTAATCCCAGCTACTTGTGAGGCTGAGGCACAAGAATCGCTTGAATCTAGGAGACGGAGGTTGCAGTAAGCTGAGATCACGCCACTGCACTCCAGCCTGGGGTGACAGACTGAGACCATGTCTCCAAAAAAAGAAAAAATGTGGCGGGGCACAGTGGCTCACGCCTGTAATCCCAGCACTTTGGGAGGCTGAGGTGGGTGGATCACTTGAGGCCAGGAGTTCAAGACCAACCTGGCCAACATGGTAAAACCCTATCTCTACTAAAAGTATAAAGCCATTAGCCAGGCCTGGTGGCACATGCCTGTAGTCCCAGCTAGTCAGGAGGCTGAAGTACAAGAATCACTTGAGCCCAGGAGGCGGAGGTTGCAGTGAGCCGAGATCACGCCACTGCACTCTAGCCTGCGCAACACAGCAAGACTCCGTATCAAAAAAAAAAAAAGTAAAACTAAACCAATTGGAGGAAAAGGAATCCCAACATTTAGGACAAACTGTAGCCTCTTCTGAGATGGCCCAGTGGAAGTCTGTATCTGGGAGCTGGCACGCTGGCCTCACCTGCAGCACACTCACCTGCGTGTAGTGGGTGCAGGTGGCGTTGCGAGCACACTCTCCTGCCGCGTGGCTGTACCGCTGCCCCTCTGCAAACCACAGGCTGACCACTTCAACAAAGGACGCCAAGCCCGCGGGCAGCAGCTGCATGTTCCAGCCCACTTGCAGGGTGCGCCACAGGCCGGACGCCAGGCTCGGGGTTGGGATTCCACAGAGGGCTGCCCTGGCTTGAGCCAGTTGGGCCAGGCTGTCACTCCAGTCCTGGGGGCAGCACAAACAGACATCTGTGGGAGGCCTTTGACTGCTGGGCCAGGCCTCAAAGATTCAACTCCCCTGCCATCTCTGAGCATCCACCGGGTGCCAGGTCAGGTGGCAAAGAGAGCACTGGATGAGGAGTCCTGCTGGAGGAAGCACTGGTGTTGTCTGATGTCCCTCCAGGAGGAGCCCAGCTCCTCTCACGACTGAGCCTCCATCTCCAAATCCTGTCGTGGGCATCCTTCGGCCCTGCCCAGGCAGTGGGACCCGCTCCTGCTGTCTTTCTCCCATCTGGTCATGTGAGCAGTGCCCACGCGTTGCAGACTGGTTCTGTGTTTGGGCCCTGGCCATTGTCAGAAAGGCTCCACTGCTCCCACCCGGCCATGCTGCCCTCCTGTGATGCAAAAAGCCCTACAGCCACACCTCTCTGCCCTAGTCTCCTGCCCCCAGGAGCCTGGCCTCATATGCTCCCCACCACGCACAGCTGACCCCGCCCCCTCCCTCTTCTTTTTTTTTTTTGAGACAGAGTCTCACCCTGTCGCCCAGGCTGGAGTGCAGTGGAGAAATCCCGGCTTACTGCAACCTCCGCCTCCCAGGTTCAAGCAATTCTCCTGCCTCAGCCTCCCAAGCAGCTGGGATTACAGCCATGTGACACCACACCTGGCTAATTTTTGTATTTTTAGTAGAGACGGGGTTTCACCATGTTGGCCATTGCTGGTGTCAAACTGCTGACCTTAGGTGATCTGCTTGTGTCAGCCTCCCAGAGTGCTGGGATTACAGGTGTGAGCCACCGTGCCCAGCCCCCTCCCTCTTCTTAAACAAGGGGCCTGGCAATCACCACCCCTGGGTGACTTGGTGCAGTCCCCTGATCTCCCGAGACTCCCTGAGCTCATCTGTAAACGGAGCAGGGAGGTGCCTGCAGGATAGGACTCACAAGCACAGAGTGGATGCAGGGAGGGGGGCCCCTCGGGGCTGCACCCCAAGCCAACTTCATCCTGCACTAATGTCCATCGGGGTTTTACCTCTGATGAAGGCTGGGGCCAGGAGCTGGGGGCTCCCCGGGGTCCCTCAGCAGCCCTCCACCCCCACAAGACCTTCAGTCTCCACTGTGTCCAAAGAAGGGGTGCCCTGGAGCCCTAGAGGCCCGGAGGGTGCTCGGGGCCGGGCCACGAGGGAGGCTGAGCCATGGAGCTCCATTTGCACCTTTATGGAAATGAAGTTTTCTAAGACTTTGACAAAAGGGCCCTGGAAAGGGTGCCAGCTGCCAGCCAACGACCACCGCAGCCCCTCCTGGGGTCCCAGGCAGGAGTACCCAACCACGGAGGTCACAGCTGGGAGCACCCCTGGTTGCCCAGGGTCTGAGCCTGAGGAGAGGCAGAGCCACTCAGGGCTGGGAATGGGGGAGAAGCGACCCCCCGCATTTAGCCACCCCACCCCCACCTCCTGGGAAACTGACCCTAGAGTGTTCAAGGTCGCCACTGTGGCCACCTGCCTTGGAGGAGTTCATGGGAAGCAGCCATGGGGAACCCTCCCGCCCCCACCACCCTGCCCTGGCTCCCTGGCCTGCTAACATGGGCTGGGGCTGCTGGGGTCCCAGACAATGGAGGGCAGCGTTTCTGAGCCTCCAGATGACAGTCCCAACCCCGCAGCCCCAGCCGGGCTGGTGGGGAACTCTATACCCCCGACCCCTGGCCCCTGCTGAAAATGTGGAAAATGTGGACGAGTGAGTGAGCAGAGAACATGGGCAAGGCCCGTCCTAGTGGCTCAGATAAGCTCAGGAGGAGGCGCTGGGTCCTTGCCGCACAGAAGCCCCTCCCCAGCCCAGCACGACCTTCTCCCTCCCTGGCCCGGCCGCCCATCCTGCAGGGCTCCTCGTGAAGCTCCCCTTCCCTGGAGGAGGGGATCCGGCTCCTCCTGTGGCTCCTGGTCTCTGTGGCAACAAGATGCCAGGGAAGGCCCAAGGTCCTGCCCTTCAGGCGAGTGGGAGCCAAGGGGCCCGACCTCCTGAACTGAGGGTGGGGGGTTAAGAAACTGCAGAGACCCCCAGCAACCAGGGCCTCCGTCCCTCAGGGGCAAGGTGGCTGGCTGTGCCTGCCCACCCTGGTCAAGTGGAAGGGCACCTGGACAGGCGTGGCCTCCTGAGCCGCCCTCTGGGGTCCGCGCCTCCGGCCACCCCCCTGGCAGAGCCCAGCTGGGTCGGGTACTCACCAGCCTCCGCATGTCAGCCGCAGGGGGCTGGACCCAGCTGCGCAGGCGGTTGTGCAGGGAGAGGAGCAAGAAACTCTCCTTCCTGTTCAGGGCTGGGGTGGGGAGAGAAGGTCAGGCAGCCCGAGGATGGGGGGACCTGAACCCAACACACGGCAGAATAAGCATGTGTCCCTGCCCTTGGAAAACAAGATGGGAGAGGAGTGTGGTGGGTGCAGGGGACGTGGGGCATAGCAATGGAGCGAGGCTGAGAGAGAGACCAGGTACAGCAGGCGTGGGCTGAGTGCTGGGGTTGGGGTGGCGGGAGGGAACAGCGGTGCGGGCTGGGTGTAGGGGCCAGCCCTGGCTCCCGCAGGCCCCTGTCTGGGGCTCCTCCGGGCCACGGATTTCTCCAGGCCCCAGCCACAGCGCTCCTCGGCGTTCCTCCTTGACCCCAGCCCTGGTCCTCCTTCCTCCTCCTTCCTCCTCCTTCCTCCCCAGTCCAGCATCCACCCCTCACCGCCCCCGGGCTGTCCCAGGGCTTCCTCATTAAACCACCCGCACGGCCTGGGGCTCAGGCCTGGGACCGGGCTTCCAGAAGTCTCCTAGCACCCACTCCTCAGAGCTCATAATGGTGCCTCCACCTACCTCCTCACCAGGTGTCCCTTACCTCCGGCCATCGGAGCCTGCTCCTGCAGCTGGGGTGGCCACACCTCTGCCCAGGTGGTGCCAAGGAGGGCCAGGAGCACAGCCAGGAGATGCCCCCGGCCAGGGGAGGTCTCTGGATGCAGCATGGGTCTGTTGGGCCCGTCAGGCGCTCCGTGCACAGCCTGGCTCAGCCACCCGGCTTGTTTCTCAGGCTGGATGGAGCTATTCACAATCTCCAGGAGTCAGGCTGGGCTGGTGGACAAAAGAGGGGGGCTGGTGAACAAAAGAAGGAGGCTGGTGAGTGAGTAATCAGTGTGTCCAGACAGCCTCCTGTTGGCGCTGGCATGAAAAGAGACAACTCCCGGGGATGCCTGCCTGCTCCGGCCTCGGCCTGGCCAGCCCGCCCCCGACAGCAGGCAGAGTGGCGTGCACTGCCCCGCGGCCCCTGCTAATCATTGTGGGATTATTAGCACCCTTGGGGAGCCCCCAGAGACCCCGCTGATTGGCCTGGGGACATTCCGGTGCTGCAGATTAGTGACCGATGGCCGTGTCCTGGCTGGGACAGTGTCCTCCGAGCCCACTGATGGCTTCCGCTCCCCAGCCCCGGGCCCTGGGAGGAGGACCTCGGCTATGGTCCTTCTGGTGAGCAGGAACTGGGCAAGACCCCAGGGGAGTTCTTTCCTTTCTTGGGAAGCTCGTCCCAACCCCCCAGCCATGAATTAAACATAGGCAAGAGGTAACCGCACACCAGAGGGGTGCAATCTGTGGGCTCAAAGGGGGGTGGGCTGAGGCCGCACCTGCACGAGGAAAAGGGTGCCTTAGGAAAGTCTGTCTGGGCAGGGTCGGGGGCTGGGCCCAGCCCCGGTGCCCACCACCCTCACCCACGTGACTACAGGCCAGGGGGGGAGTGAGGCAGGAGGAGTCAAAGCAGGCGGGGACCAGAGCACGTGATGCCCTGGGCTGACTCCAGTCCTGCTGGGATCACGTCCGCCTCTAGAAAAACAGGCGGCGTAGCAGGTGGGCAGCACGTTGCCATGATGTGCCGTGGCCCGGCCGTGGCTGGCGTGATCCCACCAGAGTGAGCTGGAGCAGATCTGCACCATGGGCCAAGTTTCTCAGAAAATACATGGCTTCCTGCGGGCTGCAGCCTAATGCCCACGTTCCTCTCGGGGCAGACCGAAGGTTATTCAACCAGGGCAAAGGACAGCCTTGCAAACCAACTACGTCCTCCTTCTGGAGTTTGTGTGACCCCTGGCCCCTGAGCCCACACCCTCTCGGAGCGGGGTTCCAACTCCGTGGAAGCTCTGCTGAGATGCAGGTAGGGTTGGCTTTCCTGGGGAAACACCAGTGGAATGTGGCTATCGTCATGGGTGCCAGGGATGGGGATGAGGCCAGGCATACAGGCCATGAAGGCGGTCTGGAACTGCATGTCCCCCACAATACCTAGGGGCTCAGGAGTTTCTTCTCCCTCAAACAGAAACCCAGCACCCTCAGGGTCACTGCGTGTGGGTCCTAGCAATGCTTAATAGCTACCTGTTTTTTGATGTATTTTTATTTTTATTTTTTAGACAGTTTCATTCTGCCACTCAGGTTGGAGTGTTATAATCTCAGCTCACTGCAGCCTTGACCTCTTGGGCCCAAGTGATCCTTCCACCTCAGCCTCCCAAGTAGCTGGGACCAGGTGTGTGCCACCATGCCTGGCTAATTATTATTATTTTTTTTGGTAGAGACAGGATTTCATCGTCTTGCCCAGGCTGGTCTCCAACTCCTGGGCTCAAGGGATCTTCCCACCTTGGCCTCCCAAAGTGCTGGGGTTGCAGGCATGAGCCACCACACCTGGCCGAGCCACCTGTGTTTATGGAGCTCACAAAGCCTGTTTGCATGTGTGAGTTCAAGTTATTGCCACAAGAACCTGGTGCAGTAGCAGATGGGATGCCCGTCGTGTAGATGAGGAAACGGGCTTAGTGTGTCTAAGGGGCTTGTCCAAGGTCACTCAGCGAGTGCATGGAGCATCCCAGCTAATCCAAGGTCTCTGCCTTCCCATTCCCAACGCTTTAATTCACATCCTGATCTTTCCCAGTGCAGTTTCCACAGCTCTGCTATGCCGGGTGATAAAAGACCCACTTCCTACAATTGGGCTTCCATGGCAAACACGGCCAGTTGACCCATATAGTATGATGCCAGGCACTTGGGACAGGCGGGAGAAAAAGATATTTTGGGGATTAGGGTGGAGCAACTTTTGAAGGGTCCCATGGCCCTGGCTCACTGCAAGAAGAGTCCCAGGCCGGGTGTGATGGCTCATGCCTGTAATCCCAGAACTCTGGGAGGCCAAGGCAGGCGGATCACTTGAGGTCAGGAGCTTGAGACCAGCCTGGCCAACATGGTGAAATCCTGTCTCTACTAAAAATACAAAAATTAGCTGGGCAGGGTGGTGGGTGCCTGTAGTCCCAGCTACTCGGTAGGCTGAGGCAGGAGAATTGCTTGAATCTGGGAGGCGGAGGTTGCAGTGAAGCAAGATGGCACCATTGCACTCCATCCTGGGCAACAGAGCGAGACTCTGTCCCACCCCCGACCCCTCAAAAAAAAAAAAAAAGAGTCCCAGGAGAGCAAGGTTCATGGGCCAGAAGAGAAGCTGAGTGGATAAAAGATTAATGAGACACTGGAAGACCTAGGCTGGAACCGACACGCTGTGTGACCCTGAGGATGGCACTCCCACTCCTGAAGCTCAGTATCCAATGGCGTAGAGCTGGGATGACCCCTCTGCTGGGCCCCTAACCAGGGCATTGCAACTTGGTTTCCATGGTACTCCCTCCTGGGTTCAGACTTTTTAGTGGAGCCTGCTCGGTGGCTGGGGTGGGTTTGGAGAATGGGCAGCCTCATTCTTGCAAGGCAGCTTTCCCCAGGTGAGGCTACTACAGGGTTTACATCCACCACCCAGACTGTAGGATTCACATTTTGCTATATTTTCTTTATCACCTGTGTCTCTATCTATCCCACCCCTCTCCAGCTCATGCATAGCTGATACCTCTTCTCCCAGTCTGCATTTGAAGGTTATAGCGTTCGAGTCATTTTGTCTCTTCCTGAAGCAGCTCCTTTCTTCAAAGCCTTGAAATCTTGTTGATGGTCTCAAAAAAAAAAAACAAAAAAAAAACAAAAAGAAAACCATTTAACTCTAGGAGAGTTGTGGCCACATTTTCTTTTAAAAATTACATGTCCAGGACAGGCGTAGTAGCTCACTCACACCTATAATCCCAGCACTTTGGGAGGCCAAGCTGGGTGGACTGCTTGATCTCAGGAGTTTGAGACCAGCCTGGGCAGCATGGTGAAACCCCGTCTCTAAAAAAAATACAAAAAATTAGCTGGGCGTGGTAGCACGTGTCCATAGTCCCACCTACCTGGGAGGCTGAGGTGGGAGGATAGCCTGAGCCAGGGATGTCAAGGCTGCAGTGAGCTGTAATCGTGCCACTACACACTAGCCTGGGTAACAGACCAAGATTCTGTCTCAAGAAAAAAAAAATTAGGCCAGGTGCAGTGGCTCATGCCTGTAGTACCAGCACTTTGGGAGGCCGAGGTGGGCGGATCACCTGAGGTCAGGAGTTTGAGACCAGCCTGGCCAACATGGCAAAATCCCGTCTCTACTAAAAATACAAAAATTAGCTGGGTATGGTGGAACACACCTGTAATCCCAGCTACTTGGGAGGCTGAGGCATGAGAATCACTTGAGCCCAGGAGACAGAGGTTGCAGTGAGCTGAGATCACACCACTGCACTCCAGCCTGGGCAACAGAATGAGACTCTGTCTAAAAAAAAAAATCATGTCTATTTGATTTTTAAATTTTTCTTGAGACGAAGTCTGGCTCTGTTGCCCAGCTGGAATGCAGTGGCACAATTTTGGTTCACTGTGACCTCTGCTTCTGGGGCTTTGACCTCCACATCCCAGGCTCAAGCCATCCTCCTACCTCAAGCTCCTGAGTAGCTGGACTGTGGGTGTGCGCCACCATGCCAGGTAATTTTTGTATTTTTAGTAGAGATGGGGCTTCACCATGTTGCCCAGGCTGGTCTCAAAGCTCAAGTCATCTGCTGGGATTATAGGCGTGAGCCACCACAACCAGCCCCATATTAGTATGTTGAAGCCCTACCTCCATTACCTCCGTGTCACTGTATTTAGAGATAGGGTCTTTAAAGAGGTAATTAAAGTTAAATGAGGTCACTGGGGTGGGTCCTGATCCAGTCTGACTGGCCTCGTTATAAGAAGAGACACACAGAGGGAAGATCCTGTGAAGACACAGGGAGAAGGCGGCTGTAGACAAGCCAAGGAAAGAGGTCCTCAGAGGGAACCAACCCCCCGGCACCTTGATCCTGGCCTTTATGCCTCCAGAACTCTGAGAAAATACATTCTGTTTTTTAAGCCACCCAGTGTGTGGTACCTTGTATGGCAGTCCTAGCAAACGAATACAGCCCTTACGCAAAACGTACAGCTAATATCACACTTAACAGTGAGACCAAAGACTTTCCTCCCTAAGATCAAAACAAGGCAAGGATGTCTTTTGTCACCGGTCCCACTAAACATTGTACTATTGAATGCGCAATTTGTGCAATAAGTTAAGAAAAAGACATTAAAGGCATCCACACTGAAAAGAAAGAAGTAAAACTATCTTCATTTGCAGATGACATAATTCTACTGTAGAAAATCCGAAGGAATGTGTAAAAAAAAAAAAAAACCCTACTAGAATAAAGGTCTCAGAATACAAAATTAACATACCAAAATCCACTGCATTTCTACACATTGGCAATAAACAATCCGAAAATGAAATTGAGGAAACAGTTCCACACATGGCCAGGCACGGTGGCTGACATCTGTAATCCCAGCACTTTCCGAGACCGAGGCAGATGGATTGCTTGAGGTCAGGAGTTCAAGACCAGCCTGGCCAACATGGTGAAACCTCATCTCTACTAAAAATACAAAAAATTAGCCAGGCGTGGTGGTGGGCAACTGTAATCCCAGCTACTCTACTCAGGAGGCTGAGGCAGAAGAATTGCTTGAACCCGGGAGGCGGAGGTTACAGTGAGCCGAGATTGCGCCACTGCACTCCAGACTAGGCGACAGAGTGACTCATTCTCAAAAAAAAAAAAAAAAAAAAAAATCCATACACATAAAACTGTAAAACAACATTGCTGAGAGAAACTAAAGATCTAAAAAAATGCATAGACATTTCACATTCATCCAGGCTGGACTGCAGTGGCGTGATCTCTTCCTACTGCAACCTCTGCCTCCTGGGTTCAAGTGATTCTCCTGCCTCAACCTCCCGTGTAGCTGAGATTACAAGCACCTGCCACCATGTCCAGCTAATTTCTTTTTTTTCTTTTCTTTTCTTTTTTTTTTTTTTTGAGACAGAGTCTCACTCTGTCACTGAGGCTGGAGTGCAGTGGCGCGATCTGGGCTCACTGCAACTTCCACCCCTTCGGTTTAAGTGATTCTCCTGCCTCAGCCTCCCAAGTAGCTTGGATCACAGGCACCCGCCACCACACCCGGCTAATTTTTGTATTTTTAGTAGAGACAGGGTTTTACCATGTTGGCCAGGCAGGTCTTGAACTCCTGACCTCAAGTGAGCCACCCACCTTGGCCTCCCAAAGTGCTGAAATTACAGGCATGAGCCACTGCACCTGGCCAATTTTTGTATTTTTAGTAGAGACAGATTTCACCATGTTGGCCAGGGAAAACTCAATATTGTTAAGATAGATGGTAATTCTCCCCAAATTTGTCTATTAATTCAATGCAATGCCCATCAAACTTCCAAAAGATTTTTGTTGTTGTTGTGTTTATTTTAAAGCAATTGAGAGGCCAGGTTTGGTGGCATGCGCCTGTAATCCCAGCTATTTGGGAGACTGAGGCAAGAGGATCCCTTGAGCCCTGGAGTTTGAGACCAGCCTGGGCAATATAGCAAGATCCATCTCAAAAAAAATTTGAAAACTGGATCTTAAAATTTGCATGGAAACGCAAAGGAATTAGAATAACCAAAACACATTTGAAAAAGAATAAAACTGGAGAATGTATACTACCTGATTTCAAAACTTGCTATGAAACTTCTAGTAATCACATCTATAAGATATGGAAAAAGGACAAGACATATAGATCAAGGAACAGAATGAACAATACAGGAAAAAACTCTTACATTTATGGCCAATTTATTTTGTTTTATTTGAGGGTCTCACTTTGTCACCCAGGCTGGAGTGCAGTGGTACCATAATTGCTGAGTAGCCTCGAATTCCTGGGCTCAAGCCATCCTCATGCCTCAGCCTCCTGAGCAGGTAGAATGATAGGCACGTGCCACCATACCCAGCTACTTTTTTTTTTTTTCCAGACAGGGTCTCACTCTGTCACCCAGGCTGGAGTACAGTGGTGTGCTCACGGCTCCGGGGTTCAGGTGATCCTCCCACCTCAGCGTCCCAGGTAGTTGGGACTATGGGCATGCACCACCATGCCCGGCTAATTTTTTGTATTTTTGGTAGAGACGGGGTCTTGCCATGTTGTCTAGGCTGGTCTAAAACTCCTGGGCTCAAGCGATCCTCCTGCCTTGGCCTCCCAAAGCGCTGGCATTACAGTTGTGAGCCACCGCGCCCGGCTCCGCCTCCCGGGTTTACACCATTCTCCTGCCTCAGCTTCCCGAGTAGCCGGGACTACAGGCGCCCACCACCACACCCGGCTAATTTTTTGTATCTTTAGTAGAGAAGGGGTTTCACTGTGTGAGCCAGGATGGTCTTGATCTGACCTTGTGATCCACATGCCTTGGCCTCCCAAAGTGCTGGGATTACAATCATGAGCCACCGTGCCTGGCCCTTCTTTTTCTTTTTTTTAGATAGGGGTCTCACTATGTTGCCCAGGCTGGAGTGCAGTGGCTATTCATAGGTGCAATCATAGTGCACTGCAATCTCCAACTCCTGGTCAGCCGCTACTTCTTAAAATGTTTCTCTGTCTGGTTCATGTTTCAAAGTCTGGTTCATGACTCTGCTACACTTCAGTTTCAAAAGCTGGTAGCAAAGGAAAGAACATGCCAAGAGCTGAGGTTCTGCTGTGATGAGACCACCCAAGCTCCCCGTATCTATACCAAGGGATCTGTTGCCCAGGCTGGAGTGCAGTGGTGTGGTCTTGGCTCACTGCAACCTCTGCCTCCCGGGTTCAAGAGATTCTCCTCCTTCAGCCTCTCAAGTAGCTGGGATTATAGATATGCACTACCACACCCGGCTAATTTTTGTATTTTTAGTAGAGATGGCGTTTCACCATGTTGGCCAGACTGGTTTTGAACTCCTGACCTCAAGTGATCTGCCCGCCTTGGCCTTCCAAAGTGCTGGGATTACAGGCATTAGCCACCACACCCGGCCCAGATGTCTTACTTAGCTCTTCAAGGCTTACGGAAGTTGGTACCTTGTGGAACTAGGCTGGGGAGGTCTGGATGCCAGATGTTCTTCTGAGGTTGCTGTTCTTATAATTGCTGTATTCAAATATATCACCCAGTTGAGATGAAATGCCTAGAGCACAGCTGCGGAGTGGGACCAGCTGGGCTGAGGAGGGAATGAAGTACAAACATCCAGCGATGTTCAGGGCCCTGAAGCAGCTGGGAAGCGCAGGCGTTCAAATCACCAGAGGCATGGCTATATCAGCTCACATATCATGCACACAGATGCATGTCCTAGGCGTGGAAACAAAGCTCCCCAGACCATGGTTAACTCACCGCATGCACCTGGAGTTCCATCTGCACCAAGGCACCAGTGGTTACTTTTAGAAATAAACAAGTCACAATGAACACAGTTAAAAGATGTCAGCACTAGTGGCACTTGGGGACTCCAGCCCAGCTCCTGTCACAAGCAACTGGCCACCAGGTCTGGACCCACATCCTTTGCTCTTGGCCTACTGAGGTCATTCAGTTTTGCTCATCTCCCACAACCTGGAAACCCAAGGGGGCAGGCTGTGCAGTTCATCCTGGAAGAATAATAGAAGAGCAGCTGTCGTGCATGGAAAGATCATGCAATGGGTCAAGTATTTAATTAATTATTTTTTGAGACAGGGCCTTGATCTGTCACCCAGGCTGGAGTGCAGTGGCGCGATCATAGCTCACTGCAGTCTTGAACTTCTGGGCTGAAGCGATCCTTTCACCTCAGCCTCCCGGGTAACTGGGACTATAGGCACGTACCACTCTACCTGGCTAATTTTTTGATTTTTGGTAGAGACGGCGTCTCCCTAAGTTGCCCAGACTTGTCTTGAACTCCTGGGCTCAAGCGATCCTCCTGCCTCAGCCTCCCAAAGTGCTGGGATTACAGGTGTGAGCCACTGCGCCTGACCTGTTAATTTATTTTTTGAGACAGGGCCTTGATCTGTCACCCAGGCTGGAGTGCGGTGGCACGATCACGGCTCATAGCAGTCTTGAACTTCTGGGCTGAAGCGATCCTTTCACCTCAGCCTCCCGGGTAGCTGGGACTACAGGCACGCACCATTATACCTGGCTAATTTTTTTATTTTTGGTAGAGACGGGGTCTCCCTAAGTTGCCCAGGCTGGTCTTGAACTCCTGGGCTCAAGCGATCCTCCCACCTTGGCCTCCCAGTGTTGGGATTACAGGCGTGAACCACCATGCCAGTCTGGGTCAAGTATTTTATATTCATTACTTGAGTTTCATAACAACCCTATAAAGTAGGCATCACTGTCCATTTTAAAACAAGTAAACAGAGGCCTAGGAAAGGTAACCACCCAAGGTCGTATACACCAAGGAAGAGGCAATGCTGGCATTCAGACCCAGGCCAGTAAACCCAAAGCCCCATGCCCTTGACCCACCACAACAATCTGGGATTCTGAGGGGCTTGAGTCAGGTGACACCCCAGATCTAAGCATCTGAAGGTCCCTAACTGTGGAGGCTTTCATGAGAACAAGCCACTGGACGGTAAGCACACGTCGCTCTTCTCAAGGGAGGGTGTACTAAAGGAGCCTCATCTCACTCCCCCTGTGCCATGGAGGCCACACCAGGTGAGCACCCTTGGGAGGGAGACGCATAGCCTGACTGGGGTGCTAATGTGTCCCGGCACTGGGTTCTCCACATGAACAGTTGTGTGAATCCAGGAGGCTCAGATCACGTGCCACAGCGCCACCTACTGGCCTGCGAACAACAACATCAGGAGATCGATTCCACTGGCTTTTCTTTGTTGCTCTGTGTGATTTCTTTACATATTCTGGATACACTGTCAGATGTATGTATTAGTCTCTCTCTATATAGAGAAGAATTATATAAGGAATTGACTCACGTGATTGTGCAGACCGGCAAGTCTGAAATTTGCAGGGCAGGCTGGAAACTCAGGTAAGAGTTGATGTTGCTGCTCGTCTTGAGTTGAAGGCAGTCTGGAAGCCAAAATCCTTCTTCCTGGGGGAACTTTAGTCTTTTCTCTTAAGGTCTTCAACTGATTGGGTGAGGCCCACCCATATTATGGAGGGCTTTACTGCTTTACTCAAAGTCTACTGACTTAAATGTTAATCACATCCAAAAAGTATCTTCACAATAATATCTAGGCTGATGTTTGCCAAACGTCTGGGCACCAAAGCCTAGCAAAGTTGACACATAAAATTAGCCAGCACAGCATCCACTTACTTGCTTGTAAAATGGGCAGTGACACACCTTTTTTTTAGACTTAACTAATGCACATTAAATATGCGGCCTGTTGTAAAAATCTTCCCATACATGACAACTGCTTTTTACCTTCTTTTTTTTTTTTTTTTTTTTTTGAGATGAAGTCTCCCTCTTGTCACCCAGGCTGGAGTGCAATGGTGTGATCTCGGCTCATTGCAACCTACGCCTCCTGGGTTGAAGCAGTACTCCTGCCTCAGCCTCCCAAGTCCCAAGTAGCTGGGATTACAGGTGCCTGACACCACGCCTGGCTGAATTTTTTTATTTTTAGTACAGACGGAGTTTCACTATGTTGGCCAGGCTGATCTTGAACTCCCAATCTCAGGTGATCCACCCATCTTGGCCTCCCAAAGTGCTGGGATTACAGGTGTGAGCCACTGCACCCAGCCTACTTTTTAAATTACTCTTGCAAGACAAACTGCATGGCCTATCCCCTTGGATTTCCAGGTTGTGACAGATGACTGGAGATGAGCAAAATGAAATGACCCAAGGAGGCCCAGAAACATTCAGCTCGAGAAGCAAATAACCCAGGCCCAGGTGTGTTGGTCAGTTGCTTGTGATGAACGCTGGGCTGGAGTCCACAAGTGCCATTGGCACTGATGTCTTCTAACCGAGCTCCTTGTGTCTGTTTACTAATTATGTGGGCTTAGTGTAGACTTCCTCTAGGATGCAGCCTGGGAGTTGGTGCAATGGTCTGATTGCAGGGAGGTATCTTTGCATGCCCAGGACATGCCCCTGGGTGCATATCCTATGTGAGCAGCTCTCCTCCTGGCCCCTGGGGATATTGGCTAGCATGGGCCCTATGCTTTCCAGCATCTTCCGGGCCCTGCATGTAGCTCGAAGTTTGTGCTTCATTTCCTCCTCAGACTGGCTGGCCCACTCTGCTGCTGTGCTCCAGAACCTCTCCACTGTGTGACCAGTTTGAACACCCAACCTCTGCACCTATCGTCTGGGTTAGAACCTTTCAGCAGCCTCACAGGAAAGCTTTGTGCCCAGTCTTCCACAGCCCATCTGCACGGGGACCAACTGCTGCCAGCCTTGCAGAGCAAAGGTGGCCAGGACGGCTGGCCACAGAAAAGGGTGCAGACATGGGGAAGGCTGGCTAGAGTCTCATCCAGAGAGGAGAGCCCATACTTGTGACCCATTCCACATTCTCCTTTACCGGGCAGTTTTTTGTTTTTTTGTTTTTTTTAAAACAGCATCTCACTCTATCTCCCAGGCTGGAGTGCAGTGACACAATCACAGCTCACTGCAGCCTCGACCCCTGGGCTGGAGTGACCCTCCTGTTGACAGCTATTGTGAGGCCTTGGTTCTTGTCTTCTTGGTTTAAAAGAATTTAAACAAGAGACACACAGCAAAAGAAGTGCAGCATAGAGTCATTTACTGTAAAGAAAAGAGTATTTTGAAAGTTAACTATATATAGGCTGGGCATGGTGGCTCACGCCTGTAATCCCAGCACTTTGGGAGGCCGAGGCGGGTGGATCACAAGGTCAGGAGTTCGAGACCAGCCTGGCCAATATGGTGAAATGCCGTCTCTACTAAAAATACAAAAATTAGCCGGGCATGGTGGCAAGCGCCTGTAGTCCCAGCTACTTGGGAGGCTGAGGCAGAAGTATTGCTTGAACACAGGAGGCGGAGGTTGCAGTCAGCCGAGATCGTGCCACTGCACTCCAGCCTGGCCAACAGAGCAAGACTGCATCTCAAAAAAAAAAAAAAAAAAAAAGTTAAGTATGGAATAGACAGTGCACTGAGAAACAGCATTCGTAAGGATGAGACAGCAAAGACTGGCGCTAGGGAGGCTCCCTTTCTGGAAGCCTTTCATGATTATTCGTAAGTGGGTGGGAAGAGGCGTTACTAGTAGGCATGGTCTGGGTGGTCTTCTTGGTGCACATGTGCAGTAGTTGTACATGCTTGTTTATACATCGCATGTCTCTTTAGCATCTTTTTTTTTTTTTGAGACAGAATCTCACTCTGTCGCCGAGGCTGGAGTGCAGTAGTGCGATCTCAGCTCACTGCAACCTCCACTTCCCAAGTTCAAGCAATTCTCCTGACTCGGCTTCCTGAGTAGCTGGGATTACAAGCACGTGCCACTACCCCTGGCTAATTTTTGTACTTTTAGCAGAGCCAGGCTGGTCTCGAACTCCAACCTCAAGTGGCCTGCCCTCCTTGGCCTCCCAAAGTGCTGGGATTACAGGTGTGAGCCACCGCACCTGGCATCTTTAGCATCTTAAATCTCCACCCAGGGGTGTATTTTTTACTATTAAAATGAGCAGTGTGTCGGTTTGAGGACAGGTGAAATCAAAATGTGCATGCTCTCTACAGGGGCAATCGCCTACTGAAGACAGCTTTGCTTGAATGAGCTCGATTACAATGTGAATGCTGAGGCTTATTGTGTTGATTGTACAGTCACCACGCTTGCTGCGTTCCCAGAACATGGTCATTTCCTTAACTACCTATCCTGCCTCACTCCCACCCCAGCCTCTTGAGTAGCTGACACTACAGGTGTGCAACACCACACCTGGCTAATTTCTTTTCTTTTCTTTTTTTTAGACAGTCTTGCTCTTTTGCCCAGGCTGGAGTGCAGTGGTGCAATCTTGCTTCACTGCAACCTCTGCCTCCCGGGTTCATGTGATTCTCTTGCCTCAGCCCCCCGAGTAGCTGGGATTACAGGCATGCACCACCACGCCCAGCTAATTTTTGTATTTTTAGTAGAGACAGGGTTTCACCATGTTGGCCAGGCTGGTCTCGAACACTTGACCTCAGGTGATCCACTGGCCTTGGCCTCCCAAAGTGCTGGGATTACAGGCGTGAGCCACTGTGCCTGGCTCCTTTTCAATTTTTGTAGAGACAAGGTCTCACTATGTTGCTCAGGCTGGTCTTGAACTCCTGGCTTCAAGCCATCCTCCCAAAGTGCTAGGATTATAGGCATGAGCCACTGCACCCAGCCACTACCTGACAGCTTTTAAGCCAAAGCTTAGTGGAATCATGGGAGGGAGAAATCCTAGCGTCAGCAAGTGAGGACTCGGGCAAGGAAAAGGACCTCTCCTCTCCAGGTCCACTTAGTGCCAGAGCTCTGCGCCTCACAACACACTGCTTGTTCCAGGCTCCACTTTTTCTTCTCAAAATGCTTTATAAATGCCTGGTCCCCATCCTCTTTGGAGTAAGGGTTAACGCTATTCTTCAGGTAATAAAATAAGGCACAGACTCTCTTCATATGATCTGGTACAACACCTCATCCCAGATGTGAAATCCTCTTTGCCTAGCCAGGCCATGCTTTCCTCCTCCAGGCAGGCTTCCAGATCTCCAGCTGCAGCTACTCATCCAGTCAGGAGCCAAGAGAACGAGAGAGGTAGACAGGGTGCAGCCTGCAGCCTTCTGCAACCTCCAGCCCCAGAACCCCTCAGCACCAGTTTATAAATGAAAGAGGTTTAATTGACTCACAGTTCCGTATGGCTGGGGAGGCCTCAGGAAACTTACAATCATGGTGGAAGGGGAAGCAGGCACATCTTACATGGTGGCAGGCAAAAGGCGGCCAGAGCAGGGAAAACTGCTTTATAAAACCATCAGATCTTGTGAGAACTCACTCATATCACAAGAACAGCATGGGGGAAACCGCCCCCATGATCCAATGATTTCCCTTCCCTTCCTTACAGGTCCCTCCCTCGACACCTGGGGATTACAATTAGAGATGCGATTTGGATGGGGACACCGAGAGAAACCATGACAGGGGCTCTCCAGAGAAGCAGCCCAGCCTTGGGCAACTTAGTTCTCCCATCTGACCATCCAACCCAATAAGGCTGCTGACTCACATAGGACCAGGTTAGTGTTTTTCTTAAAGGCACTACCTTTTTGTGGCTAATTTTTAGAATTTATTTTTATTATTATTTTTTTGAGACGGAGTCTCACTCTGTTGCCCAGGCTGGAGTGCAGTGGCGTAATCTTGGCTCACCACAACCTCTGCCTCCCGGGTTCAAGCAATTCTCCTGCCTCAGCTTCATGAGTAGCTGGGACTACAGGTGCATGCCACCACACCCTGCTAATTTTTTGCAGTTTTAATAGAGATGGGGTTTCACCGTGTTAGCCAGGATGGTCTCTATCTCCTGACCTCGTGATCCCCCTGCCTCAGCCTCCCAAAGTGCTGGGATTACAGGCGTGAGCCACTGTGCCCGGCCGCTAGAATTTAATTTTTATCAGATATATAAATACTAGTTTGAAGTCAAGTAATACTACAAAGCTTATAATGATGAACAGCAGCTCCCTGACTCACCAAACCCTTGCAATTCTCAATCCTCAGGAGTAATAACTCTCAACTCTTAGAGCTCTTTCTTATGGTAATTAACTATTAATTCATGCTCATACTGTTATTTTATTGGTTTTCAGGTTTCAGATATTCTCCACTAACTAGGAAGATGATTTTGCTTTCAGACCACACAGACACTCATCGCCCCTCTTGCCACCCATCCTTTAAATTTGATTGTTTTTTCCTTCTGGGGTTCAATCAATATTCATTGTTTACATTGTTTTAATTATGCAAATATCACTACTTGAGGCATACCACATACTCTAATTACATTTCTGTTAGTTTTCCTTTAACTGAAAACGTCTTAATTTCACCTTCATTCTTGAATGATATATTTGGTGGATATAGAATTTTGAGCTGACAGTTCTTTTCTTTCAACCCCTAATGATGTTCTACTGGCCTCTATGATTTCTGATGAGAAGTCCAAGTCATTCAAATCCTTGTCTGCCTTAAATTTGTTGTTTTCTCTGTTTTCAAGATTTTCTCAGTTTGCTTTTTTTTTTTTTTTTTTTGAGACAGAGTCTCGCTCTGTCACCCAGGCTGGAATGCAGTGCTGAGATCTTGGCTCACTGCAACCTCTGCCTCTTGGGCTCAAGCAATTCTCTGGCCTCAGCCTCCCTAGTAGCTAGGATTACAGGCACCTGCCACCATGCCTGGCTAAGTTTTGTATTTTTAGTAGAGACAGGGTTTCACCATCTTGGCCAGGATGGTCTTGAACTCCTGACCTCAGGTGATCCACCAGCCTCGGTCTCCCAAAGTGCTGGGATTACAGGTGTGAGCCACTGCGCCCAGACTATTTTGCATTTTTAATAGTTTGATCATGAGGTGCTTAGGCATAGTTCTCTTCAAATTTATTTTGTTTGGGGCTTATTGAGTATATTTATTTATTTATGAGATGGAGTCTCACTCTGTCACCCAGGCTGGAGTACAGTGGCATGATCTCGGCTCACTTGCAACCTCCACCTCCTGGGTTCAAGCAATTCTCGTGCCTTGGCCTCCCAAGTAGCTGGGACTACAGGCATGCACCACCATTTTTTTGTGGCTAATTTTTGTATTCTTAGTAGAGATGGGGTTTCACCATGTTGACCAGGCTGGTCTTGAACTCCTGATCTCAAGTGACCTGCCTGCCTCGGCCTCTCAAAGTGCTGGGATTACAGGCGTGAGCCACTGCGTCTGACCTTATTGAGCTTTAATCTGTAAACTTATTTACTAAAGTTGGGATGTTTTCAGTTATTATTTCTTTAAATATTTTTCTTCCATGTTGTCTTTCCTATCAATTTTTTTCTGTCCTTCAGATTTCATTATTTCTATTATCCAACTTCATCTTCACTCACTCTTTTGTTGGTTTTTAAAAAATTTTTTTTTCTATTTTTTTCTTTTTTCACTGACTTTTCTTTTTCAATTCTGTTTTACTAGTAAGCTCATTGCTCTGGTTTTAATGTGTCCCCCAAAATTCATGCATTGATACTTAATGGACAATGTGATGGTATTAAGAATTGGGGCCTTTAGTAGGCAATTAAGTCATAAGGTTGGAGCCCTCATGGATGGGGTTAGGGTCCTTAATAAAAGATCTTGCAGGAGTGGGCTCATTCTCTTCTGCTCTTCCACCACGTGAGGACATAGCATTCATTCCTTCTGGAGGATACAGCAAAAAGATACCATCTCAGAAACAGAGAGCAGCCCATAGCAGACACCAAACCTGCCTTGATCTTGGACTTCCCAGTCTTCAGAACTGTGAGAAATAAATTTCTATTATTTATGCATCACCCAATTTCAGTTATTTTGTTATAGCAGCTCAAATAGAATAAGACACCCATCTAGTGATTATTTTTTTTTTTGGAGACAGAGTCTCACTCTTGTTGCCCAGGCTAGGGTGTAGTGGCACGATCTCGGCTCACTGCAACCTCCACCTCTTGGGTTCAAGTGATTCTCCTGCCTCAGCCTCCCGAGTAGCTGGGACTACAGGTACCCGCCACCACACCCAGCTAATTGTTTTCACTAGAGATGGGGTTTCACCATGTTGGCCAGGATGGTCTCGATCTCTTGACCTCATGATCCACCTGCCTCGGCCTCCCAAAGTGCTGGGATTACAGGCGGAAGGTACTGCGCCCAGCCTTTTTTTGAGACAGAGTTTCGCTCTTGTCACCTAGGCTGGAGTGCAATGGCGCTATCTCAGCTCACTGCAACCTCTGCTTCCCAGGTTCAAGTGATTCTCCTGCCTCAGCCTCCCAAGTAGCTGGGATTATAGGTACGCGCCACCACGTCTGGCTAATTTTTGTATTTTTAGCACAGATGGGGTTTCACCATGTTGGCCAGGCTGGTCTTGAACTCCTGACCTCGTGATCCACCCGCCTCAGCCTCCCAAAGTGCTGGGATTACAGGTGTGAGCCACCAAGCCCAGCCACTATTGGTGTTTTAGCTCCCAGGTGCTACAGATTGTTTGTTCCAAGTTTTGACTCCCCTCTGAAAACTGCCTGCTTTTGTTCAGTTTCCAGAGCTCTTGAGTAGTTCTTTTCTCAATATTATCCAGAGCAAGTAAGTATTTGAAAGAAGATGGCTTGTTAGCTTTCTCCTCTAAAATGGAAGTGATAACCCATCTCCCAAATACTTCACCTTTTATATCATCAATCCTTTTTTTTTTTTTTTTTGAGACCAAGGCTAGGAGGCTAAAGTGCATCTTGGCTCACTACAACCTCCACCTCCTGGGTTCAAGTGATTCTCCTGCCTCAGCCTCCCAAGTAGCTAGGATTACAAGCATGTGCCACCATGCCTGCCTAATTTTTGTATTTTTAGTAGACGCGGGGTTTCACCATGTTGGCCAGGCTGGTCTCAAACTCACTGCAAGTGAGCCTCTGGCCTTGGCTTCCCAAAGTGCTGGGATTACAGGCATGAGCCACTACACCCAGCCTAGAGATCAGTCTTATTTATAGCTTTGTTTTTTGGTAAAACGTACTAATAATGAAAAGCACAAGTGAATCATTTCTCTTTTTACGTGATTTTTTGGGAACATAGTGATGCATATGTGTGCTTTGCTCCATAAGGCAATACTTCTCTTAAAGTCCACCTAACTAAAAATGGAAAATTCTTATGCCTGTAATCCCAGCACTTTGGGAGGCTAAGCGGGGTGTGGATCACGAGGTCAGGAGTTCGAGACTAGCCTGGTCAACATAGTGAAACCCCATCTCTACTAAGAAAAATACAAAAAATTAGCCGGGCATGGTGGCGCACGCCTGTAATCCCAACTACTCAGGAGGTTGAGGCAGAAGGATCTCTTGACCTCAGGAAGCGGAGGTTGCAGTGAGCCAACATTGAACCACTGCACTCCAGCCTGGGCGACAGAGCTAGACTTTGTCTCAAAAAAAAAAAAAAAAAAGAAAATTCTTGCTTTTCTTCCTCTCCTTCCCCTTGGGGTTTGGTTTTAGGCTCTCTGATGATAGCCTATGATCACAATGCTTATGTAAAACCACTCTGGCTTTATCTGCTGATTGATCAGTTCCAACAGCCCCATAGAGCTGTGGGTTTCCTGTTTCATATCTGACAGTGGTCATTCTCAGAATAGTCTTTTCCTATCAACATGTAATTAAATCCTTTTACTGCTGCTCTTGTGAACACTTTTGAACACTGACAGTTACACTGATATGTAACTGAGCAAACTTCGCTTTGCCTTTATTTTAAAGTTGCCTGTGCTCATCAGGCGATCTGATACTCCACATCGAGAAGCTCCAACCTCAGGGTTGTGGGAGTGTTTTTAATTGTTTCCTGCGTTTCCTACCAGGCATTGCCAAGTGACTAGACTTAACCTTCTCAGGAAGACTCGAATGCTTTCCCCTCTCTTACCCTACCCCGTCATTAAGGCATAGCAGATCCTCGAGTTGACCTTTCATACTACTGACTCTCACGTCAGTCTGCCCGTTGGTCAGTTTATGCTTAGTGACTTGTCCTTCAGTTAGGAGACTTATGTTTTCTTGTTTGTTTTTTTGAGACAAAGTCTCACTCAGTCACCCAAGCTGAGTGCAGTGGTGCAATCACGGTCACTGCAGTCTTGACCTGCTGGCTCAAGCGATCTTCCCACCTCAGCCTCCTGAGTAGCTGGGACTACAGGCGTGCACCACCACATCCAGATAAATTTTTTTAAGAGATGGGGTCTCACTATGTTGCCCAGGCTGATCTCAAACTCCTGGCCTCAAGTCATCCTCCCACCTCAGCCTCTTTTTTTTCCCTGCGAGTTGCAATTATAGCTGAGTGAAACAAACTGTAACCGAATGAAAGCAACGACAACAGAATCCTCCCCAGGAAGCAGCTGATTAGACAGGGCCAAACGCACAGACATCTTGACAACCTGTAACCAGCAAGTTCTGGCAAGTTATTGATGGAGGCTCTTTGAAGTTCAGCCAAAGTTGGGATCCACTTGGCTGGGCACGGTGGCTCACTTGAGGTTAGGAGTTTGAGACCAGCCTGGCCAACATGGTCAAACTCTGTCTCTACTAAAAACACAAAAATTAGCTGGGCATGGTGGTGCATGCCTGTAATCCCAGCTACTTGGGAGGCCAAGGCAGGAGAATCGATTGAACCTGGGAGGCGGAGGTTGCAGTGAGCTGAGATTGCGTCACTGCACTCCACCCCGGGTGACTCTGTCTCAAAAAAAAAAAAAAAAAAAAGGGCTGGGATCCACCTACTAATTATTTTACAGTTTCCTTCTCTGCGGCAGAGTGAGAGCAACAGAAAACCCTCCACTGTTAGCTGTTAGCAGATGCCTCTCAGTGTTCTCTGCTGCTTGGAGGAGTGACCCATACACTTGTGTCCAGTGAGTGCTGCACCATGTTGGCCTCTTAAGGAAGCGCTTCGCTTCAGTGCTGTCCAGGACTTCCCACTTTCCTTTACAAGAACTGCGATTACATCAGTGGCCCCCGTTAGGGGACTGGGCTACTGTAATGTGTTTTAAAAATTAGGTGCCAAGAACATGTACAAGAATGTTCACAGCAGCATTACTCTTAAGAGCCAAGGTGGAAACAATGCAAACATCTTTTTTTTTTTTTTTTTCTGAGACAGGGTCTGGCTCTGTCGCCCAGGCTGGAGTGCAGTGGCGCGATCTCAGCTCACTGCAACCTCCGCCTCCTGGGTTCAAGCAATTCTCCTGCCTCAGCCTCCCGAGTAGCTCGGACTACAGGCACCCGCCACCATGCCCAGCTAATTTTGTATTTTTAGCAGAGACAGTTTCACCATGTTGGCCAGGCTGGTCTCAAACTCCTGACCTCAGGTGATCCACCCACCTCAGCCTCCCAAAGTGCTGGGACTACAGGTGTGAGCCACTGCACCTGGCCTGAAACAATGCAAACATCAACTAATCAATGGATAAAAAAAAATACATCCACACAATGGACTATTACTCTACAATGAAAAGGAATACATTTCTGATACATGCTACAACCTGAATGAACCTTGAAAACATTATGTGAAAGAATCCAGAGCCACAAAAGGTGACACATTATGTGATTCCATTTATTGGAAGTGTCCAGAATAGACAAATCCATAAAGACAGAAAGTTTCATGGGAATGAAAGGAGTTGGGGTGAATGGGGGTACATTTTAATTTTTTTGAGCTGGAGTCTCACTCTGTTGTCCAGGCTGGAGTGCAGTGGTGCAATCTTGGCTCACTGCAACTTTCACCTCCTGGGTCAAGTGATTCTCCTGCCTCAGCCTCCTAAGTAGCTGCAATTATAGGTGTGCACCACCACACCCAGCTAATTTTTGTATTTTTATTAGAGACAGGGTTTTGCTGTATTGGCCAGCATGGTCTTGAACTCCTGACCTCAAGTGATCAGCCTGCCTCGGCCTCCCGAAGTGCTGCGATTACAGGCATGAGCCACCACACCCGGCCAGGGGGTACACTTTAAATGGCTGAATTGAATGAAGTGTGTTATATCTCAATAAAGCTGTTTTTAAAAAAAGTTAAGATGCCAGGTTTCTGACCCCACAGTGGCAGGCAACGACCCTGTTCTGTGAGCATCCGGGATTATTTTTGGTATGGCAGCTGCCCAGGATTTTTGTGCAGAGCCTTCATACCTGTCACTGATGGAGGCTCTCCGAAGTTCAAGCCAAAGCTGGGATCCGCCTACAAACTGTTTTACAGTTTTCCTTCTTCTCCAAGGTGCAGTGAAAGCGAAGGAACGCTGCTGGACATGGTGAGACATGGAGGACTTTGTAAGGGATAACCTTTGGTTCCCTGATTTTTTGACATGAATCTAACGCTCTGCACCTTCCTCCTTCTTCTTGACAGTGACATTCATAAAGGCCAGAAGCTCGGTGTTTTTGTTTCTGTTGTCTGTATTCTGTATTCTGTTCCACTAGTCCATCTGTCCATCCTTGTACCAATACTTCACTGTCTTCACATTACAGTAACTTTTTAGTCTTGGTTCCTGGTAGGATAAGTCGGAGGTTTGTTGTTCTTCAAGATCACCTTGGATATTCTAGGTCCTTTACATTTCCATATAACATTTTAGAAACAGCTTGCCATTTTTCCACCCACAAAAACCATGCTGGGATTTGGTTGAGATGACTTTGACACCACACATCAGTTTGGGAAGAACCAACAACTTTATAATACTGAGTCTTCCAATGCATATACATAGTATATCCCTCCATTTAGTTACATTTTGTTAGACTTATTTCTAAGTATTTGATGCTTTTTGATGCTATCATAAATTATATTGTTTTGGCAATTTCATTTTCTATTTGTAGCTGTTAGGTATAAATACAGTTTATTTTTCTGTGTTCACCTGATACTCAGTGACCTTGCTAAACTAACTTATTAATTCTAATGGTTTATACATTTAAAAATTTACTGTATATTCCATCAAGTTGTCTGGAAATAATAAAAGTTTTATTTCTTCCTTTCCAATCTATGCTTTGGTTTGTTTTTTGAGACCGGTCTCATACTGTCGCTCAGGCTGGAGTGCAGTGTCAGATCTCCGCTCACCACAACCTCCACCTCCTGGGCTCAAGCGATCCTCCTGCCTCAGCCTCCTGAGCAGCGGGGACTCCAGGAGTATGCCACCAAACCCGGCTAATTTTCGTATCTCTTTTGGTACAGACAGGGTTTCACCATGTTGCCCAGGCTGATGTTGAACTCCTGGGCTCAAGCAATCTGCTTGCCTAGGCCTCCCAAAGTGCAAGGATTACAGGCATGAGCCGCCACGCCCAGCCAAAAAAAAAAAATTTTTTTTTTAAAGCTTTTCTCAAGTGGTTTTTGTTGTTGTTGTTGTTTGTTTTAGACAGGGCCTCACTCTGTCACCCAGACTGGAGTGCAGTAGCATGATCACAGATCACCCCAGGCTCAGGTGATCCTCTTACCTGAGTCTCCCAAGTAGCTTGGACTACAGGGATGCACCACCACACCTGGCTAATTTTTGTATTTTTGGTAAAGATGAGGTTTCACCATATTGCTCAGGCTGTGGAGTTCACGGAACATTGTAGCCTCAACCTCCAGGGCTCCAGCGATCCTCCCACCTCAGCTTCCTGAGTAGCTGGGACTACAGGCGCAAACCACCACGCCCAATTAAAAAAGTTTTTTTTTTGTAGAGATTGGGGGTGGGTCTTGCTATGCTGCCCAGGCTGGTGTTTCATTTTAAAAAATCCAATCTGACTTTTATTTGAGGTATTAGTCTGTTCTTGCATTGCTATAAGGAACTACCTGAGACTGGGTAATTTATGAAGAAAAGAGGTTTAATTGACTCACAGTTCTGCAGGCTGTACAGGAAGTGTGGCTGCGGAAGCCTCAGGAAACTTACAATCATGGGGGAAGGCGAAAGGGAAGCAGGGAAATCTTCCATGGCAGAGCAGGAGATAGAGAAGGGAGAAGAGTTACATGCTTTTAAGCAACCAAGTTTTGTGAGAACTCACTATCAAGAGGACAGCAAGGGGGAAGTCCGCCCTCATGATCCAATCACCTCCCCCCTGGCCTCTCCTCCAATAATGGGGAACACAACTCGACATGAGATTTGGGTGGAGATACAGAGCCAAACCATATAAAGGCGTTTAGACCATTTACAGTACAGTTGTTGACATGGTTTGGTCTATGTCTTTCTGATGGATTGACTCCTTTATATTATTAAGTATACATCTTTAATAATGTTTTCTGGTCTTAAAGTCTACTTTGTCTGATATAGTATAGCTACATAAACTGATATCTTTATTTTTATTTATTTATTTTTATTCAAACAGAGTTTCACTCTGTCTCCCAGGCTGGAGTGCAGTGGCATGATCTCGGCTCACTGCAACTTCCGCCTCCTGGGTTCAAGCGACTCTACTGCCTCAGCCTCCTGAGTAGCTGGGATTATAGGTGCACAGCACGACACCCAGCTAATTTGTGTATTTTTAGTAGAGATGGGGTTTCACCATATTGGCCAGGCTGGTCTTGAACTCCTGACCTCAAGTGATCTGCCTGCCTTGGCCTCCCAAAGTGCTGGGATTAGAGGCATAAGCCACCACACCCAGCCTCACTAGTTTTATTATCCACTGACTCGACTTGCTTGAGACGATTTTACTATGTTGGTTATCAAATGGTAACTTTCTAATTCTGTAATTCCTTCTGTGTTTATTAGCTCAAGGTCTATGGGATGCAGTGTTGACAGGGTTCTGTCTACTTCACTTGCCTCTGTTCCCAGGGCCTAGCTCTCCAAGTCTTTCAACTGAAATCCCATAGTATTCCCCAGGTTCCCTCCTTTTGAGAGATCTTGAAAACTGTCTACTCAGCTCATTGCAACCTCTGCCTCCCAGGCTCAAGCGATTCTCCTTCTTCAGCCTCCTGAGCTGGGATTACAGGCACACGCCACCAGGCCTGGCTAATTTTTGTATTTTTAGCAGAGATGGGGTTTCTCCATGTTGGCCAGGTTGGTCTTGAACTCCTAACCTCAAGTGATCCACCCGCCTTGGCCTCCCAAAGTGCTGGAATTACTGGTTTCTTTTTTTTTTTTTTTTTTTTTTTTTTGAGACAGGGTTTCACTCTGCCGCCCAGGCTGGAATGCAGTGACGCGATCTGAGCTCACTGCGGTGAAGCGATCTGAGCTCACTGCAGCCTCTGCCTCCTGGGTTCTAGCGATTCTCGTGCCGCAGCCTCTCGAGTAGCTGGGATTACAGGCACCTGCCACCATTCCTGGGTAATTTTTTTACTCAGCACTGTGACTCTGCAAAATTCCGCTCTGCTTTAGAGAGGTCTAAGCTTAGTGTTTCAGGTTTGCATCTTGTGTATTCAGATTTCACCAGATGGCTTGAGACCTAGCCATCTATTCGAGGCCATTCAAGCCTCCAAATTTTGTCACTCCGGCTGGTGAGACTATAAAAACATAAAAAACCTGGATCCTCAGCCTCTGGCCAGAGTTGGCAAATGCAAGTGGCTGCAGGCTGTCAGCTCTCCTCTCTACAATCCTGACCCTTTAGTTACTGTTGCCTCTGCAACTCACTTAAACCAAAACCTCACCTCTGGCTTTCATTTTCCTTTGTAAATCTCCATCTTAAGGACTTCACAGGCCGGGCGAGGTGGCTCACGCCTGTAATCTCAGCACTTTGGGAGGCCAAGGAGGGAGGATCACCTGAGGTCAATAGTTCAAGACCAGCCTGGCCAACATGGCAAAACCCCGTCTCTACTAAAAATATAAAAATTACCCAGGAATGGTGGCGGGTGCCTGTAATCCCAGCTACTCGAGAGGCTGAGGCAGGAGAATCGCTAGAACCCAGGAGGTGGAGGTTGCAGTGAGCTGAGATCGCATCACTGCACTCCACCCTGGGCGGCAGAGTGAAACCCTGTCTCAAAAAGAAACCAGTAATTCCAGCATTTTGGGAGGCCAAGGCGGGTGGATCACTTGAGGTTAGGAGTTCAAGACCAACCTGGCCAACATGGAGAAACCCCATCTCTACTAAAAATACAAAAATTAGCTGGGCATGGTGGCATGTGCCTGTAATCCCAGCTCAGGAGGCTGAAGGAGGAGAATCGCTTGAGCCTGGGAGGCAGAGGTTGCAATGAGCTGAGATTGCACCACTGTATTCCAGCCTGGGTGACAGAGCGAGACTGTCTCAAAAAAAAGAAAAGAAAAAAAGAAAAACATCTGGGAAAGTATTAGACTCAGTCTCTGGTTCTGTCCCCAACTCTCTGGGGCCCCTTGGGTGAGTCTTTTACCTTCTCTGGGCCTCAGATCCACCCGCCTACCTATTACACCCAGTTCTGAGGCTACAGAGTGAACAGAAAAGAAAACCACTGCTGTCCTTACAGAACTTAAGCCTAACTTTTCCATCTATAAAATGGGGATACTACAACCTCCCGGAGAGTAAGTGAGCCAGAGAGCTTGCTCTTTGGGAGGTGGCAGTGGCAGACAGGAAAAGCCCATGGAAACACAATGTCAGAGGTCAGCCCAACCTTTCACCTGGGCCTGTGTGCCCTGCAGTGAAACTTGAACAGATCTTCACTGCTGTCACCTACTGCTACCTGGGGCTGTTGGGTGCAGCTCAGTTCTATGGCCTGATCCTGGTTGCTCTCTGAAGAAATCCCTGCTATTTGGCCCACCCTAAGGGGTCTCCCAGCCAAATGGGTCAAGGAGCAGTCCCTGGCTCCAAGACCCAGGCAGGAGAAAGGCATAGTCCTGCCAGGGCCCTGGAGTATGACAGCCAAGCACTAGCAACTGCCTAGTCCTCAGAAGAGCGGCCTGTGCTCCAGCCCCTACCTCCTCATTTGAGCCAACTTCCTCCTAGTCTGCTGCCCCTGTTGCCCCTCTCCTCCTGGCTTTTCTCTTCCACATCGTCCAAGTGTCTCCCCAAGTACAGAGTGTTTGAGAAGACACTGTTCTGCTGTGGGTTGTTGTGGGCAAGTGAGGTAGGGATTTAGGGCCGAGGCCGAGAGCTCCCAGGGAAGGCCTGTCTGGGGAGTCTGCAGCATCCTGCGTTGGGGATGTTCCTATCTTCTCCTACAACCCAATGGCAGCTGGGGTTTTAGTTTGGTCATTCATTCAGGTCCCCAGGCTAATCTGGCCAGTGAGAGGGACAGTGCCTGGTGGGGCAGGCATTCCTGGGCACTGCTGATCAGCTGTCTGAGAAGGGCCTCCCCTCTCTGCACCTCACTTTTTCATCAAGTGAGAATTGGATGTCTAAGGTTCTCCTCATTTTGGCTAAAACTCTTTAATTCCTAGCCCCTTTTGAGGACAAATGCCAAATGCCTCTGAGGATTATGTTGGCCAAGGATTTTTTACCAGAAACATCTTCACACATAAAATGTGAGGGTGGGGGCGATACATTCAGACTATTAAGGCTTCAGCTGGGCAGCTGTCTCCATCACCGCCAGGGCCTCTGGGGCTGTGGCGTCCACTTATGGGGCAGAGTGGAGCTGGGGTAGGTGAACCAAAATCTCCCTTGTAGGGTGCACTGGTGACAAGGAGCCTGAACCATGGACCCCACCTTCCTAAGCTTAGATCAAAGCAGGCAGCCTCTCCAAGACGCTCACGGACAGGCTCCCCACATGCAGAGACTGATGGCTGCCTTGGGCTCCCTAGACAGAGCAAGATCTGCAGTGATGACTCACAAGGACCCCAAGTCCCTCCTCCTTCTTCCTCCTCTACTCTTCACCTTCTCCCCGTCTCTCCTCTATGTCTGGGCCCACAGCCTCCTAGGTGACAACTGCCTATGATGGGCATGAGTTCTGAGAACAAACCCTGGGTCCCAAGTATCTGCCTCCTCTCGCAGCACATCTCATTCCTCAAATCGTAGTATGGATATTACCACTTCAAGAAACCCCTGCTACCATGCAAATTCCTGAAGCCATTCATTTTTAACACGCAGACGCAAATTAACTTCGCCGAGACAGGCAGCAGCAGAAGGCTCAGGGAGGAGGTCTGGAAAGGCTACTGACGCAGGGACTGGGCTGCTGGAATGTGAGGGAGAAGACTGACAAGGGGGTGATGGGGAAGGGTGGCCACTGAAGATCAGGCGCCTCTCAGGACCAGCCATCCACACGTCAGATCTGTACACAGAGCTGCCAGATTCTGCTCTCCCCAGGACAGAGCCTCATGATGTGGGCTTAAACATATCAGTAGAATGAATAATTCTGGACACATTGGCTCAAGAGTCAGAAAACCCCAGACGTGACTTCCAGCTCTGCTACTAGCAGCATACAGAAACCAAGGGGATCAAGGTCCCTAGTCCTCTAAAAGTCCTTGAGTCCTACTCTGCTGAACCTAACTGGTCAAGAACTAAGGACCTGATCAGCAAGGTTTGTGAGCATCAGTTGGCAAGTTCAAGGCCACTGCTTCCACTAGCAGAGAGGTGGTTGAGGTTCCTCCCAGTCACCACAGAGAAGATTTAACAAGTAAAAACCTGCAAACTCTTTATTAAATTCTCCCATTTCATCTGTACAGAAAAAAATGCACATTATGTTCAGAACATATCTCAGTAACATCTCAAAATTACACAGCATGAACATGTAAAAACAAGGGACCACCACGATTTTATACATAGAAAGGAAACCCATTTACAAAAGAGGCTTGTTAATTGTATTTTTTTCTTTCTTTCAAAAACAAAACAAAACAAAAAAAGTGAAAAGCCTAAGATCTCACACAGCATTTGCTGTACAGACTGTTTTCCGGATGGACTGGTTTGGGAACACTGTGCTGGGGGAAGCTGCCCAGGAAGCGCTCCCGCTGCCGGCTTTCCGGAGGTCTCTGCCCAGTGCACTGCAGGGGGACCTGGAGGGCCCATTTCTACCACCCTAGCATGTCTGACAGAAAGCCCTGCTGGGCTCTGGGGTCCAGATGTCAACTCTACATTGGAGGAGGCAAAACACAATCTAGAGGCACTGTCTGAACTTTCCCCTGGCCCAGGGAGATTTCTCCACTGCACACAGCACAGTGTCCTATACATGTGTCCTGGTGGAGCAGAGGGAGCGGGAGAGGACCACGGGTCAGGATCCTGTCACCACCAGCCTGAGCAGACAGTCCCATCTTTGTGATCCAGGTGACAAATAATCAGTCCCTGGTCCCCACAATGACCTCACCAGATGGCTTTGGGGAGCTCTTCACCCTAAAGATTCGGTCTGGTTTGCTAATGACTTATCTATTATCTGAAGTCTGTGGAGGAAGGACCAAGAAGGGGTGCAGTTAGAGGGATGAGCAACCAAAGACCAATGGGAGGGAAGGCAGGCAAGAACCTCAGACCCGGCCCCACGCCCTCTAGGAACCAAAGTCTAGTGGAGAGGAGGCGAGTGGGGAGGAAGGAAGTGTCCCTCAAGGCCTGAGAGAGACCCACAGCACCAGATGCTGCATTTTACAAAACCACTTAGGTGCTGCCCAAATGGTGAGAAATAAAAGGAAGCATTCTGGCCTTTCAGGTTTTTCAAACTCACAAGATGTTGAAATACAAGTAAATATACCAAAATGCACATAATTGAGGCCAAGGTGGGTGGACCACATGTGGTCAGGAGTTCGAAACCAGCGTGGCCAACATGATGAAATCCTGTCTCTACTAAAAATAAGAAAAAATTATCCAGGCATGGTGGTGCATGCCCGTAATCCCAACTACTTGGGAGGCTGAGGCAGGAGAACTGCTTGAACCTAGGAGGCAGAAGTTGCAGTGAGCCGAGATTGCGCCACTGCACTCCAGCCTGGGCAACGAGTGAAACTGTGTCTCAAAAGAAAAAAAAAAAAAAGGCCAGGCCGGGCGTGGTGGCTCACGCCTGTAATGCACTTTGGAAGGCCGAAGTGCACTTTGGCCGAAGTGGGCCACTTTGCGGCCACTTTGGAAGGCCGAAGTGGGCACATCATGAGGTCAGGAGATGGAGACCATCCTGGACAACACGGTGAAACCCCGTCTCTACTAAAAATACAAAAATTAGCTGGGTGTGGTGGTGCATGCCTGTAATCCCAGCTACTCCGGAGGCTGAGGCAGGACAATCGCTTGAACCAGGGAGTCGGAGGATTCGGTAAGCTGAGATAGCGCCACAGCACTCCAGCCTGGCAACGGAGTGAGACTCCATCTCAGAAACAAAACAAAAAACCAAAAAAGCCATTACGGCCAAAATTTAGGCTGACTGTTCTAGGGCTGGCTGACTTCCAAGGTTCCTGGTCCAGCTTCCTTCTTCTTAGATTAAGTTCTGACTTAGAGTGTGTTCTAAGGAGGCAGGGGAGGAAATGGGAAGGGAAGGCCTCTTTTCAGTGGCCTCTCCCCAGATGACTCACTATAGTAGGAACTTCGGGGCAGAAGTCACACCACAGGCCTGGAGGATGGGAGGATAGGAGACACTTCCAGAAGCCACACTGACATAAGAACAGAATCTTCTCTTGGGAAGGCCAAGGGAAGTCAGCCACATAATTCCCTTTCCAGTGTGCCTTGATAAAACGTAAAACATGAATGAAGACACTCTCACCATTAGATTCTTCTGTTAGTTGATCTCAGGAAACAGAAACAAATGAAATCTGACAGTAACTTTCTGTAGCATCTTCAGGGAAAGCTGTCTCTTCACCAGGATGCATCCCCACCCTGGCCAGCTGAGTGACTCACTGTTCCCAAGAAGAGTAAGGACAGCATGAGACAGCCAAAGGCCTGCAGTGTGTTCAAGTCAATACCTGCTCACTCAACATTAGCTCACTGGTCACCCTAGAATTCTCCTAGCTTTGAAGGATGCACTAACACAGAACTGCAGCTGGGGGTGGTAGCCCGGGGAAGATCGCTTTCCCGGGGGTGATCCCAAGCCTATGGAGTGCATGGCTCCCCTGCCGGTGCTTCTTGCTAACGGGCTTGTCTAGGGACAACAGCAACAGCAATGGAAGTCCAACATGCACCCAGGTGAAGGCCTCACAGAGCTCCCCATCTGTGGGAGAAGCTCCATTGTGAACAGTTCGTCTTGTTCTTAATAGTTTGCCCAGACAGCTCACCTTCAGTACCCCAGAGCCTCCAGCCTGGCAGTCCGGGCTCCAGGTACCTCTAGAGGGCTGTGGCGCACACTATGCATAAGTCACAGGGACACTGGCATGAACTGGTAAGTCCAGATGACAGTGACCCAGCTGCTATAACTGTTAGCAAGTACCTGAAGCCTTAGCCTTGGCAAAACCCCCTACCCTCTACTTCTATTACTGTTGGTGGGCTACACATCAGGAGAGTAGACACAGGCCAGAGTCCATCATCCACTCACATCCACAGAAGGGTCATTGTTTCTTTTCTTGACCATTTCTCAGCCAGTTGACTGACCTATAAGGCCAGGAACCAGGGGTGCCCCAGGCCCTGTTTTGTTTTGCCAAATGAGGGACTTAATGAGTGCGGCCAGTTCAGACTTTGCTGGCCTTGGCACTTAGAAAAACTTGCTCGGGGCCCTGCCTGGGGCTCTCAAGAGCCAGTCATTGGAAAATGCTCCAAGTAAGATGATGAAAGACATTCTTGTAATAAGTAATTGAAGATACTGGCAGAGCTAACTTTTCTATTCTGACCATTTATAAAGATGACAAATGTTTTGGCCAGGCAGGGTGGCTCACACCTGTAATCCCAGCACTTTGGGAAGCTGAGGCGGGTGGATCATGAGATCAGGAGTTCAAGACCAGCCTGGCCAAGATGGTGAAACCCCATCTCTACTAAAAATACAAAAATAAGCCAGGCGTGGTGGCGGGTGCCTGGAATCCCAGCTACTCAGGAGGCTGAGGCAGAGAATTGCTTGAACCCAGGAGGTGGAGGTTGCAGGGAGCTGAGATCGCGCCACTGCACTGCAGCCTGGGCAACAGAGAGATACTCTGTCTCAAAAAAAAAAAAAAAGACAGATGTTTCAAGAACCAAATTCCTCATCAAACTTCCAAATCTGCAGACAACGAATGGGATTTTCTCTCAATTCAGAAAGAACAGAAATATCAACACAATTAGAACTATAAGGGTGTTTACGCATACTGGGAAGGAGACTGCAGAGAGGAAGGATACCCCACCCGGTCAAACAGTGAACATCCATCCTACCTGCAAACCACACCAGGCACGTCCGTAGGCACCTCCATGTACATGACATTCCTGGCTCTTGATATTAGGCCTCAGCGGCCCCCAGCCCCCAGGGGAACCTGCAGAGACTCTCGGGCCGCTCACTCCGGCTGGCAGTGGCGGGAGGCAGTGTGTGCTGCTCGCACCCTGCGTTTCCAGTTTTAGGAGACTGAAGCATCCCAGACAGCTGTTGACAATCAGGAAGACCCTACAAGCAGGACCGAGGGGACTAAGCAGCTTAGCAGCTTCCCTTGGTGACTTGGCAGGGGGACAATCAGTTGGCTTCTGGAACCCACTGCCTCCAGGAAGGGCAGCAAATAGAAAAAAAAGAAAGAAAACCACAGTATTCAAATATATGTCAGTCAGGTTAGACAAGGAGTAACTTGGATCAACTGATCCACAAACTGACACGCCTTGTACTGAACACCCTTCAGGGAAGACATGTGTCGCTCCGGTCCTGCAGTGCACGTGGACTGTGCAGAGCAGAGGCAAGAGTGGGGGGCGCCGAGGGCAGGCCTTGGTCTACATGGACAGTTTTAGGCACGTGATTTATAATACTTTGTGGACATCTAACAGGTTAATAAAATATATATTACATAAATGTCTCTCCTACTGTACACACTGCTCTCTTGTGCAGCCACTGTGATCTCATGCCCCAAACTCAACCAAAGGAGTGCCACGCTGAACCATGATGCCCGGACCCCTCCCTCTCACACCCAGACTTGTCATCTCCACACTGGAGGAATGAGGCGGGATGGCCAAGAATATTGCTTCTATAAAGCCCATATTCTGCAAAGGTTGATGAATCGCCAAAATACAACATTTAGCCAATGCCTACTAGAGTGGGTACACGCAGCAAATGGACAGAAAGAAAAAAAACAGAGCAAATCCTCCATCTTTTAATGTGATAACTTTCCACACCCTCTCCACGTAGAGGCACAAAGGAGCTTGTCTGGGAAGTTTGTCTGGAGTGTGCAGAAAGGTCAGGCTGGACTGCCTGTCACATCCTGAGACCACACTAAACCTTTATAAGCCATTGTCTCTGACCTGTATTGTAGCCTGAAAAATAAAGCAAAGTGAGTCAAACCTCTGGCTCCCACTTCCTGACCCACTGCTCCCCACACCCATCTTCAAGGACCCCTCCCGCCACAGTCCTGCCTCCTGATGAAGCGCAGAGCTTCCAGAGTGACTGTAGCCTCAGCAGGGCCGGTCCAGACATGGCTGAGTCCTGTGCTGCCCTGGAGGAGGAAGGTTCCTGGGATCCTGCTGCCCCGGGACTCAGGATCCAGCCTCTCAGTGCAGATGGATGGACTGTTCAACTTCACAAACTTCCGGTCCCTTCCCCTCCCCAGCTGCCCTTGTCTAGGAAGGCTCATGCTTTGCTTCAATGAAGCGAGGAGACCACAGAAATACCCATGGCTGTGGGGCTGTGACCAGCAGTGGCTGATTAGGGTGGAAACTGGAAAGCGTCACTGTCTCAGCAGAAGAAAGCAGGACCCCACACAGCCTGGGGAACGGCTGCCCACCCACGCCTCGGTGAAGACCACGGCCCTGGCGAGGCCCCAAGGTGCTTCTGAGAGATGAACGAGACACCTCAGTCATGGCACACTGGGTGGTGTGCTTCCCCTCCAAGTCCTGTCTTTGTTTTACACAGTCATATGAAAGACATAACCCCATTGCCCAAATCAAGCCTGGAGGAGATGCGTTACTATATACATTTTTTTCTTTAAAAAAATTTTTTTTTTTGGTGGTTTTCTTAAAAAAGCCTTTGAGTTGCAGGTCAGGTGAGTTGGTTCTGGAAGTACCGGAAGTTCTGTTGGTATGAGAGAGACTTGTCTACAGGCAGGTAAACCCAAGTTTGCCAAACAAAGGCAGTAACCCCAGCGACCAGCTGCTGCTGCTGCACGGTGAGGAGGAGGAGGACACCATGGACACGAGTGGAGGCTGGATGGGACAACGCAGTGGACATCTGCTAATGCTCTAACACGGGGTTGGTGTCACTTCTGAGAAGAGCGAGGTGAGTGGGGATGCTATACAAGAGGGCTGTACAAACTGGGCACTGGATAGGTAGTTCCTTTGGTGGTCAAGGTGGCTCTACCTGTCCTTGAGCTCTCGTGTCACTCGCTTGGTGATCCGTCCACACATCAGGCCAATCAGGAACAATATACAGATGCTCCCACTGATCACAGAGAGAATGTAGTTCTTAGATGGAGACGTCATTACTTGCATGGCAAGATCAGAGAAGCCATCTGCTGGGGCCACCTAGAATGACACAAGGCAATGTGATTCTCTGAGAGAGCACTGGGCTGGTGGCAGTGCTAGGTCTAACTTATCCCTCTCAGTTCCTAGTTTAATTTATGTCTTTTCTTTTGGAGAGGGAGGGCAGGAGATAAGAAAAATCAACACAGAGCTACAACTCTTTTTCCTGATCATAAAACTATACACACGTCTACTGCACAAAATTAGAAATACAGAAAGAGACAAAGTGGTGCAGTCACCCACAATTCCATCACAGTGATCACCACTAACACCAGGACACTGAAGATGTGTCGGGCCCTGGACGAAGGGCTCCCCCTGCCCTCACTCATTTAGCACTCACACCAAGCCTAGCAAGCAGATTTCACCACTCCCATACTCTGGATGGAGAATCAGTGCCCAGGGGTGAGTGTGGTTAAATGACTTCTATAAGGCCATGGGTTCTTCTATCTTTTGGTTTATGCTCTTTAAATGCGTTTGCTGCCTTTCTTTAAAAAACAAAGATAAAAGTTGACATCGTTTTACATATTCTATATTTTGTAAATTCTATTTTTTTTTTTTTTTGAGACAAAGTCTTACTGTTACCCAGGCATTGTGCAGTGGCATGATGTCAGCTCACCACAACCTCTACCTCTCAGGTTTAAGCGATTCTCCTCCCTCACCCACATGAGTAGCTGGGACTACAGGTGCACGCCACCATGCACAGCTAATTTTTTTGGTATTTTTAGTAGAGACGGGGTTTCACTGTGTTGGGCAGGCTGGTCTTGAACTCCTGACCTCGTGATCCGCCCACCTCGGCCTCCCAAAGTGCTGGGATTACAGGCATGAGCCACTGCGCCCGGCCTTGTAAATTCTATATTATTTCTAAATTTTATATTTTGGCTTTTTTTTCAT
The DNA here is from genome assembly GCF_000001405.40 of Homo sapiens. Lineage (NCBI taxonomy): Eukaryota > Metazoa > Chordata > Mammalia > Primates > Hominidae > Homo > Homo sapiens. Next base: position 74,454,223 of record NC_000016.10, read on the forward strand.
TGAGTTGGGGTCTCGCGCTGTTGCCCAGGTTGGTGTACAGTGGTGCGATCACAGCTCACTACAACCTCAAACTCCTGAGCTCAAGGGATCCTCCTACCTCAGCCTCCTGAGTAGCTGAGACTACAAGTGCACCACCATGCCTGGCTAATTAAAAAATTTTTTTTGGCCAGGCATGGTGGCTCACGCCTGTAATCCCAGCACTTTGGGAGGCTGAGATGGTGGACCATGAAGTCAGGAGTTCAAGACCAGCCTGGCCAACATGGTGAAACCCTGTCTCTACTAAAAATACAAAAGTTAGCTGGGCGTGGTGGCGCTCGCCTGCAATCCCAGCTACTGGGGAGGCTGAGGCAGGATAATTGCTTGAACCCGGGAGGCGGAGGTTGCAGTGTGCCAAGACTGCACTACTGGACTCCAGCCTGGGCAACAGGACGAGAATCCGTCCCCAAAAAAAAAAAAAAAAAAAAAAAAAAAAAAAAAATTTTTTTTTTTGTTAGAGATGGGGTCTCCCTATGTTGCCCAAGCTGGTCTCGAACTCCTGGGCTCAAGTGATCCTCCTGCCTCGGTCTCCCAAGGTGCTGGGATTATAGGTGTGAGCCACTGCACCCAGCCTGTATTTTGACTTTTTTCATTCACCATTATATCATAAGCATTTCCCACATCAAAAACAATGTGCAGGCCGAGACCAGCCTGGACAACATAGCCAAGACCTTGTCTCCACAAAAAATTATAAAATTAGCTGGGTGTGGTGGCGTGCACCTGTGGTCCCAGCTACTCAAGGAGGATCACTTGAGCCCAGGAGTTCGAGGCTGCAGTGAGCCATGTTCACACCACTGCACCGCAAACAAGACTTATATTGACAGAATATATTTAACCGCCCTCCACTTGTGGACATTTATAATTTAACCTCAGCTATCTTTCATCCTCAGTTTTCCACTGCTTTCCCTAACGGACCTTGATGGTAGCCTGCTATGGCAGAATCAGGACCAAAAGGGTCCCCAGGTGCACATGTCCCCATTCTTTTGCATCCCAGCCTGGCTGCTGAGATGGTGTGGCCCAGAGGCATCTGGGCTGTTTCTATGCTCATATCACGTACACAGAACAGAGTAGGGAGGCGTGAGATGAATGAGATTTGAGCTCCAATAGTTGCCAACACAAAACAAGCCGTGAATTACTCTGAGTCACTCTGAAGCAATAATACACAGCTCAAAGGACTGGACACAATGAGGCAGAATGAAGTAACGCAGCATCTCCTGCTGCCGCTTCCCTGAGCCACCGGCTTTAAAGGCAACTTTCTTCCCTTGGCAGAAGGGTGAGGAGAGTGTTGACTACTGTGACAGACAGGAGCCCTCCCTTGTACCTTCCTGCTGTCGACCTATGAAGACTTTCTCTGATTGTTCCTCTTGACTTGTTACCCTTGACTTGGAAGTAAAAGGGTGATAAAATTGGCCAGGAAGGAGGGGTGGTCCTGGGATTACTCTCTTGATCTTAGGCCACTGCAGATGTCTATCCCAATATGAGTCAATACAAAAGCATGGCTCTAAAAACCAGAGGGACTCTGGGCAAGTCGTGACCTCTGAAGTCAGTTTCCTTCACTGTAAAGTGACGAAACAGTCATTATACTTACCTCACAGGGTTTCAAAGTTCAAATCAGGCAATACGTCCACCAAAGCGTTATGTAAACTACAAAGCAATGTATGCACGAGAAGAACTGTTATTCTTCTCACTGAGGCTGAACCTCTGTAGGAAAAATTACCCCTAGCCCAAGTCTACCTGGGTATCATACACATTCATGAGTGTCCTACAGTCTTTCTTCATCCCCTTCTTCTCCATGTTCCAGACCAGATGAGTACTGGCCTCAAATATGTATTTTTCTCCTAAAGACTGTAAAATGATAAAAGCAAGCTTCATCATAGGCGAGGCTGGATTTCTTTCTTTTGCCATGGGTGTGACATCTCTTTTGTCTTTGGGTGACTCACTTTTCAGCGGTGAACAGTGGGCGAAATGAGAAAGGAGGGCCCTGGCAAAGCCTTGCAGACAGCCCGATGCACAGGGAGACGGCTCCAGGCTCACGGGCAGCCAAGGAATTCTAAAAGCACACTGACCATGTTTACTGTTTTTTAGTAGAGACGGGGTTTCACCGTGTTGGCCAGGTTGGTCTCGATCTCCTGACCTCGTGATCTGCCTGCCTCGGCCTCCCAAAACGCTGAGATTACAGGCGCGAGCCACCGCGCCCGGCCCTGACCACGTTTTCAAACGCACTTATTGCTAGTCTCACAATAAGGACAAGACCAGTGCGATATCTAAAAGAGGCTGGACAGCCACAGCGAGGAGAGTGGCATGGCCTTTGCTCAAGGATGACATGCAAATTGGTGAAGTGTTCCATATTTTTTTGTTTTTTTAAAAAAGGAGATTCTCTTGGTCATTACCTTTGCTGCGTAACTCCACATCTCAATCCGGTCATTGAGGCGCTTTTTGCACTCGGGCTGTAACCTCACCCGCTTATCCTCCAGTGCTTCCATGAGACAGGACATTTCTGTGGGAGGAAATGAATAATAAGAAGAACCTGAAACTGTACAGAATAGAGAAATTTCTGTAAAGATGAGGAAGAGGGTGCACAACCACCAGAGAATTCAGATCTGCAGGCTCAACAAAGTTAAATACATACTAGGAAACTTGATCCAGGATCCAACAATGGAGAGAAATGATATGTAACCTCCAGGGTTGGCGTCCGAAGCCTCTCTTAAAACCTCCTTATTTTTAGAGCCAGGTGTGGTGGCAAACACCTGTAATCCCAGATACTTGGGAAGCTGAGGCAGGAGGATCCCTTGAGCCCACGACTTTGAGACTACATTATAGTAAGACCTTGTTTCAAAAAATTAAAACGAAAACAGGCTGGGCATAGTGGCTTATGCCTGTAATCCCAGCACTTTGGGAGGCCGAGGTGGGTGGATCACTTGAAGTCAGGAGTTTGAGACTAGCCTGGCCAACATGGCAAAACCCTGTCTGTACTTAAAAAATACAAAAATGAGCCAGGCATGGTGGTGGGTGCCTGTAGTCTCAGTTACTCAGGAGGTTAAGGTGGGAAAATCACTTGAACCCAGGAGGCGGAGGTTGCAGTGAGCTGAGATCATGCCACCACACTCCAGCCTGGGTGACAGAGTGAGACTCTGTCTCAAAAAAATAAATAAAAATACAAACAAACAACTTCTATTAGTTTTATTGGGTATACGTGGCTCAAAAAGAACTCTCACACTTGCCTTGGCTCCCTCCTCACACAGAACCTGTCTACTGAGTCCACTGTCGTCACCGGGGAAGTGTGTGAAGCTGGCTTCTAGTTTCGGCACCAGGAAAAGGACCATGATGATGACTTTAACTTCTGCTTCCCTAATAAATACCTCAATTCTCCCTGTTCATCAAATCTTTAGCTCCAGTCATGACAAGGCCAGTTCAAACTCGCAGGCTTATTCCTAAATTCATGATGCCATAAAGGTCTAGTTTTGGCATCACCCAGGTCCCCAGGGAATGTTGTCTATGACTGGGCTACAACTACAGACCATACAGACCACAGTAGCTGCAACTGATGTCTAAGAGGGAGTCTTTGCTCTTCCCAAGAGAGTTCAGACAGGATCAAGAGTGAACACAGAGACTTACGACGCCCGCGGCCAGGGGTGATGGCTGCGCAGTGGTGTTTAATGTCCAGGGCACAAGCAGTATGAAGTACCGGGTCAACAAAGATGTCTGCTTTGCTTTCCTTCAGCATGTTTAGCACTTCCTGGAAAGGGAGGGTCATTGCAGACAGAGCTTTTGAAGGGGAAATGCATCAGATCTGTTGTCTGTAAATACTTCATATACTAATAAAAAAGGGGGGAAGTTGAGGGCTAACAACAGAGACCACTTTGGGACAGGTTGCAAGGTGGTGATGATGTACAGAATGCAGAATTTAATTGAGTAACTAACTACTTTTAGGGATACAAAACTGTGTGTTGGAAAAAAGCAGGGGACTGTAAGTGACTGTAAGATCAGATTTGTGTTTTTGGCATTCCCGTATGTCATGTCGTATCATTTTAAAATACCTAAACGTTAATATTTTTATTGGTGTGATACAATTACTGTGTTACTTTAAGAAATATGAAAACGTGAAATCTTAAAATCAGAGTAATATGCTATATTAAAATTCTCAATCGGGACTGGGGGTGGTGGCTTATGCCTGTAATCCCAGCACTTTGGGAGGCCGAGGTAGGAGTCTGAGACCCGTGTGGGTAACACAGCAAGACCCCCATCTCTATAGAAAATTATTTAAAAAAAAATTAGCTGGGCATAATCGTGTGCCCTGTGGTCCTAGCCACCTGGGAGGTTGAGGTGGGAGGACTGCTTGAGCCCAGTTTGAGGTCCAGTGAGCTATGACTGCACCACTGCACTCCATCCTGGGAGACAAAGTGTGACCCTATCTCAAAGAAAAACAAAAACAAAAAAATACCAATTAGATAAAGGCACATTTGTTTACAAAATGTTCTACTTTACCTCTGTTGTCCTCAGAAAGAAAAACAGAAAGGACAGGGCATAACATCTACTACAAGAGCAATTCTTATTTGTGTTTACAGATGTCCTGAATGAGAGGAATATCAACATGATGGAACTGAAATCAACTCTGCAGATTCTCCATTTATACATAAGGGAACTATGGGAGGTAAAGATAGGCCAGAAATGTTTCCATAAATAAAAGTTAGTATGCTCCAGACAAGACTCTAGTCCCTATAAAACAACAGTAAGAGAAATAAAAACCAAAAACCAAAGGCCAAATAATATTCTAAAATCCTCCCCAAAGTTATATGGGATCATGTGATGATAAAAGAGGCAAAGGAAAATATACGGATCTAGCTTTCCACATTTTTAACAGACGAAAAAATGTGCACACAATGTTCTCAATTATTCAATAATGACATCAGTGAAATTCTTTTTTAAAAGGTTAATTTTGGCTGGGCGCGGTGGCTCACACCTGTAATCCCAGCACTTTGGAAGGCCGAGGCGGGTGGATCACGAGGTCAGGAGATCAAGACCATTCTGGCTAACACAGTGAACCCCCGTCTCTACTAAAAATACAGAAAATTAGTCAGGCGTGGTGGCGGGCGCCTATAGTCCCAGCTACTTGGGAGGCTGAGGCAGGAGAATGGCGTGAACCCGGGAGGCAGAGGTTGCAGTGAGATCACGCCACTGCGCTCCAGCCTGGGCAACAGAGCGAGACTCCGTCTCAAAGAAAAGAAAAGAATATTCACATTATAGGAGATGAGCAGTCAAAATCAAATGAAAGTTTGGTAAGAAGGAACAGCAAGAAAAGAGTGCTGGGCAGAAGGTTGAGATTTTTGGTTTTATTACCAAGGTAGGCAGACTACAGCATTAAAAGGAAGAAGAGAAAAAAAAAAAAAGAAATGAAGTGAGGAAAAGAAGGTGACGGTGGTTACCTTTTTACACAATTCTGTTTTGATCTTGAGCAGGTTGACCTTGAGGCACTCCTCCACCTGACCTGTCTGCTCTTGGGCTGCTGCTTCTTCAGCACATAGACTGGAGATCTGTTCAGGAGACACAAAAAACAAAGCTACCCCACTGAGCACAGAAATGAACTGACAGTTTCTTCTTTTTTTTTTTTATTTTTTGAAACAGAGCCAAGCTCTGTCACCCAGGCTGCAGTGCAGTGGTGCGATCTCGGCTCACTGCAACCTCTGCCTCCTAGGTTCAAGTGATTCTCCTGCCTCAGCCTCTTGAGTAGCTGGGACTACAGGCGCGTGCTACCATGCCTGGCTGATTTTTTTTTTTTTTTTTAGACAGAGTCTTGCTCTTGTTGCCCAGGCTGAAGTACAATGGCACGATCTCGGCTCACCGCAACCTCTGCCTCTCATGTTCAAGTGATTCTCCTGCCTCAGCCTCCTGAGTAGCTGGAATTACAGGTATGTACCACCATGCCCAGCTAATTTTGTACTTTTAGTAGAGACAGAGTTTCTCCATGTTAGTCAGGCTGGTCTCGAACTTCTGATCTCAGGTGATTGCCCACCTTGGCTTCCCAAAGGGCTGGGATTACAGGGCATGAGCCACCGCAACTGGCCTGATTTTTGTATTTCTAGTAGAGATGGGGTTTCGCCATGTTGGCCAGGCTGGTCTTGAACTCCTGACCTCAGGTGATCCTCCTACCTTGGCCTCCCAAAGTGCTGGGATTATAGGCATGAGCCACCACACCCGGCCTGAACTGACAGTTTCAAAAGCAGATGAGTCCGGTGATTCCAATCAGCTCTGGACACCGCAGGATCTGTGCCCCCTCTTCACTGGCCTACTGCTGTTTTACAAGCCAGGGGCAGTAGCACTGCTATCACCAGAACCCTTGGTCTCTAAACATGTCAGTTTGATGATCGTCCCACACCTGTGCCAGGGCTCATCACAAACAGTTTCCTGGGGGTTTCGTGCCCCTCCTCCTATATTGGATGCCAGGCTTCATTCTTCACAAGGACTGGCACACAGAGTGGAAAATCAATAAATGTCATATCTTTACACTGTAAACACTGAGACTTGAGTCAGATCTCAGGACTTGTCAAAAAGAAGGCTGCTACTTGATTCCACAGGAGCAAGGTTATATATAACCAAATCAAATACGAAAAGCAAACGCTTGACATTCACATAGGTTCAGGGTCAAACCAGACTCTCAACTTGAAAGTGTGCACACGCGCGTACCCGCACACACACGCACACATACACAGGAGTTGAGAAACACAGCCCACAGCAAAGACAAAAATATTAAGTTTCTTTGGACAGTTTTATGAGTGAGCTTTTTTGTAACAGCTTTTGTTATGAGCTCCTGAAATTAACATATGTTGAACACGCTCTCCACAAGGCCTTTTCTAGCTAAGAAGTCCAATAATCTCCAAAGATGGGCACTTCCTTACGGCCATTATAGAATTACTTTTTTTTTTTTTTTTTGAGATGGAACCTCGCTCTGTCGCCCAGGCTGGAGTGCAGCGGTGCAATCTCGGCTCACTGCAAGCTCTGCCTCCTGGGTTCATGCCATTCTCCTGCCTTAGCCTCCCGGGTAGCTGGGACTACAGGTATACGCCACCGGGCCGGGCTAATGTTTTTTTTTTTTAGTAGAGCTGGGATTTCACTGTGTTAGCCAGGATGGTCTCAATCTCCTGACCTCATGATCTGCCCGCCTCAGCCTCCCTAAGTGATGGGATTACAGGGGTGAACCACCTCGCCCGGGCTTTTTTTTTTTTTTTTTTTTTTGAGACAGAGTCTTCCTCTGTCGCCCAGGCTGGGGTGCAGTGGCATGATCTCAGCTCACTGCAACCTCCGCCTCCCGGGTTCAAGTGATTCTCCTGCCTCAGCCTCCTGAGTAGCTGAGATTACTGGTGCACGCCACCACGCCTGGCTAATTTTTTGTATTTTTAGTAGAGACAGATTTCTCCATGTTAGCCAGGCTGGTCTTGAACTCCTGACCTCAGATGATCCACCCTCCTTGGCCTCCCAAAGTGTTGGGATTACAGGCGTGAGCCACCGTGCCCAGCTGAAAGCACTTTTATCTTTCTGGCAGGTCTTGGGTTTACCATCCAGAATAAGAAGAAGGGAAGAACAAATTTACAGAGAGCTATAATGAAAGAACACCCTTGTTCAACAGAGAAATATGGAACAACGCTTTAGAGTGTCAGGACTAATGCCAAGTTGAATTCAGTGTTACAAAGAACAGGAATGCAGACCATGGAGAGCCTAGAAGATGGCCTTCAATTCACCAGATCATTCACGGCTGAAGGGAGAGAAAGTAAACAACTTTTCTCCAGTGGAAACTTCTCTGAGCAGCTCTGTGCGTAACCAGTTTTGCACGCAAATCCCACCTCGTCTGAGCAGTGCAGCTGGAGCTGAGGATCCAGGCGGTAGTCCAGGGCGGACTCCTGGATAATGATTCGGATCTGGTCTTCACAGTCTGAAGACAGGCGCTGCATGTGACAAAGGGAGGATACATGGGCTGATCAGAAAACGAAGCTTTTCTACAAAAGCAGGACATGAAAAAAAAAACAAACAACAACAACCACAAGAACAAGAAAAAAACAAAAAGAACAAGAAAAAACAAAATGCCTGCTTTTGATCTGGCCCCTTAGCCCCCCAGGTTCGGGAAGATATGAAAAAGGTCTTGGGAAAACGGGAGCAAGCTAGGGATTTCAAAAGAGAAAATTCCCAGGGACAGAGGCTCCATAAATACACCTTTGTGGAGAGCCCAGGCCAGTTTACCTGGTCAGCATATCTCAGCTTCAGGCAAGAGATGACTTGTCCTTCTAATTCTGAATCATCCTTGGCCTTAGTCAGGATACCGTGACAGAATTTAGGAATGTCAGCTTTACAGGCTTTTCTTAACATGGGGTTTAAGCGGTAATCTAGAGTAGAAAGCAGTGAGCATGTGACAAAACATTCCACCTGATTCACACATTTTTAGATATCCACCTTCCTAAAGGGAGCATATTATGTCAATGATCATGACTACAACCATGGATTTATCTATTCAATAAACATTTACTGAGCTCTCACTACACTGTTTTTAATCAGCAATATGACTTGTTAACGAGTACTTCTGGAGGTCCTCAGGAATCTTTCTACTCTGCGGGGTTTTGTGCAGACTCCAATACTCTAAGGAGTCCTCAGAAAAATCAAGGGGACATCAGCAACCTTCCCCATAACAGACACTTTTGAGAACACTGAAAAAGAAATACAATATCCAACTCACTGTGACCATTAACTTACGAGGTCTTCCAACTCAGAGGTGAAATGTTTCTGTTCCGAATCAGATTACCCGTACATTCTCCTGGCACACTCATGAAGTTTTATTGAATTTCTAGATTTTTCTTTCCAAGGACTGCCGGCCTGATTCCTTCTGAACGTTCTTTTAGGGCAGTTTTCTGGTTCTTGTGGCCTCCTCTCTCCCCTGACTCTCCCTCCATTTTTCTGGATGCTCCTCAAAGGAGGAAGGCCCTGCTTACACTCAGACTCCTCCCTTAAAATTCCCAGGCAACAAAGCCCTGGGAGTTTGAGCAGGTCACTCTACAGCCACTGAATTCCTTTTCAGATACTCCACGGGGCCAGGAGAGCCAAGCCAAGATCTTACCTGTGTTCTGGGTGATCTGGCGCTTGGTTATCATCTGTTTGCATTTGGGATCCATCAATTCACTGTTTTTATTTTGCTTCAAGCACTGCAACATGGTTTTAGAATCTGCTTCCGGACAGAACCTCTGCAAAGAAACAGTTTGATAAAAACAGCTATCTAAACATGGCGATTAACTCCATCTGCGACCACTTTTTTTTTTCTGGAGACGGAGTCTCACCGTGTCACCCAGGCTGGAGTGCAGTGGCGCAATTCGGCTTACTGCAACCTCCGCCTCCCGAGTTCAAGCGATTCTCCTGCTTCAGCCTCCCAAGTCAGCCTCCTGAGTAGCGGGGATTACAGGCGTGCGTCACCACGCCCAGCTCATTTTTGTGTTTTTTTTGTTGTTGTTGTTGTTGTTTTAGCAGAGATGAGGTTTCACCATGTTGGCCAGGCTGGTCTTGAACTCCTGGTATCAGGTGATCCACCCACCTGGGCTTCCCAAAGTGCTGGGATTACAGGCATGAGCCACCACGCCTGGCCACTTTTTTTTTTTTTAAGGCTAGTCAAGTGAAGCAACAGGAATGTAGAAGAACAAATAAATCTGTAAGTAGCTGTGATCAATTAGTTGTAAACAGCACCGCACTTGGACCAGCCTGTGGTCACCCTTAACATCTATCCAAAAGCTGATGAAAGCAGCAGCCTGAAGGCATCACGTGGTACAAGAGGAGCAGGTAGGCCTGAAAGAGCACCCCACCCCAACTTCCCCTTTCTTTCTTATTCTCTACTATTTCTCACATTTCTTTCTACTGCCTCACTGGTTCTTACACAGGATTGGTTCCCTATCTAGAGGGTGATGTTAAGTTTAATGGCATCTGAGGAACTTATTGTTTAAGCATGAATGTAACACTGTACCAGGTGGCTGTACAGCCCTCAAGCCCTACCTACCCAACTCTAGTGGGGAAACCTAGGAATTCTCCACTAACCAATGTGAACAAGGATGTGGGCTAAGGACCCACTTGGTTCATCTTAATTACAGGGCTATAATCCTACCAAGCAGTAAAGGGTAGGGTCCTGTACACTTACTGCTGTCCTTTAAGTCAGGGATCAGCTGTGGACTAGTAATAAACTCCCTATCCGTTCTGCTAATCCGCAAGTCTTCAAGTGTCACAGTGTCTGATAAACTCTGGTTGAGACACTTGAGCACTGAGCCTCTCTTCCTAGTTCTGTTTCTAGTTCTCTAAAGAGTGTGATTATAACCTGCTGACATCTTGTTATGGAGACATGGATTGTTCACTGACTTTTAGAAAATTTTCCAAAGCTCTCTCACATCAGAGCCTGACATTTCCATTTTTACATATGACTCAATTTCATCAGGCCAGTTAAAAAGACTTACATTCTAACTTTCAAAATTCTCTCTAGAATTTATTTGATAGTGTAAAAAGTAGCATTTTACTTTAAAGGAAAGCTGAAATAAAGGAGCTAGAACCTTTAGTTTAAGTTTAAAAAAAATTTTTTTTTTCTTTTTTGAGACAGAGTCTTACTCTGTCGCTCAGGCTGGAGTGCAGTGGCATGACCTTGGCTCACTGCAGCCTGCGCCTCCCAGGAGCGATTCTCTTGCCTCAGCCTCCTGAATAGCTGGGACTACAGGCATGTGCCACCACACCCGGCTAATTTTTGTATTTTTAGTAGAGACGGGGTTTCACCATGTTGGCCAGGCTGGTCTCGAACTCCTGACCTCAGGTGATCCTCCCGCCTTGGCCTCTGAAAGTGCTGGGATTACAGGCGTGAGCCACCGTGCCCTGCCGAACCTTGAGTTTAATGTATGTGTGGCGAGATCAGGGAACTGACATCTAGGTACTCAGGTCAGCCCTGCTGCAGGGAATACCTGCTGGAGGAGGGAATGAAGCAAAACAACCTGTAAAACAGAAAAATCTTCTGAATGTGCCAGATGGATGATCAGGACATTAGATGGTGACTTTCTTAGTACAGCTACTATTAATCGTCCTCAAAACCAATCATTTATTTATTGCACATCCATTTACTTGTGCCTCAGGTCAAAGTGAGGTCAGTTATCCCAGCTCTGTGGTTTCCAAACTTGAGCCTGCATCAGAACCCCCTAGGGAGGCAGCTAAGGCAGACTTCGTGCTCTACTCCCAGAGTTTCTGATTCAGCAGATCTGGAGGGGGGCCCAGGAACCCGCAGGCTCCCAGGGGGTGCTGCTGCTGCTGCTCGTCTAGGGACCACACTTTGAGAAAGCTGAGCCTGAGGAAGTTGCTGCCATTGTTTGTGCTTTGTTGTTTTGTTGTTCATCCGTGCTCGGCCTTTGGTGTCGGCTTCTCACCTTTATCATCTGCTTGCAGACCCTCATGAGGGTGTAGTCTAGCTCTGGGTCCATCATCTCTGTCTCCTGCAGCTTAAATACTTTTTGGTGGCAGCGGGTGCTTAGCTGCTTCTTGTTTTCTTTCAGACATTCGATAATCTATGGCAAAAGAGTTATAGTCAAGTTGAGAGATGTCAGAGACTGCTCATCCATGTGTTCTGATTGAAACATTCAGCTCCACTGTGCCTCCCATTTCTTTATCCATTTCTCATTCCCAGGCAATCGGAATCAGGATTTCCTTACCAAAGATAAGGATTTACAACCTTACAGCTGACAGCAAACCCAACTAGACAAAAACTCAGGATGACTGGCAGGCTGTGCTCCAGCCTAATGGAAAAGAAACACACCCACGATTTCTGGTTTCTTCTGCCTTCCAGAGCTGCTCCTTGTCCACATTCATTTTGGAGATAGGCTCTCTGCATTTTCCCAGAGCAACAGCTCCGACTAGACAGTGGGCACAAACCAGGAGGTTCAATTCAACCCACTATTTACCACCTGAGAAAGACTACTGGATGCTAGATATGAATCAGACCCAATTCTCAGCCTGATAAATTCACAGCTACACAGGGCAAACTTATGTAAACAAGTAACTATGATTAGAAAAAGATGAGTTATCACTCAAAATACAAAAGCATAAAGTGTCATGAAATGAATTTTAAGGTAGTGAATTAAGTATATCCTGAAATCTTCCCTTCCCTAAACCTTCAGATATCATGAAAAGAAAGAAGGAAAGCAGATGGGAAGGTGCAGCAGCTGGGGCTATCGCAGGAAGCCATGAGACTTCCGGGAAATCGTCAAGGCATGGCCAAGAATCACTAACTAGTTGAGGAACACTAATATCATAAGAAAGATGATAAATAAAATGAACCAAGGAGTCAAAAACTGAGGGAAAGGGGTAATAGAGCAATCAAAACAGAATTTTAAAATATACTTAAAATCCTCAGAACAACACAGAAGACAACAGTAAATAAGAATCAAGAATAGGTAGTTATGAAAAGAAGCAATGAGAAAGCTAGGAAATGAAAAACAAAACTTGATTGGTGGTCTCCTGGAGCAGAATGGACAAAGCTGAAGAATAAATTATATGCTGGGAAAGAGAACTGAGGAGTTACCTAAAATGTAGTACAAAGAAATGAAAAGTACCAAAGAAAAAGTTAAAGAGACATGGAAGACGGACTCAGATGCTCCAATTGCCTAACACGAGTTCCAGAAGGAAGGAAAGGGAAAGCAGTATGTGAAAGAGCAATGACTGAGAATGTCCCAGAACTGAAGGAACACATAGATTGTGAGATTGAAAGAGCCAACCGGAAACACACACAAAACAAAAACCATACCTAACCACATCACACTGAAACTACAGATCATTACAGACAAAGAGAAGACTCTAAAACCTATCAGAAACAGATTAACTACAAAGCAATGAGACTTATATTGACATCAGACTTTGCATCAGCAACAGTCTGATACAAGAGGACAATGAAGTAATTATCTCAAAGGCTGAAGCCCCATGGCAATGCCCTTAACTAGAAGAGGTAGCCGAGTAGTAACGAGAACATTTTTTTAAAAATCATTTGTTTGTATGTACTTCACTCCTGACAATTCTGGATAGGGTCCTGCTTCTGTCTATTAAAAAAAAGTGTCCTAGGTGATTCTGATGTGACGTCTAGTTAAGAACTTCTGTGCAATGGGAACACAGTGAAGTAACGGTTAATTTTGGAGGTGCAGAGCATTGAGAATGCTACAGAGGAGGAGGCATCTGAAGGATCATTAGGAGCTTACTAGGCAGACAAGGTAGGGAAGGATGAGGTAACCTGAAAGAGGGAAGAAAATGAGTTAGAGAGGAGTGCAGGTGAAGAACCCAAGGAAACGCAGCCTGATGTAGTTTAAGAAGGGATTAGGTTGGAAGGGATGAGATGGGTCCTGTCTCACCAGCAAAAAATTCATGACTAAAATGTTACCTTATGGGCACTAGCTTTTGAGAAAACATTAAATATTACCTTCACATTACTTTTACAATTACAAAAGAAAAGCAAAAAGTTACCTGAGCGTTGCCATATTGCACAGCGGAACAGAAGTTTTTGATGTCACTCTTGCAGGCTTCGTATAGATCTGGCTCCAAGCGGATGTCCTCCGTCTGCATGAGGGAGCCAGCATGGAAAGGTGAGCTTGGTTTAGGCTGGAGATGTCATATGTTCTGGAGACTTATTTGTTGACTGCATCTTGTCTAGTGACCCTGGCTTCTACATAGCAAAGTCGCCTTGCAGCAAGAGAATCAGGCTTTACTTTCAATTCTGTCACCAAATAGCTGCATGGCCTTGGACCTTCTTTGCAAAACACAATGCCAAGTCTACCCTGAAACACCTTATTTAGTCCTTCACAGGACTGCTGAGATGTGAAAATCACTTTGGAAAGTCAAAACCATTATATAAATGTAGAGTTCTACTTTTATTATTACTTTAATGAAAGAGCTAGGCTCAAAGTTAGGGAACCAAATCTTCCAGCTTGAAATGTCTTTTTTTTTTTTTTTTTTTTTTTTTTTGGAGACAGAGTCTTGCTCTGTCACCCAGGCTGGAGTACAGTGGCACCATCTCGGCTCACTGCAAACTCCATCTCCCGGTTCAAGTGATTCTCCTGCCTCAGTCTCTCAAGTAGCTGGGATTACAGGTATGTGCCACCACAGCTGGCTAAATTTTGTATTTTTAGTAGAGATGGGGTGTCGCCATGTTGGCCAGGCTGGTCTTGAATTACAGACCTCAAGTGATTTGACCGCATTTGCCTCCCAAAGTGCTGGAATTACAGGCATGAGCCACCTCGCTGGCCTAAGTCTCTTTTAGTACAGGCAGGGTTTCATCACGTTGGCCAGGCTGGTTTTGAACTCCTGACCTCAAGCGATCCACCTGCCTCGGCCTCCCAAAGTGCTGGGATTACCTGCATGAGCCACAGCACCCAGCCCCTGAGGACATTACTGATCCAGTGATTGGATCACATGCTTAGTTAGAGCCTGTCTTACAGCTGGACTTCCAGTTACATGTGGGAAGAAAGGTTTTATCATTCAAAATCAAAAGAATGACACAGGAAGCTAATGGTCGTATGTTAAAACTTTTGCACAGGACTTCAAGTCTTAACCATCACAGTAGTGGATAAAATGCCTCCCCCTTGCCCTAGCCTCTCCCCAGCTTTCCAAGCCCTGGCCCACTGTGGTTTCTGGGAGCAGAGGCTGGGAGGCATTACCATCTCCAGCTCCTCCACACGGAGCTGCCTGCGGCACTTCAGGGACACCCTGTGCTCCTTGGCTTCCTGCAGAGTGTCATTGCGCACGGTCGTGCTCAGGCAGATCACCACGTCCACCCTGCAGACGAAAGAAGCTTGAGGCTGGCTGGGGCCACACAAGGGCAGATGGCCTGAGAGCTGGGCTTGGGGGGGGTCACACCATTAAGAATTCAAGATGCCCTTTGGGGGAATGTCTTTCCTGTAAGGCTCACTGTATTTTTTTTCAGGGTGCTAAAAGCTGCAATTTGACTGTGGGTGTCATGAAAGGCAGGCAGCAGCATGAATGCTGACTACATTCCTGACAGAAGGGGAAGCCACACAGGGCACATGTGTGCAACGACAGTTCAACATCTGTGTTAAAAACATGTGACCACAGAGGAATGCTGCTCTTAACTCTAGGACTGTACTTTTGACCTACTGTGAAACTCACTCCTGAAAGGTAGAGAAACCTGAGCAAATTGGGAATTTGGTTTGTATGAGGGCAAGTGTTCTAGAAATGGTCCTTTCAAAGAGCAACATGGAAGAATTTGGACAGTCACGCTGAAAAAGCTCATCAGTTTCCTCAAAAAGACTTAATTCTTAAATGAATAAAGATTCTGTTTCTTCACTAAATATCTAATCCAATACAAAAACTGCTGCATCTTAGATGAGATGACATAACGGGACGACGCAGGGAAGAGGTCAGTTCGCCTCTTTCACTCACACTGCACCCTGCTTCTCTAAGTACACAATCCAGCCCTACTTGGTCAGTTAGATGGCCTGACCTGGAAAAATTAAAAATGCTCCTTTAGCCTATGGGACCTCCATGTGAGAACTACCATCGCCAGATGCTCTGTCCAGACAGTCCGAGTGTTTGCCACGCTAATCAAAGGAGAGATGCGGGAGGCCTCCAGGGCTAACCCCACGAGGCAGCAGGAGGGCTGCCTAACATCTCGCATACTCATTCCGGAGCTAAGAGGAACTTCGGGAAAGTGGAATGAAACAACTACAAGCTACATACTTCTTTTTTATGTTTGGGCAAAGCTTCAACACGTCCTCCTTGCAGGCCATTTTAAACTTGTAAGAAAACCGAAAATCCTTCATCTGCACCTGAAAGGTAAAGAGAAAGAAAGTCAGAAGTTTTGTGGCAACTTGTGGTCAGTAGTGGTAGGGCGCACTTTTTCATATAGCTCTCACAAGCCTGTTTACAAGACCCTGCATGGCTTGACCCACACGTGAGACATCACGACCTGCTCATCTCTCCAGTACTCCCCCTACAACAGGCAGGCTTCCTTCCTTCCTTCCCTCCCTCCCTCCTTCCTTCCTTTCCTTCCTTCCTTCCCTCCCTCCCTCCTTCCTTCCTTTCCTTCTTTCCTTCCCTCCTTCCTTCCTTCCCTCCTTCCTTCCTTCCCTCCCTCCTTCCTTCCTTCCCTCCCTCCTTCCATCCATCCATCCTAAATAAAAATAGGACATATATTTGTAATTTTTTTTTTTTTTTTTTTTTGACAGAGCCTCTCTCTTGTCATCCAGGCTGGAGTGCAGTTGTGCGATCTCGGCTCACTGCAACCTCTGCCTCCCGGGTTCAAGTGATTCTCCTGCCTCAGTCTCCCGAGTAGCTGGGATTACAGGCACCCGCCATCACGCCAGGCTAATTTTGTATTTTTTGTAGAGACAGGGTTTCACCATGTTAGCCAGGTTGGTCTCGAGTTCCTGACCTCAGGTGATCAGCCTGCCACAGCCTCCCAAAGTGCTGGAATTACAGGCGTGAGCCACCATGCCCGGCTGGAAAAAATGATTTTTTTGTTGTTGCTGTTGAGATGGAATCTTGCTCTGTTGCCCAGGCTGGAGCGCAGTGGCGATCTCGGCTCACTACAACCTCCGCCTCCCAGGTTCAAGCAATTCTCCTGCCTCAGCCTTTGAAACAGCTGGGATTACAGGTGTGTGCCACCATGCCTGGCTAATTTTGTATTTTCAGTAGAGACGGAGTTTCACCATGTTGCTCAGGTTGGTCTTGAACTCCTGGCCTCAAGTGATCCACCCACCTCAGCCTCCCAAAGTGCTGGGATTACAGGTGTGAGCCACCACGCCTGGCTGGAAAAAAATGACTTTTAACAGAACATCAGAGGTGCTCTGATGTTCCAAAAAAGGAAAGGATTCAGTCAACATCCAGGCAGCTATGATGGGATATTGGCAGCCAGGTGTCACTGACCAGCTGGAAGTGGGTAACTCCGATGGCACACTTCTCGTTCATGTCCTTCTGGTGTTTGTTCTGTATCAGACACTCCATCAGGTCCCCAGAGTCTATCTGGTTATCTGCCACATCCTGGGGAAGACAGCATGCATTTACACTTCATTGGTAACAATTAATGAACAAAACTTGTAGCCCAGTCCGAAACAAATGCAAGCAAGGTTAGTTCTAGAAGCCCTCACAAAAAAAAGACACACCATAAATTGTAATCAAAATAAGCCTGAAGAATCACAATGGTATACATTCAGTGGCATAAAACTAACACAGCACTGTGTTCCGTATAAGACATGATATACGCTTTTTTTTTCACTTTCCGAAAAGCAGCTGGCTTTTGGGACAATATCTAACATAGCCTCCCAACTGTCAGATCCTAATGGTTCCTGGGTATGTTTCACTCCCACAATTTAAATAGTTCAGTAAATGAATATGAAATAGTCAGAATTCACTCAATATTGAGGTACTAGGAGACAGTTGGAAGAAGGAGCCACTATTACTGCTAACAATTCCTGGGCAGATGCTAACAATTCCTAGGCTGATGTACTGGAATCAACCCTGCATACTAATGGGGGTTTCCCTGTTCCATCTCTTCTTAAAAAGGGCAACTCAGTAACTGCTGCTGGCCACATACCTGTTTTTACCTACAAAAGCTAATCAAACACAGGTTCCAGGATGGTAGCATCTCTCTCTCGATCTTGTTTACTTTTTCTTTTTTAGACAGGGTCTCACTCTGTTGCTTAGGCTGGAGTGCAGTGGCACAATCACGGCTCACTGCAGCCTCGACCTCCTGAGCTCAAGTGATCCTCCCACCTCTGCCCCCTAGGTAACTGGAACTACAGGTGTGTACCACCACGCCCAGCTAATTTTTTCTATTTTTTGTAGAGACAGAGTTTTGCCATGTTGCCCAGGCTGGTCTTGAAATCCTGGGCTCAAGTGCTCCTCCTTGGCTTCAAAGTGCTGGGATTACAGGTATTGGTCACCACACCCGGCCTGTTTACATTTTTAATTTTAACTTGTCAAAGCTGGCTAACACTCAAGAGTAATACATGCTGCAGACAGAGGTGAGTCTGAGATACTCAGGGGAGAGTCCCTGTCAATTTGTTTCTGTTTTTAACCCTTGCTCCTCCAGACATCACTTACGTGGCAGAAGTTCTGAATTATGGGCTCACAGGCTCTCATCAGCAAGGCTTCTATTTGAATATCCTGTAGAAAATTAAATATATTAATACTTCTGCTTTAGAAAGAGCCAGGGTGGAGGAGGAGCAGTTTCTCTTTCTGAATCAGTAATATCTGATGGGCAAATAATCTAATACATACTTTTGGAAACGATTCTAGTATTTGAAGTAGATAGCCCCAGAATAAATATAGAACTGCTCCTCCGTTATACTTTGAAAGGCAAATTTTTAAAGACATATTCCCTTTCGGCCTGAACAAATGAGAAGGCAGAATTAAGAAAAGTGAGGTAAAAACACATGTAGCAATAACATTAGAGTATGCAAAGCCTTTGCAGATTTTCCCAAAATGCTAAGTAGTTCAAAATGAAAACAGGGGTAACTGATATCCATCTTCAGTTTATAAGCTCATAAGCCAGAGCACTGCCCTCAAAGCAGATGCCAAACCACTGTTACTGGGGAACACATACTAATAATGCCTTTAAAGAGAGAAACCCGTGCAACACTAGCTCCTGAAAAAACACCTTCCTTTAAAGAGCTATACACCCAGACTGCTCTCATAAGTCCATGATGACAATGATAATGTGAGAGATGACGACGAAATGAGAGAAGGCAATGAACTTCTGAAAACTAGAAAGCAAAAAAGAACTGGTTGAGAAACGTAATTTTACATTATGACAATTCAAATAGAGTACTAAAAGGTTTAAGACAAAATGGTAGTTCCCCACTTCTCTGATTTCTGGCCCCACAAAATAACTTTAACATGTTTAGCTGCCCTCCTCTGTATTTCTAAATAACATCCCAGTGCTTTATGAGGGTTTCTAATCCCCCTTTTTTTTTTTCTTTTTATTGAGACGGAGTCTGGCTCTGTGGCCCAGGCGGGAGTGCAATGGTGCAATCTCGGCTCACTGCAACCTCCGCCTCCCGGGTTCAAGTGATCCTCCTGCCTCAGCCTCCCAAGTACCTGGCACTACAGGCATGTTTTACCACGCCCAGCTAATTTTTGTATTTTTAGTAGAAACGGGGTTTCACCATGTTGGCCAGGATGGTCTTGACCTTTTTTTTTTTTTTTTTTGAGACATAGAGTCTCGCTCTGTTGCTCGGGCTGGAGTGCAGTGGCGTGATCTCGGCTCACTGGAAGCTCCGCCTCCCGGGTTCACGCCACTCTCCTGCCTCAGCCTCCCGAGTAGCTGGGACTACAGGCACCCGCCACCACACCTGACTAATTTTTTTGTATTTTTAGTACAGACGGGGTTTCACCGTGTTAGCCAGGATGGTCTCGATCTCCTGACCTTGTGATCCGCCCGCCTCGCCTCCCAAAGTGCTGGGATTACAGGTGTGAGCCACTGCACCTGGCCTCTAATCCCATTTTTAAAATATTTTAGTGGGTTTCAGGATGGAACAGGGATAAACATACGTATTCAATCTTCCATGCTTAGCTGGAAGTCCTCAGCTTTTATGTTCTGAAACACACAAACATTACCAAATGACCTAACTAAAAGAGCGAGGGATGAGAGAACGGGAATGTGTAGATTGCTCTTGAATGTGACTGTGATGTGAAGTACTGCTGCTATTTTTTTTTTTTTTTTGAAACACAGTCTCCCACTCTGTTGCCCAGGCTGGAGTACAGTGGCGCAATCTAGGCTTACTGCAACCTCCGCCTCCCGGGTTCAAGTGATTCTCCTGCCTCAGCCTCCCAAGTACGTGGCACTACAGGCGTGTTTCACCACACCCAGCTAATTTTTGTATTTTTAGTAGAGACGGGGTTTCACTATGTTTGGCAAGCTGGTCTCGAACTCCTGACCTCGAGATCCGCCTGCCTCGGCCTCTCAAAGTGCTGGGATTCAAGGCGTGAGCCACCGCTCCCGGCCGTACAGCTGCTATCTTAAGGGAGAAACAGAGGCAAGTCTAATGACTATGATAAACCTAATTTATGAAGAAAACCAAAGGGCTGTATAGAGTGTTGTTCTAGAGAAATGAGGGAAGGAGCTCACAAAGCAACACAATATACTTCTTTATAAAGCAAACATGGAAAATTTGATCAGGTTTCTTTTGATTGACAGAAAATCTGCACTCTCAGGAGTCTAGAAACAGTAGAATCAAACACAAAAGGCCAGGATGCTGGCAGCCACTCTCCTCCAATGAGTAAGCTGCATACCACTTACCTCTGATTCTAACTCAGTGAGGTTGCCAACTATATCTCTACACTCCACCACCAAGTCATCCAGATGGTCCTGAAGGCACTCCAGCTCCTGCAAATATAAAGGCAAGCCACTGGCATTTATCAGTCACATACATGAACAAGGCAAGGGGAGATATCAGCGTCATGACACTTCCCTTTTCAGTGGTCCTCCTTTCTCTTCTTTTTAAAATTACCTCACTGAACAGGACACAAAAGCTTTGTTTAATTCCCCAGACTGAGATTGTTGAAAAGATAATTACTTCATGTAGCAGGTTGGTTATGAGGGCCAAGTGGGCACAAGAGCCATGCAAAGGCTGGGCATGATGGCTCACACCTTTGATCCCAGCACTTTGGGAGGCTGAAGTGGGCAGATCACCTGGGGTCAGGAGTTCGAGACCAGCCTGGCCAACACAGTGAAACCCCATCCCTACTAAAAATACAAAAATTACCCGGGTGTGGTGGTGGGTGCCTGTAATCCCAGCAACTCAGGAGGCTAAGGCAGGAGAATTGCTTGAACCCAGGAGGCGGGGGCTGCAGTAAGCCAGGATCGTGCCACTGCACTGCAGCCTGGGCAACAAGAGTGAAACTCCGTCTCAAAAAAAAAAAAAAAAAAAAAAAAGAGCTGTGCAAATCCCTCAGAAGACCAAATCTACAAGTGCAAGGAGAATCAATCTTCAAGTGTCCTCAAAGTCTAAAAACCTTATCAGGCCTTGATTCTATTTTCAATCTGTGCTTTGATAATTTCTCATCTCTCATTTTAAATATGCACTTTAATAATGATCATCAGACAAATTCACAGTGAAGAGCACAGATTATTTTAAGACTCTTTATTGGCAAAGTAATTGGGAACCAGGGGTCTGGAACACAGGATACAACTGATAGCTCCTGCAAGTCAGATCTGGGATTCTAACTCCAGTACACATCAAAAGGGTCCTCTGAAGAAAAACAAGTGAACACACTAGGGTTTGGGTACTTAAAAGCTATCTTGTGTGGGCTTTGGAAACCGAGCTGGAGCTATCTGTAGCATTAGTCTATTACTATTCCTTCTAGAGGTTTACAGGTTTAGAGGTTTCAAGTATAATATCAGCTCACTTTCACAAAGCATATCAACAGCTATTTCTTAGCAAAGTGCTCTGTTAAAGGATCAAGTTTAACTTACTATTCTGCAAGAATCTCTCTGTTTCAGAATTAGAATGTGAGGGGAAGAGAGGAGTTGTAGGAATTATACAACAGCCAGAATGGAAGAAGAAGAAGAAATAAAAAAGCTAAAGGAAAATACCCCAAACTTTTGGGAGTAAAATAAATGGCTAAGAGAAACATCCTATTAATAGAATCCTGGCTGGTCTCAGTGGCTCACACCTGTAATCCTAGCACTTTGGGAGGCCAAGACAGGTGGATTGCCTGAGCTCAGGAGTTAGAGACCAGCATGGGTAACATGGTGAAACCCTGTCTCTACTAAAATACAAAAAATCAGGTGGGTGTGGTGGCAGGTGCCTGTAATCCCAGTTACTAAGGAGTCTGGGGCACAAGAATTGCTTGAACCCGGGAGGCAGAGGTTGCAGTGAGCCGAGATCGTGCCACTGCACTCCAGCATGGGTGACAAAGTGAAACTGTCTCAAAATAAAAAAAAAAAAGAATTCTTAAGTTTAGCTTCTCCATGACGGGCTGCAATGTAGTGCAGCTTTCTAAAGTTTACTTTACTCGGGGTTCTAAAGGAAACTATTTTCTGGGATTCCAAATCACCATATCCCTTGTTTCATTGGACAGAGGCAACAGAAAGCTCAACTATAAGCATTTTCTAACAATATACCCAACAGAACTGTAGCAGGCTCAGGAAACAGACTGCTGAACATGATAGTCCTATGCTCAACAGACCTGAGTAGGCAACCATGTTTCTCCTTTAAAATGTCCAATTCCTGTACGTGTGACTTTTTCATACTGTACTTCCAGAGGGGGTTTTGTAGTGGTACAAATGGAACCCAGAAACCTGAGTTCACTCCTTATTTATGTGGCTTTAAACACGCAGTATTCCTACTGCTGAGTATCCTGCATTCAGATGGAAGACAGCTAGCTTCCCACATGACCTGCAGTCATGCATCTTTCCTTCTTTCCCTTAAACTGGGACACAATCCTAAGGAGCCAATCACAGCACTCAGGGAATTTTTGGGGGCTGCTCCTTCCCTCTGCTTCCTAGATGGAGAGGCTATATAATGAACTGAACTGAATTTTAGGTAAGGGAATGTATACACTTAACTTCTCTGAGCTTCAATTTGTCAACCAGGTGAGAAAAAATTCCATTTCTACATGTTTTTTGGGACTGTTCTAGGGCATGCCCACTATTCATGCAGACCAGTACTCACATACGCACAGATTTACACCCTGCTTATCTCAAAAGGACTTAATGGAGAAAATGAATTAAAAATGAGTAAAATGAATAAAGAAGAGAAACAAAAAGGAAAGGAAAGAGGATGTGAAATGGAGCCAGTAGTAAGCTTTCTACAAAAATGCCTACCATGAAATCTTATATACCTGTAAGAGGCAGGCCATACCATTGGCTCTAGAAGTTTTAATAAGCAACAGGAAGAGGGAAAATAATCAATTACAAAATACAATAACTATAATGCAAACACAAACTCACTGCCAACTATTCCTGATACAAAGACCAGAGAGAAAATTTTCCTGAGAATTTCTTCCAGAGAAAATATTGAACAATACAACAAATCACATCTGTAAGGTAAAGAGAGATGGATTTTATGGTGTTTGTACTCTGCATAAAATGTTAAACATTAACATCATCATTATTGTAAGACAAACAGAAAGCGATGTCACCTACCTGTCCAGTCTCTGTTTTCTCACTGCACCATTTTCCCAGATCAATCAGGCACTTATCCTGGAGGGCAGGATCCAGCTTGACATCCATGGCACGCTGGTGTAGGATCCTTTGGACTTCAGCTCGGCACTCCCGTGAGAGCTGCATGAGAAAAAATGAGCTAAATACTTGAAAGGTAACAAAACAAAAACACAAAGATATGAGATAAACCTGCTATGAGGAAACTAACAAATAACCCTGTATTTTATCTCCCAAATTTTATACCTCAAATATCTTCCAGAATAAAAATTAAATGTTGCGGCCAGGTGCGGTGGCTCACGCATGTAATCCCAGCACTTTGGGAGGTCGAGGCGGGCGGATCACCTGAGGTCGGGAGTTTGAGACCAGCCTGACCTACATGGAGAAACCCTGTCTCTACTAAACACACAAAATTAGCCAGGCATGGTGGCACATGCCTGTAATCCTAGCTACTCGGGAGGCTGAGGCAGAAGAATCGCTTGAACCCGGGAGGTGGACATTGTGGTGAGCTGAGATTGCACTACTGCACTCCAGCCTGGGCAACAAGAGCGAAACTCCGTCTCAAAAAAATAAATAAATAAATAAATAAATAAATAAATAAATAAAATGTGCAAGAGGCTTCGAAAAGCCCATATCTTTAGCAATGCGATTATACATATTCAGCAGTTTCTAATATACTATATAAACAACATTCTTTTATGACAGTATCCTGATAAAAGTGAACTGGCTTCATTCAGACTAGGTTAGTTGGAAAGTTTTGTGTTTGTTGTTTTGCTTAGCAAAACTAATGTGTCAGTCTATGAACACCAGGTAGAAGGTCAGATCCAATTCAAGAGAGCATATACACTTGACTCAGGAGAAATGAGTTCAAATTGACCTAAATCAGAAAAAGCAGGAAAATGTAGATATAACATTATGAGATAGGACTGGACTCTTCTAGATGAGCTATGAAGAATTAGCAGAGGGTAAAGCAGGTGAAAACTAGTATTTTTCCAAGGGCCATGACAAAGCTGTTATTGACAGATACAGTTAGTCTCTCTTGCAAAAAAAGAAAAAAAAGCCAGCATACCTGGGGCAGGAGGGATGGAAAGTAACTGTTTAATGAACACAGGGTTTCCTTTTGGAGTCATGGAGTGTTTTGAAACTAGACAGACATGATGACCACACAACACTGTAAATGTACTAAATGTCACTGAATTTTTCTCTTTAAAATGGTTAAGACCAGGAGCGGTGGCTCACACCTGTAATCCCAGCTCTTTGGGAGGCTGAGGCGGGCAGATCACCTGAGGTCTGGAGTTCGAGACCAGCCTGACCAATATGGAGAAACCCCATCTCTACTAAAAATACAAAAATTAGCCGGGCGTAGTGGCGCATGCCTGTAATCCCAGCTAATCTGGAGGGTGAGGCAGGAGGCGGAGATTGTGGTGAGCCGAGATCACACCACTGCACTCCAGCCTGGGCCAACAAGAGTGAAACTCCGTCTCAAAAAAAAAAAAAAGGGGGGGGTTATTTTGGCCAGGCGCAGTGGCTCACACCTCTAATCCCAGCACTTTGGGAGGCCCAGGTGAGTGGATCACCTGAGGTCAGGAGTTCAAGACCAACCTGGCCAACATGGAGAAACCCCGTCTCTATTAAAAATCCAAAAAAAAAAAAAAAAAAAAAAAAAAAGCCAGGCATGACGGCAGGCACCCGTAATCCCAGCTACTCGGGAGGCTGAGGCAGGAGAATCACTTGAGCCAGGAGGAAGAGGTTGCAGTGAGCCAAGATCACACCACTGCACTCCAGCCTGGGGTGCAGTGAGACACATTCAAGAGTGAGGCTTTGTCTCAAAAAAAAAAAAAAAAAAGGTTAATTTTATGTTATGTGAATTTCACCTCAATTTAAAAAAAAAAAGAAAAGAAAACCAGCACCACAGACTCCAACTCTTTCTTATTTAAAAGAGAATAAACCTCCTACCCCCTAGTCACTATAGTGACCAGAAAGATGCCGGGATGTGGGAGCCCCCATGGTTAATGAGAGGCTCATTATATGGAGAGAAAAAAAAAAAAAAAACAAATTCCCACGTTTTCTCACACAGCAGTATAAACACTGGGTTAGGGAGCAGCAACTGATGTATGCCATTTCCTTCTGAGTCCCCTCATTCTGGATTTGAGATAGCCAGGCTTTTGCATTAAGCTCAGAAGGGGTATTTCTAAGGATGGATGAGAAGTGATACCATCTCAACTCTCCGGAACAAAGGCAGGACTGATAATGGAGCATCTCAGAAGGTAGAGAAAGCCATCGTGGAGAACAAGTGCATGTCAGTGCGCACCGGGAAGCAGCCGATGCTGCCGAGACCCCAGCACACACAAACATCCCAACAAAAAGCAGCAGTTGGGGCAGACAAATACCAAGAGACTGAGGTATGGAGGTTTCTGCTCCAACCAGTCCATGGGCAGACAATGCAAATGTGTTCAGCTGCCAAGAGGAGAAGCCTAAAATCCATTTGTAGCCTGGCTAAAAGCTTCTAATGGATCCTTAAACCTAAATAAAGTTAGGACAGCAGAATTTAACTGTCCATTTGTGATTCAGATTTTGGGAATTAAAAAAAAAAATCTGGAAATCTTCCCCCACCCACTTTGTTAAAAACATAAAATCAGATGATAGAAGCTGGTAGGGCAACTCTAAGTGCACTCACGGAAGGAAGAAGTTTCTAGAAGTGCAGCAATCTTCTCCCCACAAAATAGTCTAAAAAGTTTTCCTAATATGACTGAAATCAGAAGAATATACAGCAAACAATTTAAAAAACAAATGACAAGAAGAAGAAATGAAGTCGATATTCACTGCATACCCTCCTTCCCTGTTCCTCAGTGCGGTAGGCGTGTCTGTATAAACAAGAGAACACAGCTCCCTGAGGCATAAATTCACTGGTCTCATTCCAACCGTGGGTGTGGCAAAGACGAGAAGCGTCTCCCTGGCACTTGCGGTACAGGACAGGGTCCAGCCTATAAGGTTAAGAGTTAAAAGATAACCACTAATTAATAGACATTTCCTTCTAACACAGGCTCAGGGTTTTTATGAGGTGTTTGCTTGTATACTCATTGATAATCACTTCCAGGGGCGTGGAGACAGAAGATATGTAAAAGTATATTCCTGAATTTTGTTCTTTTGTTTTTTTTTTTTGACACAGGATCTCTCAATCTGTCACCCAGGCTGGAGTGCAGTGGTGCTATCTTGACTCACTGGAACCTCCGTCCCCCGGGGCTTGAAGGCAATCCTCCCACCTCAGCCTCCCAAGCAGTTGAGGCAACAGGCACACACCAGGCTCTTTTTTGATATTTTTGGTAGAACAGAGTCTCGCCATGTTGTCCAGGCAGGTCTCAAACTCCTGAGCTCAAGCAATCAGCCTGCCTTGGCCTCTCAAAGTGCTGGGATTACAGGCATAAGGCACTGCACCCAGCCGTGAATTTTGTTCTTAATGAACACACAGTAGTCAGCACTGTGGGAGGCCTAGGCAGGAGAATAACTTTCTATAGAAGTTTGTTAACCTTCTACAGAAGATTTAAAGTCTCTCTCAAAGATATCTTGGCTTTGTTAGATACCTAACATTTTAATAGACAGCACTCACATGCCCTGGGTGAAAACAGAAAACTAGAGTTATAGCCACCACCAGGCAATTCACAACTTTTTACTTAATACTTTTTACTAAATACCTTTTTCTAAGTAGGAATGAAGTTCAATCCTATGTAATGTATTAGATTCAGTAAGATCAGGAAATGGCAAGATAAATAGTCTCCTATTCAGTTTTCTCTCTTCTTCCTGTGCCAGGTAAGGTGGTTATCTTTTTGGTTACTTGAGTGTGCTTATCAATTTATGAGACTTGACATTTAACTCTGAATCTGGAGACAGTGGATTAGACAATGAGCCTGCTTCTTCTCCACATCAGACCAGGGCATGCTTAATTCTGTCCATATTATATTGTCAACTTTGGTAGATGGCTAGTTAATGGGAGAAAAAAGCTAATATTTAATGAGTAACTATTAAGAACTAATATTTAATGAGTAACTATGCAGCACTTTTTTTTTTATTATGGGGGAAGGAATTAAAGAGGAGAAAACGTGATTTTGATTAAGGCAATACACTCAGTAGACTATTTAGGTTGAGATGGCCTGAGTAAGCAAAGGGAAATTACAGCCCAGCTTTCTGTAGTCCTTTCCAGAGCTAATCTGAAGGAATAGAAATAAGAATATATTGAATCTTCAAGTAATCTCTTTCTAGAAAAAGTATGTGGGCAAAACACATGCACACACACACGTCTTTTGAGATAGGGTCTCACCGTTAACATGCAGTGGCATGATCACAGCTCACTGTAACCTACAGCTCCTGGGCTCAAGTGAATCTCCTTTTTTTTTTGAGACGGAGTCTCGCTCTGTCTCCCAGGCTGGAGGGCAGTGGCGCGATATCGGCTCAGGGCAACCTCCGCCTCCCGGGTTTTACACCATTCTCCTGCCTCAGCCTCCCGAGTAGCTGGGACTACAGGCATGCACCACCTACGCCCGGCTAATTTTTTTTGTATTTTTAGTAGAGATGGGGTTTCACCGTGTTAGCCAGGATGGTCTCGAACTCCTGCCCTTGTTCTCCTCCCACCTCGGACTCCCAAAGTGCTGGGATTACAGGCGTGAGCCACCGCGCCCGGTTCAAGTGAATCTCCTGCTTCAGCCTCTCAGGTAGCTAGGACTACAGGTGCACACTACCATACCTGGCTGATTTTTTTTTAGTTTTTATAGAGACAAGGTCTTGCTATGTTGACCAGGCTGGCCTTAAACTCCTGGCCTCAAGCTATCCCCCTGCCTAGGCCTCCCAAACTGCTGGGATTATAGGTGTGAGCCACTGTGCCTGGCCAAAATATATATTAATCACCAAAAAAAATTAACTACCACACCATGGTGGCTTAACAACCGAATGGAGAAGCCACTGAACTTGAAAAGCTAGAGAAGCAGTTGGATCCAGCACTGGCTGCTTTGGAGGTGGGGAGAGAAAGCAAGATGCGGAAAGAGGAGGGGAATGACAGCCAATGAACTCAGTGATTCTGGCTGTAATACGGATCCTTCTCCTAGTTCATCCTCCCACCCCCACCGCTTTTTGTTAACAGAATGAGAGGGAAATTAGATAATCAAGTTGTCACTTATTGACAAAAACCCCTTAAGACAGACTTAATTCAGTAACTCTGAATAAATAAATAAAAGCCAATTACCATATCCACTGCAAATCAATAAAAATACAACTGCACTATTATCTTCTTAGAGACATATCTGAAGGCGCTTTTGCCACCCCCACAGGTGCCATACTTCTTACTAGACAGATCTTTGTAGTATCAGAAACATTTTGACCCTGACTTCCAAAGTCGTGGTGAACAAGGATGTGTGGTACAGGCTGGTAGTGGGCTGACTCTGCTTTTAGATAATGTTCTGAAAGTGATAAAGAATAGTTTTTCAGGGGATTGGAGTGTGTTAGCTGTCCCAGAACTGAACAAAAAGAGTTTCCTACTGATTATTTTAATAAATACAGGTAATTATGACTACACAGGAGAAGAGGCTGAGGCAATACATTTACTTTGGCTTCAAAATACTCACTTCCAATCCCGGGAGATGAAATACTGCAGCTCTAAGAGACGGTGTTCACAGTCTTCTACCATCTTCTCTGTGTATAAATGTTCCATCAGGCACGACAAGATCCTAGCCATTAAATGTGTAAAATTGTAACAAGAGAGAAGTGTTCAGAACTCTATGTCAATATAGTATTTCCCTGGTCTGTAGAAGGCGGCTTTTAGTTATTTTCTTAGGGCAATCAGATTTATTTTTCTAAGAATCACTCAAATTAACTGAACCTGACAGTGGTTATACCTTCGATCAACTTCAGAGCCACTCAGCACTGAAGACTATGCATGCACAAGGGCAGTGTGCAGCTGCTGTATTTTTAACTGGTTATGAAAACTTTCCAACACACAAAGAAGTAGAGAATAATGTAACAGCCACCTTCCCTCCCCATAACTTTATCAATCTGTGGCCAAGTCTGTTTTAACTCTAGGCCTCTTTGCTGATATTTTAAAGCAAAATCCCAGATACTCCATCATTTCATTTGTAAATATTTCAGCATGTTTCTTTAAAATATAAGGACTTAATACCATTATCACACCACTAAGCAATTATTTTAAAAGCTTTACTATCATGTAATACCCTGTTAGTTTTCAAATATTTTCCTTTCTTTTCTTTTCTTTTTTTTTTTTTGAGATGGAGTCTCGCTCTGTCGCCCAGGCTGGAGTGCAGTGGCGCAACCTTGGCTCACGCAAGCTCCGCCTCCCAGGTTCACACCATTCTCCTGCCTCAGCCTCCCGAGTAGCTGGGACTACAGGCACCCACCACCACGCCCGGCTAATTTTTTTTGTATTTTTAGTAGAGATGGGGTTTCACTGTGTTAGCCAGGATGGTCTCGATCTCCTGACCTCGTGATCTGCCCGCCTCGGCCTCCCAAAGTGCTGGGATTACAGGCGTGAGCCACCGTGCCCGGCCCAGATATTTTCAATTATCTTTTTTTTTCACAAGTTTGTTCAAATCAGGATCCAGAAAAGGTTAACTGATAAGTATCTTAAATGTATTTTCATCTGTAGCAGTTCTTCCTTCTTCCCTCTCCCCTGCCCCCTCTTTGCTTGATGTGGTTATTTTTACACTGTAAATATTCCTAATTAGTTTAACCACACAGAAAGCTTTGAGGAAGAATATGATTTTCTAATTCTCTAGCACAGCATGAACAGCAGGAGTTCTTGCATAGCAGCATGAGATAAACATGGACTATACTCACTTTGTTGTTGGGTATGGCCAAATGCAGGCTATAAAGATTTTTGCAGAATGGGAAAGCTGCTCTTACTTGCAACTGTTTTTTTTTGTTTTTGTTTTTGTTTTTTTTGAGATCGAGTTTTCCTCGTTGCCCAGGCTGGAATGCAATGGCACGATCTTGGCTTCACCTGCCTCAGACTCCCGAGTAACTGGGATTACAGGTATGCGCCACCAACACCCCACTAATTTTGTATTTTTGGCCGGGCGTGGTGGCTCACACCTGTAATCCCAACACTTTGGGAGGCCGAGGCGGGTGGGTCATGAGGTCAGGAGTTCAAGACCAGCCTAACCAACATGGTAAAACCCTGTCTCTACTAAAAACACAAAAATTAGCTGGGCATGGTGTCATGTGCCTGCAATCCCAGCTACTCGGGAGGCTGAGCCAGGAGAACTGCTTGAACTGGGATCCGGGAGGCAGAGGCAGCACTAAGCGAGATTGCGCCACTGTACTCCAGCCTGGGCTACAGAGCAAGATTCTGTCTAAAAATAAAAATAAAAATAAATTGTATTTTTAGTAGAGACGGGGTTTCTCCATGTTGGTTAGAGGCTCATCTCGAACTCTGGACCTCACGTGATCCGCCAGCCTCAGCCTCCCAAGGTGCTGGGATTACAGGTGTGAGCCACCACGCCTGGCTTGGTTTGGTTTTTTGAGACAGGGTTTTGCTCTGTCATCTGGGCTGGAGTGCAGTGGTATGATCATAACTCACTGTAACCTTGAACTCCTGGGCTCAAGCAATCTTCCCACATCAACCTCCCAAGGGGATGGGACTACAGGCATGCACCACCACGCCAGCTGATTTTAAAAACTTTTATGTTGCCTTGCTATATTGCCCAGGCTGGTTTCAAACTCGTAGCTTCAAGTGATCCTCTCACCTCGGCCTCCCAAAGCACTACAATTACAGGCATGAGCTACTGCATCCGGCCATGGTTTAAGAGCTGTTTTTACATCATAAAAAATAAAACTAAAGAATGAGAATACTTTAATATAGCATTTATTCAGCTTTTCTAGATCTTGGTTGCAACTTTAGTATTCATTTTGTCCATTACTACTCCCTTCAACTACCACATTTTGTTTTCTATTTCTATTTTCTGTTTCAAGTATTTTCTGATGATTACCAGGTAGTCAATGTATACAATGAGTCAATATACAACTAGGATGAAAAGTACAGAGTGCCAAAGTATGTACCACCTATCCTGAGTGTTTCTCTCTTTCATTTTAATTTGATCGTGATATAAAATTATTCAGTAACCTAATATATAGGTCCATATATGCTCAGTCATTGTCCGTAAACACCATCACAATATTGGGTCTAGGTGTCTCTATATCATGGATGAGGCAGATCCTAGGTTTTCATTCCAATACTAGTTTTAATAAAAGTTGGTGTATGTTCAACTTGTTCAACAAAATTTCAGTTAAGATGTCAACAACCACCCAAAAGTCATTTGAAGGAATGTTCCCTGTGCTGCCAAATGAAATACAATATGGATAAATACCATGGAGAAGATAACTTACATTGGGTCTCCAGATCTTATATGTTTGCAGGCTGTCTGGATTACAGATTCACAAGCTTCATTCAAAGCTCGATCAATGCGGTAATCTGCACCAGGGTCAGTCTCCTGAATCAGTGTTTGAAGCTGAATTAAAATAAATTAAGAAGGAAGAAAGAAAGTCACTTAGGTGCTAGGTAAGAGCAGTGTCTTCATACATTCAGTTGCTCAGTCCTATTTACCACAATGTACTCCAATAAAGTTGTCTACAGTTGTCACTAGCCAAGCTCAAGAGCATTTGCCAAATACTTTTCCAACTGGTTTCTCTACCTTGACTGCAGGTTTTTCTGTTTGAGTCATTGATGGGGACTGCTTATCTTTGTTCTCAGTAATCCCTGGAGGTCTTTACAACATGAATATGAAGGCTGCCTCTTTGCTTTCATCTGCCTACTTGTTAATCAGATTACTAAACCTGGTGCTCCCGGCAAAGCCAGATTTAAGTGGAAAAGAGTAAATAAAGAACATTTTCACTTAGAGACCTAATTGGGTCATAAGAATCTAGAATTTGAATTTTGCTGCAAAGACACTGGTATTAAGTCAAGTGTGCTGTGCTTTATTAAAAGCAGATGTGCAATTTCATTTAACTTGCAGAAATATCAATTACAAAAAACAGGATTATGGTATTTATAATTTCCCATTTTCCTCAACTATTTTTCTATAACCAAGAGGTAAACCAGAGCTTGCTCATTCTAAGTACATAGAAAAATACTTGTCATTATGCAGCTGGAAATGAGACTATATTCTTTATCATTTACTTTTCCATCTTGTCATGGAACAAAGGAAAGACAGGAGAATAGGTACTTCACATTTTTTTTCCTGCCTTTAAGGCACTTGGGGCATAGATGAAAAAGCTCTAAATTAAAATCAAAAGAACTGAGTTCTATTAATAGTTCTGGCTCTGACAGATTAGCTTTGAGAACATGGACAAATTGATTACCTCTAAGTTTTAGTTTCTTTAACTGCAGAAAATTGTAAGAAATAATAATATATGGGAGAATATTAGGTAAACTGCAAAGCATTTTACAGACATGAAAGATGATTATTACTACAGATAAGTAGCAGATGGTGTTTTGGGGTAGAAATCTTTTTTTTTTCCCCCCCGAGACAGAGTTTCGCTCTGTCACCCAGGCTGGAGTGCAGTGGCATGATCTCTGCTCACTGCAACCTCCACTTCCCGGGTTCAAGTGATTCTCCTGCCTCAGCCTCCTAAGTAGCTGGGACTACGGGCATGTACCACCACTCCCGGCTAACTTTTGTATTTTTAGTGGGGATGAGGTTTCGCCACGTTGGCCAGGCTGGTCTTGAACTCAAGTGATCCGCCCACCTCGAACTCCCAAAGTGCTGGGATTACAGGCGTAAGCCACCACACCCAGACCTGGGGTAGAAATCTTTAATAATAGAAAGCGAATTTGAAAACTATAATCCTTACTGGTTTGCGTTCCCTTTTGCCAAGTTAAAAAACTGGAACCCTGTTGTGTCACTGATTTGTCCTCTGATCCTTATACATCTAACCTATGATCCCACAGGGCCTTCACTGGAGCACCTGTGGGATCATAGGTTAGATCACAAATTTATCAGAGAACCATAATCAAAAGGAAATAAAGGAAAAAACCACAAACTTCTATTATCCTGAAAGAAGCTGGTAATCCAGAAGAGAGAAACATGAAAGATTTCCAATATTCTACGATAGAAGTTATTTATACCAAAAATTATTGGTGGCAATTTGGGAAACCTACAAAATGCTGTGGTTAGCTGGTAGGAAAATTACTATCGAATGATTACCAATGTTACTTATGACATTTGTTGACAAAGACCAAAGCATTTACATCTTTTTCTGAGAAAAGTTGGAAGCAACATGGGAGTCTGCAAGTCTCTGCAAGAACTGTATCAGTTAAATATCCATGACTGACAGGCAAACGTCAAGAAACAATACATGCACTAGACTGCAAATATTTACAGGCGAAAATGAATGCCCTCTAGAGCCTAGTGGGCTAACAGCTCCAGGGATCATTATCATTGCCACTCTGGAATTTAGTGACAGTAGCGTGGGAAATAAACACTGAAAATGTGAACTGCTACATGATTATACACCTATTCCAGCCCCTGGCATGCCTAGGAAAACCTGGGAAAATGCTTCAGAGAGATGACTAGAGAATAAGACTGGCAGTTATCTTTGGCCTAGGAGAGCCTGGGCCCACACTTACTCAGCCATGAACGAAGAGAATTTCACAGTTCATGATTATGGTGCATTTGGGAGAGTAAGTACTGAACAAGATGATAATTATGCTTACGCTTTACAGCTTACTACCTGCTGAGAAATCACTAAATCAATCACCAAGCAGAGAACAGGGAAAACTAATGGTCAACCACAGACAGGTATGGAAGTCTGCTGTATTAGGAAGAAAAATTTGAAAAAGAAAGAAAAAAGGGGCCAGGAACAGTGGCTCATGCCTGTAATCCCAGCAGTTTGGGAGGCCAAAACGGGCAGACTGCTTGAGCCCAGTAGTTTGAGAACAGCCTGGGCAACACGGCGAGACCCCATCACTTAAAAAACAAAACAACAAAAAAGAAATAAAAATAAGCTCCCCCAAAATGAATTACTTTAAAACATTCGTCAATTTGACTGGGGATGGCTACTGTAGTAGAACACTAAGGACATTTTTCTCCCTTTGGATCATTTAGGCCTTCAATTTTTGTGGGCAAAAGCTAAAAACCCTGGGTCCATAAAAATAAAAATAAAGCGCTTCTTCCCTACTTGGCTAAATTTATTTTTTATTTTATTTTAATGTTTTAATTTTTTATTTTTTGAGGTGGAGTCTTGCTCTATTGCCCAGGCTGGAGTGCAGTAGTGTGATCTCAGCTTACTGTAACCTCTGCTTCCCAGGTTCAAGCGATTCTCCTACCTCAGCCTCCCGAGTAGCTGGGACTACAGGTGCATGCCACCACGCCCGGCTAATTTCGTATTTTTCATAGAGACTGAGTTTCACCATGTTGGCCAGGCTGGTCATGAACTCCTGACCTCAAGTGATCTGCCTGCCTTGGCCTCCCAAAGTTCTGGGATTACAGGTGTGAGCCACCATGCCCAGCCTCACTTGGCTAAATTTAATATGGGCAAAACCATATGTTTCACTACTTGAAGCCACCCTCTAGATTTGGAAAGTACTTTTCTTCTGGACACACAGGGTGATGTGGGAAGTACTTATGTATCTTTCAAGCTGAGTCACTAGTTCTTTCAACAAGCTACATTTTAAAAAGCCCTGGGTGTGAATTAGGTGCCTCGAAATAAAGTCAAACCAGTCTATTTTCTTTTTTCTGTATCCCTTACTACAAGTGTAGCCTCAGTAAAAAGACAGGTTTAGGCCGGGCATGGTGGCTTACACCTGTAATCCCAGCACTTTGGGAGGCTGAGGCGGGAAGATCACCTGAGGTCCAGAGTTTGAGACCAGCCTAGCCAACATGATGAAACCCCATCTCTACTAAAAATACAAAAATTAGCTGGGTGTGGTGGTGGGCAACTGTAATCCCAGCTACTCAGGAGGTTGAGGCAGGAGAATCATTTGAACCCGGGAGGTGGATGCTGCTATGAGCAGAGGTTGCGCCATTACACTCCAGCCTGGGCAACAAGAGTGAGACTCTGTCTCAAAAAAAAAAAAGGTAGGTTCATTCCTAACCCCCGCCACAACAACCTTTCTGTGCTGCTTTAAGGATGAAGTGCAAATATAGGCTGTCTCCTGATTCATTTTTGGTCTGGGTCCCAGGACCCACACTGGCACAGAGGTTTCCCAAGGAAGTCACCAGTAACAACTGCACCCTAGAAACAACACTGTGGCAAAATCAAACGGCAGATTCCAGAAGCCTTCCCTCCTGCCCAGGTTGGTATTTTAAAGAAGTTACATTTGTCTGTTTTCCCACCATGGGATGCATAGACACGCATGCGTGCGCACACACACACACAGACACACGTGCACACATGCACTGGTGTCTACTCTGGGTCAAGGTGAGTAACTAAAGCTAAGACATAATTTTACTCCACATCCAAATTCTGTAAAACTGTTGTGTTTCAGACCGCAAAGTTTTGTTTCAGACTGTAAAAATCTGATTTTACACGATTATCAGGAAAATAAAATTCGAGTTGATATCCAGTTTTTAATAAAAATGCTAACTATAAAATAATAGACTGATTGTGGCTTTCTAAAGTTACACTGAGGGAGGAGAGCCTCAAGTTTCTACTATTCTAGGATATAAAGCGAAACTATCTCTTGTGCTCCCCAAAGGAAAGTTCACTGCACAGGGCACACTGGTGCACATGGTACGTTAAGTTGCTCTAAGACTCCTATCCAGTAAAAAGTAATCAACATGGACAACAGGAATGAAAGGGATGTACTAAATCTCTAATACATTAACTTGTGTTTTGTACCTGACCTACAGTTATTCAACTGTTTATAAACGCTAGATCAAGAAGAACTTTATCTCCCCAAGCAAAGTATGCTAACTGTGAGGTTTAGTGATAGAAAAAGGACTCCCACCATGGCACACGTTTACCCATGTAACAAACCTGCACATGTATCCTGGAACTTAACATTAAATTAAATTAAAAAGAAAATGGCTCTTCCATGCATAGTTGCCCTAGTATATGAAGAAAAGATAGTGTGATTTCAAAAATGACATGCTCTCTTGATCCTTCAGGCCAGGAATTCATGCCATGCGGTAAATTAGTAACAGAAAAAATTTAGAAACTTAGAAAAAATTTCAATTCATATCAACTCTTTTTCAGCCTCAACTCAATCAAATCTATTACAACAGGCAAATTCTCTCTTGGTAGAGGGCCTGTCGTCATTGATTGGAACCTGGTTTGCCTTGATTCTGAGTTTAGGAAATCCAGTCTAGCAAGCTGCCCTTTCTTTAGGAACTCTAGCAAATAATGCATTCTATCTATCTAAGAAGACAATTCTTTTTATTGATTATGAGCTCAAACTTTTGCTCTGTAGCAAATGTCACATTCTTACTAAGATATGCCTGAAGAAGCAACGTTCAGTCTCTGATCATTAGTACCTAATGTTCAATGTGATACCACAGATGATCCATATAAAGCAAGGTGGGACAGCATCAGGAAGAGGCTCTTCAGCTGATAAATGTGACATTCAAAATGGCAATAGCAATGTCTCCTTACCGCCTGCTGGCAGTTCATTCCAAGGTTCCCCTTCTCCCCTCGAACTACTTTCATCAGACAGTGTAGGGTCCGCCCTTTTCGATGTAATCCGGAACAATGGTGTTCAATCTCCCCCCGACAGCTTAGGATGATCTCAGGGCTCAGAGAAAAGTCTTCCATCAACATGCGTCGGTAATCCAGCATCTCCCCCTGGCACTCACTGCTGACTTGTCGCCCTAAGTTAGGATGTAAGTCATAACATTACGAAGGGTGATGCTATGTATTAGCATCAGAAATCACCACCTATTAAAAGTACATATTTCTATCTGTAATACAATATACCTATCAGACATGCTAACATCTGAAAAGTTTAGAATTAGCAAAAGCTTTAGCAGCATAAAATAGGCTTAGACTCCAGATATTCAGGCTTCTCCTGTCACTGTTCTGCATGAAACAGGTTTTATACTACTGCACTAATAATGCAAATGCTTTGCCCATGGAAATCCTATCAATAAGATAACTATTAGGGTAAAAATGAAAGCCAAAGAACAATCTCCATTGGCCTACACAATTAAAGCTTTTAGAAAAGACTACATTTAAGATATTCACTATAAGCTCCCCCAACTTCTTTGAGCTGTAAATGCCAATGGGGAAAACTTTTTTTTTTTTTTTTTTTTGAGACGGAGTCTCACTGTGTCACCCAGGCTGGAGTGCAGCGCGCGATCTCGGCTCACTGCAAGCTCCGTCTCTTGGGTTCACGCCATTCTCCTGCCTCAGCCTCTCCAAGTAGCTGGGACTACAGGCGCCTGCCACCACGCCCGGCTAATTTTTTTGTATTTTCAGTAGAGACGGGGTTTCACCGTGGTCTCGATCTCCTGACCTCGTGATCTGCCTACCTCGGCCTCCCAAAGTGCTGGGATTACAAGCGTGAGCCACCGCGCCTGGCCAGGAAAACTTAAAACAAAAAGATTAAAACAAAACAAAACAAAACAAAAACAGGTCACCCAGACGGTTTGTTTAGTGATAAAGCCAAAATTTGAAGCCAAGTCTGACCCATGTGCTAAATCATGCTACCCTGAGTCTCCTCAAAATGTTGCACAATGTGTATTTCAAAAATGAAAACTAGGCCAGGCGCAGTGGCTCACGCCTGTAATCCCAGCACTTTGGGAGGCCGAGGCAGGCAGATCACGAGGTCAGGAGATCGAGACTATCATGGCCAACATGGTGAAATCCCATCTCTACTAAAAATACAAAAATTAGCTGGGCATAGTGGTGCGTGCCTGTAATCCAAGCTATTCCAGAGGCTGAACTAGGGAGTCGGAGGTAGCAGTGAGCTGAGATTGTGCCACTGCACTACAGCCTGGTGACAAAGCGAGACTCTGTCTCAAAAAAAAAAAAAAGAAAAGACAAGAAAACTATTCAGCTGGGCACAGTGGCTCACGCCTGTAATCCTAGCACTCTGGGAGCTAAGGTGGGAGGATCACGTGAGGGCAGGAGTTTTGAGACCCGGGATGCCAACGTGGCAAAACCTCATCTCTATTAAAAAAAAAAAAAAATTGCTAGGTGCGGTGGCTCACACCTATAATCCAAGCACTTTGAGAGGCCAAGGTGGGCGGATCACCTAAGTTTGGGAGTTCGAGACCAGCCTGACCAACATGGTGAAACCCCATCTCTACTAAAAATACAAGAATTAGCCAGGCGCAGTGGCACTCGCCTGTAATCCCAGCTACTTGGGAGGCTGAGGCAGGAGAATGGCGTGAACACGGAAGGCGGAGCTTGCAGTGAGCCGAGATTGCGCCACTGCCCTCCAGCCTGGGCGACAGAGCGAGAGACTCCGTCTCAAGAAAAAAAAAAAAAAAAGAAAAATACTCAAAGAAGCAAATATGGGAGGAAACTAACGTTTATATATATAAAGCTTTAGAGTGTGAATCCAAAAAGGAACAGAAATGATAATTAAAAAAAAAATATGAATGCTACCTCTGTGTACAGCTGACTCCAGGCACATTAACAAGTAGGAGAGCCTGGCTTCACGCGATCGCGGAAGGTTTTCCACATTGCACCGGTATTTCTTCAAGTCACTTTTACAGGATTTGGCCAATGAATAACTGACTTTATAATCCTGGGCAATCAGCTTTTGGCGGGTTGTAAGTGCTTCTCGACACTGAGGAAAGAGTACAGCAACAGCCGTGAGACCACTCATGTAACTTTACTGTTGACGTGTACCACTAAGATGAGCACAGCGACTCAGCCAAGTACATGTCAACAACTGCAGTTATTACCAACATATCTATCTTTAAGTTTGGTTAAAATGTTCACAATTGAGCTAAACTAGTGTGGCATGAGACAGGGGTAAGTGGGTGGGGAACCTAGAAATTCTGTAGTCACTTGCTAGTTGTTGCTGCAATAGCAGCTATCCAAAACATGTAAATATCTCACAGATCCCAATATGTTAACTTGACACACAGCATTCTTTTCCACTTTAACAATACCCCGAACATAAATTTCACTAGCATCAAACTGGCAACTAACATAACATTTGGGATATTCTGTTCAATGCTTTAAAATACAATTATTCAATTATTCTATATCATCTGAATAATAAGATTTGAATAAGATTGTTCAAATGATACAAGAAAAAGGAAATGAGAAACATTTCTTCAGCTACACAGGAAAGTAAATGACAAGATAGCAAAATTAATTATTTCAAAAGCCATCAACTATTCTTGCATTCATTCAGGGACAAAGAACTAAAAGAGGATGCTTAATGATATAGCTGCTGAAAAATTAAATAGCTAATTGCCTAGAAAGCACATTGATTTGGTTAACCTAAACTTCTTGAGGAGGCAGGGCTGGCCTTAGTGTGGTTTTATATAAAATTCTCTGATTTTACTCCCCAAACAAAGTAATATCTGAGAATTTTATATAAAATCACACTGAGGATTTTATATAAAACCACAGTGAGAGGCGGGTGGATCACCTGAGGTCAGGAGTTTGAGAGCAGCTTGGCCAACATGGTGAAACCCCGTCTCTACTAAAAATACAAAAATTAGCTGGGCGTGTTGTCAGGTGCCTGTAGTCATAGCTACTAGGGAGGCTGAGGCAGGAGACTTGCTTGAACCCGGCAGGCAGAGGCTACAGTGAGCCGAATCATGCCACTGCACCCCAGCCTGGGTGACAGAGAAAGACTCCACTCAAAAAAAAACAAAAACAAAACAAAACAAAAACACCTAAAAAAACCACCACAGTGAGAACCCTACTTGGCTTCTCACTATCTAGATATCACAATCAGGGTTTCATTTTCTTGGTTTCAGCCAAATATGCTTAAAACCCAAGTACCTCACCTCTGAAAGCGGTGAGCTTTATCAGTCATTTACGTTTCGGTATAAGATTATAAGAAATATTGTTTCAGAGAAATTGAGAAAGCTTTTTTTTTTTTTTTTTTTTTGAGACAGAGTCTCACTCTGTCACCCAGGCTGGAGTGCAGTGGTGCGATCTCAGCTCACTGCAACCTCCACCTCCTGGGTTCAAGTGATTTTCCTGCTTCAGCCTCCCGAGTAGCTGGGATTACAGGCGCCCACCACCACGGCCGACTAATTTTTGTATTTTTAGTAGAGACGGCGTTTCACCATCTTGGCCAGGCTGGTCTTGAACTCCTGACCTCGTGATCCACCTGCCTCAGCCTCCCAAAGTGCTGGGATTACAGGCGTGAGCCACCGTGTCTGGCTGAGAAAGCTTTTAAAAAACAAATAAAACATTCATTAGTTTCAAAATAATACTTACCTTTTCACTCATGGATTCTTCAAATTTATGGTTAAAGAGGCACTTATACACTCTGCCCTCACCAGCTTGTGTCTATAAGATGGAACATACACATTATTATTACTTTAGCTAAATAGTTATGCTGAACATTATCCACAATCTCATATAGAGCTTTCTATTAAACGATTATAATCGTACATACCTTTGGACAAACAGCGCTTCCATTTATAAAATTTAATAGGCTTTTAACAAAAACAGTGACTGCAGTAAAGACGAAAAAAATATTCCCATGATATTTGGAGTTTGTCATTTGTTCTCAGATGTATTTTGTTAATTAGGGAACCAAGAGAAGTGTTAGAGTCTGAGTCTTTTTTTTTTTTTTTTTTTTTGAGATAGAGTCAGTCTTGCTCTGTTGCCCAGGCTGGAGTGCAGTGGCACAATCTTAGCTCGGTGCAACCTCTGCCTCCTGGGTTCAAGCAATTCTCCTGCCTCAGAGCCCCAAGTAGCTGGGATTACAGGCCCCCGCCACCCTGCCCAACTAATTTTTTTATTTTTAGTAGAGATGGGGTTTCACCATATTGGTCAGGCTGGTCTCGAACTCCTGACCTCAAGTGATCTGCCTGCCTCGGCCTCCCAAAGTGCTGGGATTACAGGCGTGAGCCGCCGCACCCAGCCTCTGAGTCTTCTTTCTTACAAGTGTATGCTAGAGTTAACGAAACTCTTACATCAGTGGCTCTGATGGTTAAAGCTGTTAATGCAAACCAGCAGGCAGAGTGGAAGTGTACACAAGTTACTTTCAGTACTTTGTTGTAAGGATGGAGAGACCATTCTATTTAAAGACTTAGAAGGCTGTTCTGTAGAGTCAGCAGGTGGTAATCAAGGATTTGGTTTTAAAGATTAGCCACCTGCTGTTTTCTTCACCTTAGCCAAAAACACATAAATATATAATGCGTCAAAGTTTTAGCCATTGAATAGATGTAAATAAGATCCTGGGTAAAATAAAATTCCTATAGATAAAACAGACTTCCAAGAACTGAAATTGAGAAGTGAGATAAAGCAGAAAAAATACTAAGTGGAGATCATTAGAAGCCAGCTGTTAACCAAATGTTCAGTCATCAAGGTTGAGCATCCAGTTACCACTTTCTGCTATACTGGGACCAATTTCTTCTTCCATTTCTGTGGCTTTTCTACATGTGAGGTTTCTTGATGGCTTATTTTACGTTAGAATAGAGTATTAAAAAATATTTAAGTCACAGTGGCTCGTGCCTATAATCCTAGTACTTTCAGAGACAGAGGGAGGAGATCACCTCAGGCCAGGGGTTCAAGACCAGTCCGGGCAATACAGCAATGCCCCATCTCTACAAAAAATTTTTAAAAAAATTGGCCAGGCAAGATGGTGCTTGCCTATGGTTTTAGCTACTTGGGAGGCTGAGGCAGAAGAATCGCTTGAACCCAGAAGTTGGAGGCTGCAGTGAGCCATGATCACACCACTGCACTCCAGCCTGGGCACCACAGCAAGATCCTGTCTCAAAAATTGGGGAGGCTGAGCTGGAGCACTGCTTCAGGTCAGAAGTTCGTGACCAGCCTGGGCAACATAGCAAGACTCAATCTCTCAAAAAACAACACAATTAAATTAATTAAAACAAAATTATATATGTGTAAAAATAAAAGGAAGAAAAGAACAGT
Source organism: Homo sapiens (assembly GCF_000001405.40). NCBI lineage: Eukaryota > Metazoa > Chordata > Mammalia > Primates > Hominidae > Homo > Homo sapiens. The sequence goes on from NC_000016.10 coordinate 74,496,425, forward strand.
TTCTGAGCTGACTCACATTTTCACAAAAACGCTCCCGATCATCTCGGCAAGCAAAATATAAATGCCGGTCTAAGTGAAAGTCATCCGATGACAGCTCAGCCACCCGGAGAATGGCTTTCTTGCAGAGTTCAGAAACTTGAATCTTGGGTTCTCTTTCTTCTGCTTCTTTCACCAGGCCTTTCTCCAAGCATGATACCACCTCACCTTGTGAATGTGCATCCTAAAATAGCGAGGATATTAATATTTTAAAACTTTTATCACATGGGTTTCAAATAAACAACATTTGGCTACACACACACACACACACACACACACACACACACAAAGTAATAAAACCCCATCATAGAGTTGACTTATTAACGTTCTACCAAGAAATCAAGTAAGAACCAACCACATTGTGGAAGTTAAAGAAAATGCTCTCAATAATCTTCAGTTAGAATATAATACTTGCATGCTACAAATGGAAACAGAGATCCTGGAAAGTTTAAGTATTATAGTTTAGTTAGCACTAGAAATAAGAACCTGAATTTTTAAAAATTTAAAATGTCAAAAATTCATAAGAAACACAACAGGGCCAGGCATGGTGGCTCATGTCTGTAATTTCAGCACTTTGGAAGGCCGAGGCAGGTGGATCACCTGAGGTCAGGAGTTCGAGACCAGCCTGGCCAACATGGTGAAGGCCCATCTGTACTAAAAATACTAAAAATACAAAAAATTAGCCAGGCATGGTGGTGTGCGCCTGTAATCCCAGCTACTCAGGAGGCTGAGGCAGGAGAATCACTTGAACCCAGTAGGCGGAGGTTGCAGTGAGCCGAGATCGTGCCACTGCACTCCAGCCTGGGCGACAAGACAGAAACTCTGTAAAAAAAACACACACACACACACACACACAAAAAACCACATCGGCTCAAAGTTCTGGTCATAGTTCATGTCAAGACTGAAATTACACTGCTGAAATCTCTGTTCATTTGTCTCTAAAAACCAGGCATTTCCCAAATAACAGTGCTTGCTTTTTTTTTTTTTTTTTTTTTGAGACGGAGTCTCGCTCTTTCGCCCAGGCTGGACTGCAGTGGCGCTATCTCGGCTCACTGCACGCTCCCACTCCCGGGTTCACTCTATTCTCCTGCCTCAGTCTCCTGAGTAGCTGGGACCACAGGCGCCCGCCACCACGCCCGGCTAATTTTTTGTGTTTTTAATAGAGACGGGGTTTCACCGTGTTAGCCAGGATGGTCTCGATCTCCTGACCTCGTGATCCGCCCGCCTCGGCCTCCCAAAGTGCTGGGATTACTGGCGTGAGCCACTGCGCCCGGCCAACAGTGCTTTCAGTCAAGTTAAAAACCAACAAACCACATAATCCACTAAGAAGTTAGAGACTTTCTTGCTCCTTTCCCTACTCTGTGGTGTCCACAAACATCCCAATATGTAGAATCTGTTGTTTAATACTCACGTTGATGTTCTGGATTTATCTTAATGGGATTTAACAAGATTACCACTGTTTACACAAAACGCTTCTGAGAGTTTTCTTAAAAACCATCCAATTATCTTTAATTGTACACTTCATCATCCCCATAGCAACCACAAACATTCATTCATGCAAAATATGAGATAGTTCCCCTAAATATTTTCTATTCAAGAGTCCTAATCTATACTTACAAGATATGTTTCAACAATTTAAGGTATAACCACTAATATAGCAAACCAAAGCATCTTAAAATATAGTGCTATTAGCCCGGCACGATGGCTCATGCCTGTAATCCTAGCACTTTGGGAGGCCAAGGTGGGCGGATCACGAGGTCAAGAGTTCAAGACCAGTCTGGCCAACACAGTGAAACCCTGTCTCTACTAAAAATACAAAATATCAGCTGGATGTGGTGGTGTGCACCTGTAATCCCAGCTATTCGGGAAGCTGAGGAAGGAGAATCGCTTGAACCCAGGAGGTAGAGGTTGCAGGGAGCCGAGATTGCACCACTGCACTCCAGACTGGGAGGTGCAGTGCAAGGCTCTGTCTCAAAAAAAAAAAAAAGTATATATATATATATATATTATATTTTATATATATATTTTATATATAGTGCTATCATTTATACACACGCAATTAAAATCTTGTTATAATAAAATACCTATCTATGAAATAATCTGCATATAATAAAAAGATTCTGGCCAGGCGTGGTGGCTCATGCCTGTAATCCCAGCACTTTGGGAGGCCGAGGCGGGTGGATCATCTGAGGTCAGGAGTTCGAGACCAGCCTGGCCAACATGGTGAAACCCTGTCTCTACTAAAAATTCAAAAATTAGGTGGGTGTGGTGACACGTACCTATAACCCCAGCTACTCAGGAAGCTGAGGCGAGAGAATTGCTTGAATCTGGGAGGCGGAGGTTGCAGTGAGCTGAGTTAGTGCCACTGCACTCCAGCATAGACAACAAGAGTGAACTCCGTCTCAGGCAAAAAAAAAAAAAAAAAAAAAGATTCCTAAAACCAAGTAGCGTAACATCTACTTCAGACAAAATTTCAAATCAACCAAAGAATGTATTTTTTTCTATTTTAATTAAAGGATTTGTCTATAGCACCTTAATTTCCAAGTGTTTCCATGAAAGCTTTCGTGTTATCTCCTAACACACATATGAAGAAAGGACACAGCTCTGATATCTACTGCGGACATGAATGAACAGAGGCTCAGAGGAGTTAACTAACTCATTTGAGTTGTAGAACATGAAGTGTCTAGCTAACAGTCCATTATTTATTTATGGGGTTAATCTGGGTGAGTGGGTGGAGTCTATAAAACTCCTAAAACTTGTTTGTTGTTGTTGTTTAACTTTCATTTTTATTTATTTAAGAGACAGGGTCTTGCTCTGTTGCCCAGGCTGGAGTGCAGTGGAGGGATCACAGCTCACTGCAGTCCCAAGCTCCTGGGCTCAAGTGATTCTCCTGACTCAGCCTCCCAAGCAGCTGGGACTAGAAGCACACACCACCACCCTCAGCTATGGAACACTGTGTTTTTTACTGTACCTTTCCTATGTTTATATGTACTTATATACACAAATACTATACTTGTGTTATAAATGTCTCCAGTATTTCAGCATAGCCACATGCTGTACAGGTTTGTAGCCTAGGAGCAATAGGCTATACTACATAGCCTAGGTGTGTAGTAGGCTATACTCTATGATACTCACACAGTGATCAACTTGCCTAACAACACATTTCTCAGAACGTGTCCTGGTATTCTCATTGTATCCTCATCGATAAGCAACGTGTGACTAAATGTAACTACACTGGCATTAGGTCATAACAACACTTCTGGCTGGGCACGGTGGCTCACGCCTGTAATCCCAGCGCTTTGGGAGGCCGAGGCAGGTGGATCACAAGGTCAGGAGATAGAGACCATCCTGGCTAACACTGTGAAACCCCGTCTCTACTAAAAATACAAAAAATTAGCCGGGCATGGTGGCAGGCACCTGTAGTCCCAGCCACTCAGGAGGCTGAGGCAGGAGAATGGCATGAACCTGGGAGGCGGAACTTGCAGTGAGCCGAGATTGTGCCACTGCACTCCAGCCTGGGCGACAGAGTGAGACTCCGTCTCAACAACAACACCAAAATAAAAAAAAACAATACTTCTCTACTAGATGTTTCCATTCATTGTAACTTTCAGATAAATATTTTTTTCAAATAAGGGTATTTCAGGAGTTCCTCGGAGTCTCTGAGCTTTTAGTGCATTGGAGTTTATAACTGAAAGGCATATAAATATTTGACAGCGAAGACTGCATGGTTAGTTACCAAACATTAATTAAAGTGAGGTGAACTACACACCTGCACATTATGAGAAAATAAGCTCATTTAGGTTTAAAAAGTTATTAATACACAGGCTTGGCATATGAGTAATAAATTATCCTATAAATGAACTTACAATAATTTTTTGTTAACTTTATTATGGTAGAAAAACATCTGCTTAAAATCTACTGCCATTGCCTTGATCCGTTTTTAGAAGTTTGATAGGCAGTATTTTTCTTCCCCATATTCCGTGTCCTTTAACAACAACGGCCCCCACAAAAAAAAACAAAAAAAAAAACCAACAACAGATGCTAACACTAATCTCTAAATAGTAGGCGAGAACTCAGTTTTTATCTCTGCTATAAACCATTCTCTATTTCAATCCTTCTGCTGTCTTCTGTAATCTACCTCACTAGATAAAGGAAAAAGGAATATTAGAATTACTCAAATTAACTGGTTAAAAGCAGGAAATAATAAATGAAATAATAAATAATAAATGATACAGCTACCGAGAGAAAAGCATAAAAGTACTAATACTGTGGCACATGTCCGCAATTAAGTTCCTTTGTTGGCAGCCACAGTCTTTTTCTTCAGATGATGTAAATCATTTATATCTTTACTTTTGGAAATCTGCCCTTTCATTTTGACAACATTTATTATTATATAAAATTCTAAAGCCTTTATTAATGTATCTTCTTTGTTCTAAAATTTATATTAACATTTGAAAAAATCATAGTTTTGAAATCATGACATTTATGTGTTCATACAAAGGCAAGGTACAAACAGATTAACCATGAATCCTCTCCTCGGTCCTCTGGAGGAGGCCAAGTCAAAGCCAGTCATAGAAGAGTTTCAAGCTTCAGTGGCAGCAAATTTGAAACTGACAAGCCTGTTGTTTTCTGTGTTCAGAAGCTGCTTTGTTAATTTTCAGTATAAGTTTTCTATCTGAATAACTGGCTTCAGAAAAGCAAACTACGGGTTTTAGAAAAAGGCAGAGAAGAGCTGAGAACATGCCTCCCTCTTTTTTAAATTTGGCTGTAGTACAGAGTGAATGATATAGGAAGGAAGGTGTTTTTTCAGAAGTTCATGTGTGAGTCTATCTCACCGTCCCCAAAATACAAGAAAGCCTTTGATGCTGGTGTAGTGACCTGGTATAAACTGAAATTTCACCCAACTGGTAGACATACTGAAAGATTAAATGACAAAAGTGTCATTTCTATCTTTAGTCCATAGGAACAATTTTTATTATTTTATCTAAGTGAATAAACAATCCTGTCGTGCCTTTTGGCTCCAGCAGTACTATTTTCTGCAATCGTTTCAGTCACTACAGACTTAGTAACTCATACATGGAGGTGACAATTCAGAGAGCTAGAAGGAGGCTAATCAGCTGCTACCTTGGTGGTTACCAGGCAAGAACTACTCCACAGAGGGACTGAAACGCTTGGCTTTACTGCATGGAGCACTCATCACGAGGGTGAAAAAGCCTCATTTCTGATTCCTGAAAAGTATGTTTGGAACCCTGTGGAGACTTTAAAAGGAGCCAGGTTTGGAATTGGATATAATTTTCAACATCCTAAATAAAGTCAGAAGAGCTTCCTGAATCATCAGTGACTTAAGTGCTTTTGTGTCATTTTGAGAGTCTGCTGGGAAGGAAAACACTGCGTTCTTTATTAAAGCTGTCCTTTCTTTATTTGCCTGAAAGATTTATGCCAAGCCACAGAGTTTTTCAAGACCAACTCAGTGGTACACTCGGATAAGGGATCAGGCCCTGTGCTCATATTAAGGAAAGGGCATCAGGGCTTTGGTGACAGCCAGACAATACACAGCAAGAAACCCTTCATTTGAACGGTGTGCTCAGTTCCAGGATCCTAACACCATGTCCCCTTTGTCAGTGATAGACGCCTGCCAACCATGAACAAATAGAGGGCAAAGGGACAAATGGGTTTTATTTTCCATCATATTTCCTGAACAGTAGATTAATGAGCAGCAGCAACTAATAGGTGATGCCACAGGTCTCAGGGTCCCTCTCCCACTGGCATCCATTACTTTTCAGGAGTTTTTTTCATTTTTGCTGAGCAAACAAATTCAGAATAAACCTGGCCAGATCTCTATTGTGACCTTCTGTTCAGCAGACTAAGTCAAAAAATAAGATCAGATATAACTGTGGAAGAAGAAACTAGCTAGGTAGTTATTTTCTTTCCTGTCTTTACTAAAATCAGTTCTTCTGAGATGAAGATTAATAATATATCACATTTAGAGAGGACTTTTCTTCCAACTAACTAGAAGTACCTTCACATATCTTAAAATTTTCTGATATTTTATAGATGGACAGCAGCCAGTGTGCTAAGTAATTTTTTTTTTTGTTTTTTTTGAGACGGAGTCTCACTCTGTCTCCCAGGCTGGAGTGCAGTGGCGCGATCTCGGCTCACTGCAAGCTCCACTTCCTGGGTTCATGCCTTTCTTCTGCCTCAGCCTCCCAAGTAGCTGGGACTACAGACACCTGCCACCACGCCCGGCTAATTTTGTTTTTGGTTTTTTTTTTTTTTTTTTTTTGTATTTTTAGTAGAGACGGGGTTTCACCGTGTTAGCCAGGATGGTCTTGATCTCCTGACCTCGTGATCTGCCCACCTCAGCCTCCCAAAGTGTTGGGATTACAGGCATGAGCCACCGCGCCCGGCCAGTAATTTTTTTTATACTAACAGTGGGACATATGCAGAGAAAGATTACTGAACTTGGCCGGGACCGGTGGCTCACGTCTGTAATCCCAGCACTTTCGGAGGCCGAGGCGGGCAGATCACTTGAGGTCAGGAGTTCAAGATCAGCCTGGCCGACATGGCGAAACCCCAGCTCTATTAAAAATACAAAAATTAGCCAGGCGTGGTGGTGCATGCCTGTAGTTCCAGCTACTCAGGAGGCTGAGGCAGGAGAATCACTTGAACCCAGGAGGCTGAGGCTGCAATGAGCGGAAATCCCACCACTGTACTCCAGCCTGGGAAACAGAGGGAGACTCTGTTTCAAAAAAAAAATATTAGAGAACTCAGGTCTCTCCTTTGCCAGAGGCACATTACAGGTAACCAGCAGCTGGTCTAATATTGTGAAGATAACACCACTCTTTGCAGGTATTAATTCCTCTGCTTCCCATACAGTACTGAAAAATTTTGCTACAAACACATGAAATACATTGTCAACCAGCCTTAGCTCTTAGGGCTGTCTGGACAAGTTTCTTCAATTTCAACTTAAGGTCACTCCAGTCCTAAATTTTTCCCATGTCAGTTATACAAAGCTTTTCATACACCAAATTTTAAGACCCCTTTGTTGAAGCTAACGTAGTATTAGATACCTTTTCTCCAAGCCGAATACTGCCACATTTCAGAATGTTGATGTCATTTTTGCAGTCATCCATGAAGCCACAGATTAAACGGTAATCACTAAAAATGATGGCCGTCATCTTGGTAATGTACTGGTGACACTGATACTCAGTGATGTTGCCTCGGTGATCCACCAAGCAGGAAACCATGTAACCTTTTCCAACCGGTTCATCAGCACATTCTTTAATCTGCTCAAAATAAAGTAGCTGTTTTACAAAAGTGTTCCATGCTCGTATCAAACAATATTTATCAAAGAGAAAAATGTCTGAAATTTTCCTGTTGATTTCCTAATTCTTTACTTGGAAGAAAAAAAGAAAAATGCTTAGAAATATATCCAAGGAAAACATTTAGGAATACATTCATTTTAAAGAAAAATAGTGTCATCCCTACTCAGACTGTTGTGCCTTCTAGAAAAACCTGATTAATGTGTTTTGCAAAAGAATACCTACATATCAAATGCTTAGGTAATGCTCACTTCTAAATGCAGTGAAAAGAGCTGTTAACATCTACAGCTTTGGCATGGTCCTATGAAGTCCTTGTAACCATGCAAAAAATGCAGGAGACAGCGAGGGGATGAATCTAGGGAGGAAGATTTGACAAACAGGTGCAAAAGTGAAGTCCAGCTGCATACCCTAAGCCAAGCTACACAGAAAACTATTATTGTTAGGCAAACCTAAGGGCCAAGGAGAGACAGGAGGGAAGGTGTAATATTACTTCTTGACATGACATTATTATTATTTATCTTTTGAGGCAGAGCCTTGCTCTGTCGCCCAGGCTGGAGTGGAATGACATGATCTCGGCTCACTGAAACCCCTGGCACCCAGGTTCAAGTGATTCTCCTGCCTCAGCTTCCTGAGTAGCTAGGATTATAGGAGCTCACCTCCATGCCAGGCTAATTTTTGTATTTTTAGTAGAGACGGAGTTTTGTCATGTTGGCCAGGCTGGTCTCGAACTCCTGACCCCACGTGACCCACCCACCTTGGCTTCCCAAAGTGCTGGGATTATAAGCGTGAGCCACCTCACCTGGCCTACTTCTTGACATGACATTAATGTGTTCTAAATTAACTATGGATTGAACATGTGTTTTTGAAATCAGTAGAATCCAAACTTAACCGCTGTGGTCTGGGACACATGTGGTCTGGGAAACATGTTTAAAATAATGTTCAGTGCAGTTTAGCAAGAAGTTTGGGAAGGGGAACCTAGTTTGGATGGTTTAGACATATGATCTAGTGGATCAGGCACAGAGTGATTCTGCATGGTGGTGTTCCTGCAAAGTGCATTCCAAACCACAAAATGCTAATAAAGCAAACTAGCCCCCAAATGCTGAAATTCAGGCAAAAGTAAAACCTAATAATAGAATTATAAGCTTAAATTATAAAACAGAGAAGGGTGTTTGGAAAAGAGCCTATTGCATTTGGGGAAATTAAGACAAACTGAAGTGGCAATTCTGACAAGAGGAAGGAGTTAAATGGGAATGTTTATTTTGAATATAAACAAGAAACAGTGCTTTATTTGTCCTTTGAATGCAATAGAGAGCATTCTCCCCATTAGGCCTATCTATCACAAGCATGCCCATAGGGCAAAACAAACACAATCTCCTCTTCCAAAAGGTGCTGGATGAAGGACACACCACCGAGGAATTATCCTATAGGCAACAGGTTGTCTTCACCTCTAACTCCAGTATCAAATCCAGACCACGTAAATAACTCAGTTCAGAAAAGAAAGTTGTGTTTACTTCTAAAGGGGCAAACTTGGGAATTTAGTAAATAATAGTCTCACACTGGTTTCAGAGACAGCAGAGATTTTCAACAGTCAAGATGAATGAAATTCTTTCAGTTTAACCCCAAGTAAGTTTTTGTGATGCCTAAAAGAGGGCCATGGCTGGGCACGGTGGCTCATGTCCGTAATCCCATCACTTTGGAAGACCGAGGGGGGTGGATCACTTGAAGTTAGGAGTTTGAGACCAGCCTCGCCAACATGGCGAAACCCCATCTCTACTAAAAATACAAAAATTGGCCAGGTGCGGTGGCTCATGCCTGTAATCCTAGCACTTTGGGAGGCTGAGGCAGGTGGACTGCCGGAGCTCAGGAGTTCGAGACCAGCCTGGGCAACACGGTGAAAGCCTGTCTCTAATAAAATACAAAAAATTAGCCAGGTGTGGCGGCGTGCGCCTGTAGTCCCAGCTACTTGGAAGGCTGAGGCAGGAGAATTGCTAGAACCCGGCAGGCGGAGGTTGCAGTGAGCTGAGATTGAGCCATTGCATTCCACCCTGGGCAACAGAGCGAGACTACTTCTCTAAACAAATAAACAAAAAACCCAAAATTAGCTGAGTGTGGTGCCACGCATCTGTAGTCCCAGCTACTTGGGAGGCTGAGGCAGGAGAATTGCTTGAACCCAGGAGGTGGAGGTTGCAGTGAGCCAAGATTGCACCACTGCACTTCAGCCCCGGTGACAATGAGAGACTCCATCTTAAAAAAAAAAAAAAAAAAAAAAGAGGGCCAGGACTGTATTTCCTGGAAAAGATTTTTTTTTTTTTTTTTTTTTGCCGAACAAAACAGACTTAAGTTTGAAAAGTGAAAGGAGGAATAGATGCTTGAAAATCCCAGCACTTGTAATTCAACCACAGAAAAACACTGGATACAAAACAAGACTAGTGGCAGACACCCACTTAATGAAACAGAGAAACATTTTTCCAGGCCCTAATATTGAGCAACCAAAAGTTTTAAAACATCTCAAGAGGCCAGGAGCGGTGGCTCACACCTGTAATCCCGGCACTTTGGGAGGCCCAGGCGGGCGGATCACGAGGTCAGGAGACTGAGACCATCCTGGCTAACACAGTGAAACCCCATCTCTACTAAAAATACAAAAAAAAAATTAGCCATGTGTGGTAGCAGGTGCCTGTAGTCCCAGCTACTTGGGAGGCTGAGGCAGGAGAATGGCATGAACCTGGGAGGCGGAGCTTGCAGCGAGCAGAGATCGCGCCACTGCACTCCAGCCTGGGTTACAGAGCAAGACTCCGTCTCAAAAAAAAAAAAAAAAAAAAAAACTCAAGAGAAACCAGGAGCACATTTTGAACTGTAGCCTCAATAAGAAACTAAATGTAAATTTTAGCTTCAATCACTTGAGATTTTACTGAAACAGAGATGTGGCACCTACTCATTTTTCAGCTCACTATCCATTACAACAGGGCGTGGTGTTAGAATGAGAAGTTTGCATGTTTCTTCATTCTGCTGGATAGCACTTTTTCCTTCTATCTTACTAAACTTCTAAGATGAACAGCAAAAAAGGGGCACTAAATCATCATCAACATATTTAAGAATAGGAGTAAACTCTGAAGTGGCTGGGGAGCAGATTGAAAAGGTACCATGAGCAAAATGCTGCAGTCACTCTATTTTTTGACTGGAGCCAGAAGGAAAGCAGGCAGGATTTAGCTCAATCCTGGAGATTAAGTTTGGTTTGTATTAATAGTTTACAGGTATTCTTGTGATGTTGTTTTTCTCCCTGGAAGTAGGATTCCAAAATTAAGAAAGATGATAGAATGAAAATACAGAATGAAATGTTTTGCTGGAGACTGTGTTCTTCCTGATATTTAATTTCCCTGACTCCAGTATAATCTTCCTGTGGGAGGGAGAAGTGTCCTTGTTAATGCTAATCTTTTACAAAACTAGAACACCCCAAAAGGTCACAGAGGACCATCGTGATACACACATTATATGGAAACCAGCCTAATGCAAAGAGTGAAATTATTCTAGTGAATATGTACATACTCAACTAAATTTCCCTGGGCCAATCAAACTGGTATGTATTTAATGGGACACAAAATGGGGCAAAACAAACATATGCGGGTATATATATATGTATCTCTCCAATGTGTTTTTTAAAAAAAAACTACTTATGGCCGGGCACGGTGACTCATGCCTGTAATCCCAGCACTTTGGGAGGTTGAGGTGGGTGGATCACATGAGGTCAGGATTTGAGACCAGCCTGGCCAACATGGCAAAACCCTGTCTCTACTAAAAATACAAAAATTAGCCAGTCCTGGTGGCATGTGCCTGTAATCCCAGTTACTTGGGAGGCTGAGGCAGGAGAACTGCTTGAACCCAGGAGGCAGAGGTTGCAGAGAGCCAAGGTGGCACCACTGCACTCCAGCGTGGGCGACAGAGCAAGACTCCATCTCAAAAAAAAAAATCTACTTACAATTGTATAGTACCACAATATAGAGGGAAAATACAAACATTTAAAGTTCAAGCCTAGGAATAATTTGTTAGTATTTAGTTCAGTTATTAAGCAAACATCTTTGCCCTTGATATTTTAAAGTTAGAGGTTTAGTCCTATAGCTAGCTAAGGGAGTTTGAGATGTAGAATATTAAAGCTAGGAGCTAAAGATAAATTTTTCAACGATATGCCTTTCTGCTCGGAAGCCCCAAGGTAAATATGAGGGGTCACTGCTTTAAAAGAATAAAACATAACTGATCTAGTATTAGAAAGTTTGAGAAAACAGGTTCTACGAGTCCCCATAATGACACAAGGAACACAGGCTGATGGTTTATCTGGATGAGACAGGGTCTTCCTTAAGAGCTCTGAAGAATGTGGCCCTGACTTAATTCATCAATAGGGCCAGCTTGAGGACAATTAGTATGGTGTGAGATCTATGACTGTTAATTCTGGGGTGGAAAAATAGCAACTGTTTTCTCTGTGATTCTCATATTTCAGTATGCAGAAACTCTGGCTTCCTGGAGTTTCTATTATTGATTCAAAAAAAAAAAAAACCGTTAAAAAAAAAAGAAATTTAAAGTACCACAATTTTCACTAATATTATTTGTTGTTTACACTGGGCCAAGATAAATAATTTTTAAAATCTTAACCTTTTTAACACTAACTCCTATTATTTGAAGTATATACCTCTGTGGGTCAATTGATCCAGCTGCATAGCCAAAACAGGAATGCTGACAGACCTCCTGTAACCAGGCTGATATGCTTCAGACACAGCATGTTGTCCAATGTGTGAGAGTAGCACTGATACCTCAGCACTTTTACTTGCTGTTTTGAGACCAATAGAACCTGATTTCCAACTGCCTCAATCAATAGTATCCTAATGTAAGCGTAGGTGGACATTAACAAAAAGAGTCTAATTACACCCCCCAACTTCCTAATTTTCAACCAAGACAGATGTGAATTCTAAGAAAAGTAATGTAACTGAGTCATTCTTCTCATAAGGGCTGGTCTGGTAATTTTCTCCTCTAAGCCATTAGTTGTCTACAAAATTCTTTGACAACTTACCTCTGTTATAGTAGATTTGCAAACCTCTCTGGCCACAGATTCAAATTTGGGATCTGTAGTTAGGTTCAGCTTATAATTCCACAACAACTAGATAGGAGAGGAAAAAAAAAAACAAAGAAAAACTCCAGTTAGAACAGTACGAAATTTATTATCAACGTTAAATGACAAAAGCCAATTATACAGAGTCAGACAAAGCATATTCACATCAGATAACAAACAAAGTAGGATAAAATGCCATCACATTCCTAGATAAAAGGAAAAAAATGCAAGCCAAATAAAAGGATGACTATTCAGATATATTTTTGTCGTTTTTACTAAAGGACAATTTTTTTTTTTTTTTTTTTTTTTTTTGAGACAGAGTTTCACTCTTGTTGCCCAGGCTGGAGTGCAACGGCGTGATCGTGGCTCACTGCAACCTCCACCTCTCGGGTTCAAGCGATTCTTAAATGACAATTTTTTTAGAGCTATAAATTAAAAACCATTAAAAAGTCAAGAAAAAATGAAAAATTAAGATCCTTGGTAAGGTTTTCAAGGAAAATATAAATAGGTTATATGAGCTAAATTCTGCTTGAACCAAAAAGTCTAATCCAGAAGCTCAGATTTGGTGGATTCAGTCTCAGATCTCACAATCAACAGTGCTTTCATAGATCGGTTTCATGGAGGAGAGTCGCCCAGGTTCTAGTTTCTAGGCATATTTATCTTCATTCATTCATTCATTTAAAAAAAAATTGCCAGGCGCGGTGGCTGACGCCTGTAATCCCAGCACTTTGGGAGGCAGAGGCGGGCGGATCACGAGGTCAGGAGATCGAGACCATCCTGGCTAACACAGTGAAACCCCGTTTCTACTAAAAAATACAAAAAATTAGCCGGCGTGGTGGCAGGCGCCTGCAGTCCCAGCTACTCGGGAGACTGAGGCAGGAGAACGGCGTGAACACCGTAGGCAGAGGTTGCAGTGAGCCGAGATAGCGCCACTGCACTCCAGGATGGGCAACAGAGCAAGACTCTGTCTCAAAAAAAAAAAAAAAAATTTGTAGAGATGGGATCTCACTGTGCTGCCAGGCTGGTCTTGAACTCCTGGCCTCAAGCAATTCCCCTGCCTTGGCCTCCCAAAGTGCTGGGATTACAAGTGCGAGCCAGCATGCCCAGCCTCTTGATTCCCTTAAAACACTTGACACATACACTATAAGGTCTACTTTTTTTTTTTTTTTTTGAGACAGAGTTTCCCTCTTATTGCCCAGGCTGCAGTGCAATGGCGCGATCTCGGCTCACCACAACCTCTGCCTCCCAGGTTCAAGCAATTCTCCTGCCTCGGCCTCCCGAGTAGCTGGGATTACAGGCATGTGCCACCATGCCTGGCTAATTTTGTATTTTTAGTAGAGATGGGGTTTCTCCATGTTGGTCAGGCTGGTCTTGAACTCCTGCCCTCAGGTGATCCACCCACCTTGGCTTCCCAAAGTGCTGGCATTACAAGAGTGAGCCACTGCACCCAGCCCATAAGGTCCACTTTATACAACTGTTTTAACACATGTTACACTAGAAAATATCTAAAGCCTATTCTTGCAGATAATGACTAAATATTACTTTATTTTTGAAGCTTCCATAAAAATATTTTGATAAGTGATCCAATTTCTGAAACTAAGCAAAAATGAGCCTTAAATTGTTCAGTTGGTGAGATAGAGCAGAGACTTGGGATGATGTAGAACATGAAGATGTATGTATATATTCATTTTTGGAGGGGGGTACATTCCTCTCTGGCTACTATATACTCCTAGACAAAAAAATACAGTCATCAATCACTGATTCAGTTAAATATCTGCTTGGCAATGCGTTTCACAGATAGGCTATTAGAAGAAACAAGCAAATGTTTACTGAGTACATACTGTGTTCCAGACACAGTGTTAGGAACTGGTGGATAAAACATAAGGAGAAGGACAAAGACTGTCCAGTGGCAGCTACAGTCAATGGCAGGGAGTATGATCAAGTAATTGGCTAATGGCATCACTGGGTACCACAGCAGTATAGGGGAGGAATATTCCAAACTGGGGAGGGATGGGGAGTTTGGTCAGGGAAGATTTACCATAGAAAATGCTAAGATGAAACCTGAAAGGCTAGAAGCAGTTAGCCAGATTCAAGGGTAGGGAGAAGACTTTTTTAGGCAGATGACACCGCATCCATGGAAGCAAGGGGTGGAGGGAACCAGAAGTCCAATGGAGGACTGACCGAGGAGCCTCAAGCCAGGCCAGATCAGAAAGCCTTTGTAAGCCATGACTGAACTTTAACCCAAGAATAACGGGGAATCGCAGAAGAGAAAGTAGGGGGTGACACGACCAGATCTGCTTTTTAGAAGGACAGAGGCATATAAAAAGTACATTAGAAATGACATGGAAGCATGCAGTTAATTCTGTATGAGTGCTGAGGAAGATCTGAAGAAAACACAAAGGATGGGTAGGATTTCTTCTCCTCCCTCCTCAAAAACAAAAATATGAGTAAAAGCTCTCATCTCTCGGCTACCATCAATAACTGAGTTTTTAGGCTGGGCATGGTGGCTCATGCCTGTAATGCCAGCACTTTGGGAGGCCAAGGTAGGTGGATAACCTGAGGTCAGGAGTTCAAGACTGGTCTGGCTAACATGGGGAAACCCGGTCTCTACTAAAAATATAAAAATTAGCCAGGCGTGGTGGTGCATGCCTGTAATCCCAGCTACTCTGGAGGCTGAGGCAGGAGAATAACTTGAACCTTTTTTTTTTAAAAAAAAAAAAAAAAAGAAAGAAAGAAAGAAAGAAAAGAAAAGCTTTCTGGTATCACAAAAATTTAGGACAAACAGTAACAAAAGCCAGAAAAATTAAAACTATAAGCAGAATATTTCCTTACTATTTTATCGAATGCAAAGTCAGATGTCCTACAATTGAGCTAGAAATAGATTTTCCGCCAACAGACGTTTAGATGACCATTTAGATTTTTTGAATGTCTTCACCTTTTAATTTGAAAACTTACTTGTTCTGACAGGCATAAATTTCCTTATGAACAAGTCTCTTCCCTAAGAACCATGACAGTATTGTCAAATGCTAAACATTTTACTGTATCTCATCTTTTTTTTGTTCATTTCAAATTGATATATAATTCATATACCATAAAATTTACCTCTCTAAAGTGTACAATTCAGTGGTTTTTTACTTTATTCACAAGGATGGGCAACAACCACCATTGCCTAATTATAGAACATTATCACCCCAAACAGAAGCCCACACCCATTCTGTCACACTTTATCCTCTCTACCCTCATCTTCTGGCAACCATTAATCTACTTTCTGGTCTTTTATTTCTTTTTTTTTTTTTTCTCAGACGGAGTCTTGCTCTGTCACCCAGGCTGAAGTGCAGTGGCGCGATCTCGACTCACTGAAGCCTCCGCCTGGGTGACAGAGCGAGAATCCATATTAAAAAAAAAAAAAAAAATTTTTGCCCAGGCTAGAAGTACAGTGATGCAAGTGTGATCTCGGCTCACTGCAACCTCCGCCCCCCGGGTTCAAGCAATTCTCCTGCCTCAGCCTCCGTACTAGCTGGGATTACAGGTGTGCGCCACCACATCCAGCTACATTTTTGAATTTTTAGTAGAGATGGGGTTTCACCATGTTGGCCAGGATGGTCTCGATCTCCTGACCTCGTGATCTGCTGGCTTCCAGCCTCCCAAAGTGCTGGAATTACAGACGTGAGTCATCGCGCCTGGCCTCAAATCTTAAGACATCCATCCATGAATCTATCTGTTCATCCATCCCAAACGTGTAATGAGTAACTACTATAATCTGGACATCCTTCTAGGTAATGGGGATGAGAAAGGTGAAGGAAGGAAAAAAAAAAAAAGACCATTGTCTCAGCAAGTCAAGAAGCTCAACCACAGGAGGACAAAAGAAGGAAGAGTCAGGTTGGAAAGGGAATAAACAATAAAAATATAGTGTGATAAATGTGATAACAAGCATGCAGGAGATTTTACAGAACACAAAGGAAGAACACATTTTGGTGAGTGGTAAGAGGAGGGACAGGGAGTCTTGGTAGCAGTCCAGTCATCCTGGGCTTGATCCTCAGGGATAAGAAGCAATTTAGTCAGATGAACTGACGGAGATTGGGCTTCTAAGTGTACAAAAGTAGAAAGGACACAAAGAATAAATGATAACCTATGGAAACAGAGTTCAGAATAGCTGGAGTTGAAGGTATGAAAGATGAGATGGGGCGCAGGGGTCAGATCACATTGAATACCGCAGTTCATATTAAAGGTTTTGAATTTTATCTTAAAGGAAATGGAAGGTTAATGGATAATTTTGACCAAAGAACTCAAAAGATCACATCTGATTACACTGGAGAAGGGCAGGATTTAGGGAGGTTAGTAGACCAAGAGGCAAGAACTTATTTGAATGAAAAAAGATGGGATATACTTGAGATACTTAGAATAAAGTAATTACAGGATTAGGGTGTGGGCTAGGGGATGAAGGGAAAAATTTCCTTCAGTCAAGCTCCTTGAAAATATAGTCAGCCTACTGGGAGACACCTCCCAGTAGGGGCCAACAGATATCTCATACAGGCAGGTGCCCCTCTGGGACGAAGCTTCCAGAGGAAGAATCAGGCAGCAATATTTGCTGTTCTGCAGCCTCCGCTGGTGATACCCAGGCAAACAGGGTCTGGAATGGACTTCCAGCAAACTCCAACAGACCTGCAGCTGAGGGGCCTGTCTCTTAGAAGGAAAACTAACAAACAGAAAGGAATAGCATCAACATCAACATCAACAAAAAGGACATCCACACCAAGACCCCATTCGTAGGTCACCAACATCAAAGACCAAAGGTAGAAGATGGGGAGAAACCAGAGCAGAAAGGCTGAAAATTCCAAAAACCAGAATGCCTCTTCTCCAAAGGAACACAACTCCTCACCAGCAAGGGAACAAAACTGGAAGGAGAACGAATTTGACAAGTTGACAGAAGTAGGCTTCAGAAGGTCGGTAATAACAAACTTCTCTGAGCTTAACGAGCATGTTCTAACCCATCAAAAGGAAGCTAAAAACCTTGAAAAAAGGTTAGACAAATGGCTAACTAGAATAACCAGTGTAGAGAAGAGCTTAAATGACCTGATGGAGCTGAAAACCACAGTACGAGAACTTCGTGAAGCATACGTAAGCTTCAATAGTCGATTTGATCAAGCGGAAGAAATGATCAGTGATTGAAGATCAAATGAATGAAATAAAGCCAGAAGACAAGATTAGATAAAAAAAGAGTGAAAAGAAACGAACAAAACCTCCAAGAAATATGGCACTATGTGAAAAGACCAAATCTGCATTTGATTGGTATACCTGAAAGTGACAGGGAGAATGGAACCAAGTTAGAAAACAATCTTCAGGATATTATCCAGGAGAACTTCTCCAACCTAGCAAGGCAGGCCAACATTCAAATTCAGGAAATACAGAGAACACCACAAAGATACTCATCAAGAAGAGCAACCCCAAGACACATAATTGTCAGATTCACCAAGGTTGAAATGAAGGCAAAAATGTTAAGGGCAGCCAGAGAGAAAGGTCGGGTTACCCACAAAGGGAAGCCCAACAGACTAACAGCAGATCTCTTTGCAGAAACCCTACAAGCAAGACGAGAGTGGGGGCCAATATTCAACATTCTTAAAGAAAAGAATTTTCAACCCAGAATTTCATATCCAGCCAAACTAAGCTTCATAAGTGAAGGAGAAATAAAATACTTTACAGACAAGCAAATGCTGAGAGCTTCTGTCACCACCAGGCCTGCCTTACAAGAACTCCCGAAGGAAGCACTAAACATGGATAGGAACAACCGGTACCAGCCACTGCAAAAACATGCCAAATTGTAAAGACCATTGACACTATGAAGAGACTGCATCAATTAACGGTCGAAATAACCAGCTAGCATCATAATGACAGGATCAAATTCACACATAACAATATTAACCTTAAATGTAAATGGGCTAAATGCCCCAGTTAAAAGACACAAACTGGCAAACTGCATAGAGTCAAGACCCATCAGTATGCTGTATTCAGGAGACGCATCTCATGTGCAAAGACACACATAGGCTCAAAATAAAGGGATGAAGGAAGATCTACCAAGCAAATGGAAAGCAAAAGAAAAAAAAAAGCAGGGGTTGCAATCCTGGTCTCTGATAAAACAGACTTTAAACCAACAAAGATCAAAAGAGACAAAGAAAGCCATTACATAATGGTAAAGGGATCAATTCAACAAGAAGAGCTAACTATCCTAAATATATATGCACCCAATACAGGAGCACCCAGATTCATAAAGCAAGTTCTTAGAGACCTACAAAGAGACTTAGACTCTCACACAATAATAATGGGAGACTTTAACACCCCACCATCAATAATAGACATATCAACGAGACAGAAAATTAACAAGGATATCCAGGACTTGAACTCAGCTCTGGAGCGGGCAGACCTAATAGACATCTACAGAACTCTCCACCCCAAATCAACAGAATATACATTCTTCTCAGCACCACATTGCACTTATTCTAAAATTTATCACATAATTGGAAGTAGAACACTCCTCAACAAATGTAAAAGAGGAGAAATCACAACAAACTGTCTCTCAGACCACAGTGCAATCAAAGTAGAACTCAGGATTAAATATCTCACTCAAAACCGCACAACTACATGGAAACTGAACAACCTGCTCCTGAATGACTACTGGGTAAATAACGAAATGAAGGCAGGGATAGCATTAGGAGATATACCTAATGTTAAATGACAAGTTAATGGGTGCAGCACACCAACATGGCACATGTATACATATGTAACTAACCTACACGTTGTGTACATGTACCCTAAAACTTAAAGTATAATTTTAAAAAATGTAAAGGGGCTAAATGCTCCAATTAAAAGACACAGATTGGCAAACTGGATAAAGAGTCAAGACCCATCAGTGTGCTGTATTCAGGAAACCCCTCTCACGTGCAGAGACACACATAGTCTCAAAATAAAGGGATGGAGGAAGATCTACCAAGCAAATGGAAAACAAAAAAAGGCAGGGGTTGCAATCCTAGTCTCTGATAAAACAGACTCTAAACCTAAACCAACAAAGATCAAAAGAGACAAAGAAAGCCATTACATAACGGTAAAGGGATCAATTCAACAAGAAGAGCTAACTATCCTAAACATATATGCACCCAATACAGGAGCACCCAGATTCATAAAGCAAGTTCTTAGAGACCTACAAAGAGACTTAGACTCTCACACAATAATAATGGGAGACTTTAACACCACACTGTCAACATTAGACAGATCAACGAGACAGAAAGTTAAGAAGGATATCCAGGAATTGAACTCAGCTCTGCACCAAGCAGACCTAATAGACATCTACAGAACTCTCCACCCCAGATCAACAGAATATACATTCTTTTCAGCACCACACCACACCTATTCCAAAACTGACCACATAGTTGGAAGTAAAGCACTCCTCAGCAAATGTAAAAGAACAGAAATTGTAACAAACTGTCTCTCAGACCACAGTGCAATCAAACTAGAACTCAGGATTAAGAAACTCACTCAAACTTGCTCAACTACATGGAAACTGAACAACCTGCTCCTGAATGACTACTGGGTACATAACGAAATGAAGGCAGAAATAAGGATGTTCTTTGAAACCAATGAGAACAAAGACACAACACACCAGAATCTCTGGGACACATTCAAAGCAGTGTGTAGAGGGAAATTTACAGCACTAAATGCCCACAAGAGAAAGCAGGAAAGATCTAAAATTGACACCCTAACATCATAATTAAAAGAACTAGAGAAGCAAGAGCAAACAATTTCAAAAGCTAGCAAAAGACAAGAAGTAACTAAGATCGGAGCAGAACTGAAGGAGACAGAGACACAAAAAACCCTTCAAAATAAACCAATGAATCCAGGAGCTGTTTTTTTGAAAAGATCAACAAAATAGATAGACTGCTAGCAAGACTAATAAAGAAGAGACAAGAATCAAATAGACACAATAAAAAATAATAAAGGGGCTATCACCACCGATCCCACAGAAATACAAACTACCATCAGAAAATACTATAAACACCTCTATGCAAATAAACTAGAAAATCTAGAAGAAATGGATAAATTCCTGGACACATACACCCTCCCAAGACTAAACCAGGAAGAAGTTGAATCTCTGAATAGACTAATAACAGGTTCTGAAATTGAGGCAATAATTAATAGCCTATCAACCAAAAAAAGTCCAGGACCAGGTGGACTCACGGCCGAATTCTACCAGAGGTACAAAGAGGAGCTGGTACCATTCCTTCTGAAACTATTCCAATCAATAGAAAAAGAGAGAATCCTCCCTAACTCATTTTATGAGGTCAGCATCATCCTGATACCAAAGCTTGGCACACAACAAAAAAAGGGAATTTTAGACCAATATCCCTGATCAACATCTAGCTGAAAATCCTCAATAAAATACTGGCAAACCAAATCCAGCAGCACATCAAAAAGCTTATCCACCACCATCAAGTTGGCTTCATCCCTGGGATGCAAGGCTGGTTCAACATATGCAAATCAATAAACGTAATCCATCACATAAACAGAATCAGTAATAAAAACCACATGATTATCACAATAGATGCAGAAAAGGCCTTTGACAAACTTCAACAGCCTTGCAAACTAAAAACTCTCAATAAACTCGGTATCGATGGAACATATCGCAACATACTAAGAGCTATTTATGACAAACCCACAGCCAATATCATACTGAATGGGCAAAAACTAGAAGCATTCCCTTTGAAAACCAGCAAAAGACAAGGATGCCCTCTCTCACCACTCCTATTCAACATAGTATTGGAAGTTCAGGCCAGGGCAATCAGGCAAGAGAAAGCAATAAAGGGTATTCAAATAGGAAGAGAAGAAGTCAAATTGTCCCTCTTTGTAGATGACATGACTGTATATTTAGAAAAGCCCGTCATCTCAGCCCAAAATCTCCTTAAGCTGATAAGCAACTTCAGCAAAGTCTCAGGATACAAAATCAGTGTGTAAAAATCACAAGCATTCCTATAAATCAATAACAGACAAACAGAGAGCCCAATCATGAGTGAACTCCCATTCACAATTGCTTCAAAAATAATAAAATACCTAGGAATCCAACTCACAATGGCTGTGAAGGACCTCTTCAAGGAGAACTACAAACCACTGCTCAAGGAAATAAGAGAGGACACAAACAAATGCAAAAACATTCCATGCTCGTGGATAGAAGAATCAATATCGTGAAAATGGCCTTACTACCCAAAGTAATTTATAGAGTCAATGCTATCCTCATCAAGCTGCCACTGACTTTCTTCACAGAATTGGTAAAAACGACTTTAAACTTCATATGGAGCCAAAAAAGAGCTAGCATAGCCAAGAAAATCTTGGGCAAGAAGCACAAAGTTGGAGGCATCATGCTACCCGACTTCGAACTATACTACAAGGCTAAAGTAACCAAAACAGCGTGGTACTGGTACCAAAACAGATATACAGGCCAATGGAACAGAATGGAGTCCTCAAAAATATCACCAGATGTCTACCACCATCTGATCTTTGACAAACCTGACACACGTAAACAATGGGGAAAAGATTCCCTATTTAATAAATGGTGTTGGGAAAACTGGCTAGCCATATGCAGAAAACTGAAACTGGACCCGTTCCTTACACCTTATACAAAAATAAACTCAAGATGGATCAAAGGCTTAAACGTAAGACCTAGGATGATAAAAATCCTAGAAGAAAACCTGGGCTGTATTAATACCATTCAGGACATAGGCATGGGCAAAGCAATGGCACCAAAAGCAATGGCAACAAAAACCAAAATTGACATATGGGATCTAATTCAACTAAAGAGCTTCTGCACAGCAAAAGAAACTATCATCAGAGTGAACAGGCAACCTACAGAATGGGAGAACATTTTTGCAATCTATCCATGTGACAAAGGGCTAATATCCATTAAGTCAAGAAACAACAGATGCTAAAGAGGTTGTGGAAAAATAGCAATGCTTTTACACTGTTGGTGGGAGTGTAAATTAGTTCAACCATTGTGGAAGACACTGTGATGATTCCTCAAGGATCTAGAACTAGAAATACCATTTGACCCAGCAATCCCATCACTAGGCATATACCTAAAGGATTATAAATCATTATATGATAAAGACACATGCACATGTATATTTATTGTGGCACTATTCACAATAGCAAAGACTTGGAACCAACCCAAATGTCCATCAATGATAGACTGGATTAAGAAAATGTGGCACATATACACTGTGGAATACTATGCAGCCATAAAAAAGGATGAGTTCATGTCTTTTGCAGGGACATGGATGAAGCTGGAAACCATCATTCTCAGCAAACTATCACAAGATCAGAAAACCAAGCACCACATGTTCTCACTCATACGTGGTAGTTGAACAATGACAACACATGGTCACAGGGAGGGGAACATCACACACTGGGGCCTTTTGGGGGTGGGGGGCTAGGGGAGGGATAACATTAGGAGAAATACCTAATGTAGGTGACAGGTTGATGGGTGCAGCAAAGCACCATGGCACATGTATACCTATGTAACAAAACTGTACGTTCTGCATATGTAACCCATAACTTAAAGTATAATAATTAAAAAAAAGTATAGTACATACGATTATGTGCAATACATACTTGATATTGATAATAAATGACTATGTTACTGGTTTTTGAAAAAAAAAAAGAAAATTTAGTCTATAGCTCGTTTAATCTACTTCCTCTTTTATTCACCCTTAAAATTTTAAGTCAAAGCTATGTTGAGTCAAACGGTTCTATAAAGTTAGTTTAAAAAATCAAAACAAGAAATTCCCTGTCCAAAGCCCCACCCACTCCCCAGAAGCGGGCACTTTCAATTCTTTTTGCTTACGTTAATTACCTCCATATTTTTAAACTACATGCTTAAACTGTCATTTCTTGACTTGTCACTTTTAGATATTCTGTAGTAACTTACACTATAAAAGATGAGGAATGAATTCTCATACCCATCTTCCTGGTCCCACTCCTCCCCATACAGTTAAATCATCATGTTGTTAGATACTCAGTATTCACATTATTGACTATGTAAAAAGTTATATATACTGAGACACAGAATATTGTATTTATTTTCCTATACGACTTTTAGTTTGCTCTATAGTTAAGTCACTTATTTCATAGGCCTATTTTCCTATACACCCATTATTAATTAATCCTCAATCTCTTTACTAGAAATGTAAATCTCCTCTCAAAATGTTCTGCTGTGTCCAGTGAGACATTCATCTTGCAGTCTTTTCATTTTCCTGTTTCCATCAGGGACTGGCTATTTTCTCTGTACATGCATCATCCTTCTCCAGCATCCTCAGAATTTCCTTTGCTTTTCTCTCAGGCTGATTCATTAGTCACTGGGTTCTTAATCTTTCTCTGCCTTGGTGTATTCCCTCATTTTCTTTAAGCACATCCTCCAGGGGCTTTATTTAAAAACACGTGGCCGGAGACGGTGGCTCACACCTGTAATCCTAGCACTTTGGGAGGCCGAGGTGTGTGGATTACCTGAGGTCAGGAGTTCAAGACCAGCCTGACCAACATGTAGAAACCCTATCTCTACTAAGAATACAAAATTAGCTGGGCGTGGTGGCGCATGCCTGTAATCCCAGCTACTTGGGAGGCTGAGGCAGGAGAATCGCTTGAACCCAGGGGGCGGTGGTTGCAGTGAGCCAAGATCACACCATTGCACTCCAGCCCGGACAACAAGAGCGAAACTCCATCTCAAACGACAACAACAACAACAACAAATATGCATGAGTCATAAATGTTTGGAAGAACTGCATGCCAGAAATATCTTTATATTACTTTGACTGGATATCATTTTTCGGTAAGCACTTGTCCACTGTCTTCTAGCTTCTAGGAATGCTAATGGGAAGTATATTACTCAAATTGCCACTACTTTGATTTTGACCTGGGTTTTTCTTCTCTCTGAAAGCTTTAAGGTATTTTGTTTATTCTCAGGATTGTGAAATTTTACCGACAGGCAGCAGTGAGCAAAAAGGACAACAGCCTTCAAGGAGTTTACATTCTATGAAAGAGAGAAAGATAAGGCACAAATTATCAAGTAAATGTGTCAGGTGATAAGCTAGGGCAAGGTGAATTGAAAGTAGGGGAATGGGGTACTATTTTCCATAAGAGAGTAAGAGAAGGAAAATGAATAGCCACGAAAGATGAATGTTCCATGTGGAAAGAATAGCGAATGCAAAAGTCCCGAGTCAGGAACATTTTCTGAGTATCTGAAGAATAGCAAGGAGGACACTGTGGCTTAAGTAGAGGTGGCAAGGGGCAACGGTCGTAGGAGAAGAGGTCAGAGAGTTGGTATTTGCACGCTTGCAGGGCACAAAGATTTGGGAGTTTAATCAGTGAGAAAAAAGTTTTAGGGGTTTTTGGACAGAGCAGTAATATGAACTAACATGATAGAGGGATCATTCCAGCTGTAGGATAGACTAAGCAGGAGGGAGACTGCTTAGGAGGCCAACACAGAAGTCCCGGAGAGACATGATGATGACTTGTATCAGGGCAATAGCAGTGAAAATGGCCAAATTCAGGATATATTTCAAGGAGCAGCCAGAAGATTACTAATGGATTGAATGTGAAGTGTAAGAGGAGAAGAATCAAGGTTTCTGATTTGAGCAACCAGAAGAATAGAGGAGCCACTAGTGGGGATGGGGAAGACTACAGGAAGAGAAGGTTTAGGGGCAGAAAAATCAAGAGTTTCGTTCTGGAAATGACTATTAGACAAAGTAGAAATGTGGAATCAGCAGCTAAAGTCTGAGGTTCTATGGAAAGGTCTGGGCTGAAAAAAGACAATAACAACAAATTGCCAGGAGGACAGCATCAACTGTCCCTCCTCAATGTAAGTCCTGGCAGCAGTTCATGGAGCCATCTGGAGGCATTTTCTCCCCATGGCCGTTGTGACTATTGTCTAGTCACAGGGGCATGGAAAGGAGGTGCCTTGGCTCAGAAGCCTCAGGCCCCATGGGAACCAATATCCTTTGTAACAACGCTCTGGGCAGAGTTTCCAGGGTCCCTGCAAAGGATACATCCAGGCTTATGAGTCACCACATTCAGCAAAGCATGAAAGTACGGCATCCCGATTGGGCATTTATAATTCATTAACAGCTCTTCACAGCCCATCTAAAATTTACCAATCAGGGTCATTTTAATTATAAACAATGCTGCCTAGGCATTTAGTTGATATTTTGCTCTCATTAGGTTAAGGGAAAGGGAAATTAAGAAGTTAATAGAATTCAAATACTTATGAAAATGGGAAAAGGGCTTTGCTAACCTTTTACTCATAGGGCTGTTGCGAGCTGCTACAAATATTTAGCCCTTTTGGGCAGATTTACAAGTATTTGTGTAGGGTAAACACCTAGAAGTAAAATGGCTGTATCATTTGCTATGCTTTAGCTAATACTGCCAAGCCAGCTTTGAAAGCACTAGCTGTGCTAACTATCACCGTTGTTCCACATTCACACAGATACTCGGTATTGGCACTGTCAAGGTACTGGTATCTCACTGAGATTTTCATTTTCACGTCCCTGATTACTAAGCGAAGTTAAGCACCTTTTCATTGTTTTTAGTTCATTCAGACGTCATCTTTGAGACATGGCAGATTAAGTATCTTACATATTTTTTTTTATTCCACTGGCTTTTCTTTGTTGCTCTGTGTGACTTCTTTACATATTCTGGATACACTGTCAGACGTATGTATTATCAATTTTTTTACTTTTCCATGGTTTGCCAGTTCATACTCTTAATATTGTATGCTTGTTTATTTATTTATTTGAGACAGGACCTTGCTCTGTCACCCAGCCTGGAGTGCAGTGGCGTGAACATGGCTCACTGCAGCCTGAAGCTCCTGGGCTCAAGCGATCCTCTCGCCTCAGTCTCCAAAGTAGCTGGGACCACAGGCCTGCATCACCACACCCAGCTAATTTTTCATATTTTTTGTAGAGACAGAGTTTCACCATGTTGCTCAGGCTGGTCTCAAACTCTGGGCTCATGCAGTCCTCTCACTCTGGCCTCCCAAAGTGCTGGGATTACAGGCCAGAGCCACGGAACCCAGCAATACTGTCTTTAATGAAACAGATTTTTAAGTAACCAATTTATCAGTCTTTTTGCTTTATACTTAGTGCTTTTTGTTTCCCAATTAAGAAAACTTAAATTTTTAATTTCTGGGTACATAGTAGGTGTATATATTTATGGAGCACAAGAGATACTTTAAAAGAGGCACACAACCATTTAAGAAATCTTTGCCAATCTCCAAGTCATGAAGATATTTTCCTATTTAGAAATTTTACTGTTTTACTTTTCACATTTGGATCTGCAGGGCATTCAGAATGGATTTTCCATGAATGGCATACATTAAGGGTTAAGATTCTTTATTCAAGTATCCATTTATGTATGAATCTGCTTCTACCACACTGCCTTAATTACCGCTGCTTTACGGTAACTCTTCCACCAGGTAGTACAGTCTCTCTGCTTGGTTCTTCAAGATCGCTTTGGCTGTTACAGGTACTCTGTGTTTCCACATAAATTTTAAAATCACGTGGCAATTTTGCTAACAATAAATATGGGATTGCACAGAATCTATAGTCAATGTAATGAGCATTCACATTTTTTATAACACCAAGTCTTCCAACTCATGAGCACAACTGCTCATTTATTTATTTAAAGGCCTTCAAATTTCTCTTAATAATATTTTACACTTATCTGTAGAGTGGTCTTACACATTTTTGTTAGATTTATTCTTAAGTATTTGATGCTTTACATGTTACTTTAAAATAATATTAATTTTTAATATATTTTTAAAATTGGCTTGTTAATAATATATAAAAGTACAATTAAATTTTACATACTGACCTTCTATCATGAGACTTTACTAAGTTCATCTGTTAAGTACTTGCTGGTCCATTTATAAATTCTTTTGGATTTTCTATTTATATAATTACCTCATCTGTAAATAATGACAATTTATGATTCTGCTGATAGTGCATTTTAAAAAAAATAATAGGCCAGGCGCGGTGGCTCACGCCTGTGTAATCCCAGCACTTTGGGAGGCTGAGGTGGGCACATCACCTGAGGTCAGGAGTTTGAGACTAGCCTGGCCAACATGGTAAAACCCCATCTCTACTGAAAATACAAAAACTAGCTGGGTGTGGTATGTGCCTGTAATCCCAGCACTCAGGTGGCTGAGGCAGGAGAATCACTTGAACCCAGGAGGTGGAGACTGCAGTGAGCCGAGATTGAGCCACTACACTCCAGCCTGGGTGACAGAGCGACACTTCATCTCAAAACAAAAAAAAAGAATAAAAAAAATGACAGCTCAATTTTTTCCTTTTTAATTATTACCTGTTTTCTTTTTTCTTGCCTTACTGCACTGGCTAGGACCTCTACGATAATAAGTAACTATGTCTTGTTGCCAATCTTGGGTAGAAAGCTGTTAATATTTCACCATGAAGTACGATGCTTGCTGTAGGCCTTTTTATAGACACGTTTTATCAGATTAAATAAATTCCCTTCTAGGGTGGGTGCTAAAATTGGAAATTTGAATGCTAATTTGATATTTGATGATGTTAAAGAATTATGGTATTTTAAGATATGACAACAGTACTATGGTCTTTTTTTTTTTTTAAAGTCCTTATCCTTTAGAGTATTTACTGAAATATTAACAGATGACATGATATGATGTCTCGGTTATGCTTCAAATGAATACAAAGGGAGGGGAAGTACATAAGGATATAAATGACACAGTACCAATCTGAATTAATATTTGAAGCTGTATGGTGATTCCATGGGGGCTGGTTATACTACTCTGTTGAGATAGAATTTACATTGTAAAATTCGCCCTTCCAGAGCACAACTCAGAGGTTATGGTTGTACAATCATCACCACTAATTCCAGAATATTTCCCCAAAAGAAACTCTGTATCTATTAGCAGTCACCTACCATTCCCCACTTCTCTGAGTTCCTGGAAACCACTAACCTTCTTTCTGTCTTTGTGTCCTTTTTGTGATCTTTTGAGTCCAGTTATTGAGGTTCATCCATGTTGTAACATGTATTAGTACTTCATTTTTTTGCAAACTGATATTTCACTGTATGGCCACATCATGTTTTATTTATCCATTAATCAGTTAATAGGCATTTGGGCTGTTTCCATTTTTGAGCTTTTACTAATAATGCTGCTATGAACACTTATGTACACATTTTTGTGTGAAAATGTGTCAGCTCTCTTGGGTATACATCTAGCAGGGGAACTCATGGGTCATATAGTAACTCTATTTAACTTTCTGAAGAACTGCTAATCTGTCTTCCACAGTGGCTGCACTATTTCACATTCCACCAGCAATTTCTCTAGACTCACACCAACATTTGTTAATTGTCCACCTTTTTGATTACACCCATCCTTCCTAATGAGCGTGAAGTAATATCTCATTGTGGTTAGGATACACATTTCCTTTTTTTGTTTGCTTTTTAAAGAGACAGGGTCTCACTATGTTGCCCAGGCTGTGGCATGATCATACCACCGTGCCTGGCTACATTTTTAAAATTCTTCTTTGTAGAGATAGGGGGTCTCCGTATGTTGCCCAGGTTGGTCTTGAACTCCTGGCCTCAAACTATCCTCCGGTATTAACTTTCCAAACTGCTGGGATTAAAGGTATGAGCCACCCCACCCAGCCCTGCATTTCCTTAATGACAATGATGTTGAGCATCTTTTCATGTGTAACTGGCTATCTGTATATTTTCTTCTGAGAAATGCCTATTCAAATCCATTGCCCGTTTTAAAATTTGCTTTTTATTCTAGAGTTGGAAGAGTTTTTGTATGATCTCAATACTAGACCCTTTATCAGATATATGATTTGTAAGTATTTTCTCTCATTGTATAGGCTGCCATTCAACTTTCTTGATAGTGTCTGATGCACAAAAGTTTTTAATTGTGATGAAGTTCAAGTTATCTGGTCAGGCGCAGTGGCTCATGCCTGTAATCCCAGCACTTTGGGAGGCTGAGGCAGGCAGATCACTTGAGGCCAGGAGATGGATACCAGCCTGGGCCACAGAGCAAGACCCCCATCTCTACAAAATAGAGACAGAGCAAGACTCCATCTCAAAAATAAATAAATAAATAAATAGAAGTTATTCAGGCTGGCCAGATACCCAAACAATTTTCCGAGAGAGAAGTATCAATTGAAAAATGAAAATAGTATATAAGTAACAAACAGTTTTAAAGTAAAATATAACTTGTACATAAAATATAACATAATGGAAGGTCATTGTACTCTCCAAGGGAGAAAGAGAAGACTTGAGAGTTGGTGATGGTTGGTAAAGGCAGGGTATGAGGGAATCATTCTCTGGAAAGTAATGTAAAATCAGATGACTGACTATGAGGCAGGCATTCAGTATCAGTATGAAGACATATTTTATGGTAATTCTTTTCCTTAGAACTTTGGCACTTAGAAAAAACTGATGTGGAAAGATTCATGACATTACCTGTAGATGAATCTTTGAGATTTAAAAAATACACTTTGGGCCGGGTATAGCAGCTTACACCTGTAGTCCTAACACTTTGTGAGGCTGAGAAGGTTGGATTGCTTGAGCCCAGAAGTTAGAGGTCAGCCTGGGCAACAAAGTGAAACCCCATCTCTACAAAAAATACAAAAATTAGCAGGGCATGGTGGTGTGCATCTGTAGTCCCAGCTACTCAGGAGGCTGAGGTGGGAGGATCACTTGAGCCTGGGAGACTGAAGCTGGAGTGAGCCGTGATCACACAACTACACTCCAGCCTGCGTGACAGACCAAGACCTTGTCTCAAAAAGCAAAACAAAACCAACACCAAAAACCACTTTTTGACATGGAGAAATACTGTATGTGCAAGACACACTGAAGAGGAACAGAAGATGCTACTTGATCACTTCCTGCTATCACTCCTTTAGCACTCCTAACTATGAGGTAGAATTCAAATTTGTTCCATGTGATAGTCTGACTAGTGTTGAGTAAGTCGCTACACGCAAATTTGCTTAGAACAATAATGTCTCAGGGCATAATCTGTGTTTTGGGTAAAGTGCTATCAACCTGTAAGGGTCATGATGGCTAAATACCATTAACTGAACAATCATTATGTGAAACAAATCTGTATCCTGATTATACATCCTTAACTTGGTCACAGTCGAAATTGAATTGATATTATGCTACCTCATACACAATATAAGAATATTCCAAAGTAAAATTATATTTTTATTCCTACCCACCCTTTGTGCTACTGTTGTCATATATTTTATTCTACATGTTATAATCTGAAAGTATACTGTTATTGTTTTGGCTTAAGTCAGTTCTTTTTTTTTTTTTTTTTTTTTGAGATGGAGTTTTGCTCTTTTTGCCCAGGATGGAGTGCAATGGCGCTATCTCGGCTCACTGCAACCTCTACCTCCCAGATTCAAGTGATTCTCACGCCTTGGCCTCCTGAGTAGCTGGGATTACTGGTGTGCACCACCACACCCAACTAATTTTTATATTTTTAGTGGAGATGGGGTTTCACCATGTTGGCCAGGCTGGTCTCGAACTCCTGACCTGAGGTGATCCACCCACCTCAGCCTCCCAAAGTGCTGGGATTACAGGCGTGAGCCACCACGCCTGGCCAAGTCAGTTATCTTAAAGCATGAAAGAATAATAGTCATACGTATCAATTATTTTTCTCTTCTAGTGCTCCTACTTCTCTGCTTCAATTTGTGATCCTTTTACCTTCAAGAATTTAGGATTTCTCACAGTGTGCAAATGTGGGAGATGAATATTCTCAGCTTTCGCTTGTCTGATAACACCTATTTTATTTTTTTTGAGATAGAGTCTTGCTCTGTCGGCCAGGGGTGAGTGCCGTGGCGGGATCTCAGCTCACTGCGACCTCTTCCTCCCCAGTTCAAGTGATTCTTATGCCTCAGCCTCCCAAGTAGATGGGATTACAGGTGCGGTGGTTAATTCTTTTTTTTTTTTTTTTTGAGATGGAGTCTCGTTCTGTCACCCAGGCTGAAGTGCAGTGGTGCAGTCTCGGCTCACTGCCAGCTCCACCTCCCAGGGTCACACCATTCTCCTGCCTCAGCCTCCCGAGCAGCTGGGACTACAGATGCCCACCACCACACCTGGCTAGCTTTTTTGTATTTTTAGTAGAGATGGGGTTTCACCGTGTTAGCCAGGATGGTCTCGATCTCCTGACCTAGTGATCTGCCTGCTGGGTTTACAGGCGTGAGCCACAAAACCTGGCCATTTTTGTATTTTTAATAGAGACAGGATTTCACCATGTTGGCCAGGCTGGTCTTCAACTCCTAGCCTCAAGCGATCTGCCTGCCTCTACCTCCCAAAATGCTGGGATTACAGGGGTGAGCCACGGTGCCTGGCCTATTTTCATTTTTTAAAGGGGTATTTTTTGCTGGATATAGAATTCCATGTTGGCATTTTCTCTCAGCATTTTACATTTATTGTTTCATTTGCTCTAGTTTCTACTGCTTGCTTTGTTGAGAAGCCAGCTGTCATTTTCCTTCCCTCAAGAGAATGTCTCTTTTTCTCTGCCTGCTTGTTGAGTTTTCTTTTTATCTTTTCGTTTTGGCAGATTGTTAATAATGTGTCTAGGCTAGGTGTGGTGGCTCACACCTATAATCCCAGTACTTTGGCAAGTCGAGGCGGGTGGATCACCTGAGGTCAGGAGTTCGAGACCAGCCTGACCAACATGGTGAAACCCTGTCCCTACTAAAAATACAAAAGTTAGCTGGGCGTGGTTGTGGGCACCTGTAATCCCAGCTACTCAGGAGGCTGAGGCAGGAGAATCACTTCAACCCCAGAGGCGGAAGTTTCAGTGAGCCGAGATCACACCATTGCACTGCAGCCTCAGTGACAGAGCGAGATTCTGTCTCAAAAAAAAAAAAAAAAAAAAAAAAATTGTTAGGTGAGTATGGATTTCTCTTGAGGTTCACTAAGTTCGTTGAATTTATGGGTTAATGCCTCTCATTAGATTTGGAAAACATCTTGGCCATTA
Organism: Homo sapiens; assembly: GCF_000001405.40. Lineage (NCBI taxonomy): Eukaryota > Metazoa > Chordata > Mammalia > Primates > Hominidae > Homo > Homo sapiens. The sequence continues at coordinate 74,528,934 of NC_000016.10, forward strand.
TTTCTTCGAATACTGCTTCTATCCCATTCTGTCTGCCTTTTTTTTTTTTTTGAGACAGAATCTCGCTCTGTTGCCCAGGCTGGAGTGCAGTGGTACGATAGTGGTTCACTGCAACCTCCACCTCCCAGATTCAAGCAATTCTCCCGCCTCAGTCTCTTGAGTAGCTGGGATTACAGGCACCTGCCACCACACCCAGCTGATTTTGTAATTTTTAGTAGATATGGGGTTTTTTACCGTGTTGAACAGGCTGGTCTCGAACTCCTGACCTCAAGTAATCCACCTGTCTTGACCTCCCAAGGTGCTGGGATTACAGGCGTGAACCACCGCACCTGGCCATGAATCTGTTTTTATGTCCACTAAAGCTGTCTTTTAAAACTACCCATAAGTTCTTAATTTCTGAAATTACATTTAGTCCAAAAATGTCTAATTGATTTTCTTAATAAAGACTAATTCTCGGTTGAAATACTTCATATTTTCATCCATTTTAATTTTCCTCTATTTATAGGAAAATATTTTATTTTCCTCTATTTTATTTATAGGAAAATATTTTATTTTCCTCTATTTTATTAGTTATTTGAAGTCCTTGTCTGCTATTAATAATTCCAATATATGAATTACCTCTTCTCTGGATCTCTCTCTGTTGGCTACTTTATCTCTTGATATCTTCCTGCTTCTTCTCATATCCAGCCATTTCTGATAGCATGCGGGACATTATGAATGGCTATATTATAGAATTTCTGGGTTATATAATTGTTCTCTAAAGAGTCCTGACTGCTTCTTACATAGACCTTCCACCAAATCTCCTGTTTTTTGGATACTATTTGTCCCCCATTTTCAGCAGTATCGTATCCTTCCTATTCCTTGGCTCTTTGAGAGTTCTTTTTTTTTTTTTTTTTTTTTTGTGACGGAGTCTCACTCTGTCACCCAGACTGGAGGGCAGTGGCACGATCTCACTGCAACTTCTATCTCCCCGGTTCAAGCGATTTTCCTGTTTCAGACTCCTGAGTAGCCAGGATTACAGGGGTGTGCCACGACGCCTGGCTAATTTTTTTATTTTTAGTAGAGGGGTTTCACTATGTTGGCCAGGCTGGTCTCAAACTCCCGACCTCAGGTGATCCACCCAGCCTTCCAAAATTCTGGGATTACAGGTGTGGACTACTGCGCCCGGCTGGCTCTTTGAGAGTTCCAAGGCACACATCAACTTTTTTCTGGGTTTCTCTTCTGTCAGATTCAGTCTATTGATGGATTTTGAGGTTTTCCCCTAATCCTTTGCTTTATAAATAATGCCACAACAAATATCCTTTTATAGACACATCTCTATCCATTCTTTTAACTATCCATAAATTCATAGAAGTAGAAATGCTGGGTCAAAACATATGCATTTTAGGTTGACTGTTTTATAGCTTGTTTTTATTCCCATACATAGGCTTGAACAGGGTTCAGCCAACTTCTTCTGCAGAGAGCCAGAAAGTAACAGTTCTCAGGGAACTGTAGTCACTGTTGCAGTTACTCAACTTTGCCATCCTAGTGTGAAAAGCAGCCACTGGCAATACATAAATAAATGGTGTGGCTGTTTCAATAAAATTTTATGTATAAAAACAGGTAGTAGACTGGATTTGGCCTAAGTGTTGTAGTTTTTTGATCTATGGGCTAGAGAATGCTTAAATACACACATCCTTATCAATACTGTGTATTTATCCTTTTTTTTTTTTTCTTTTTAAGAGATGGGGGGCTCACTTTGTTACCCAGGCTGCAGTGCAGTTTTGTGATCGTAGGTCACTGCTACCTCGAACTCCTGGCTCAAGGGGTCCTCCAGCCTCAGCCTCCCGAGTAGTTGGGAGTACAGGTGCGAACCCATTTATCAAATTTTTGATATTTGCTAATCAAATGGATGACAACAGTGCACTCATTTTTTGCTGAATTTTTATGCTTTTGATTCTGAGGGAGAATAAACTTTTTACTGTTTATTGGACACCTTTTTCTTTTCCTGTGAACATTCTATTCATGTCTGTTATGTTTATTAATAGCATTTTCTATTAACAAATATAGTCCTTTTCATCTGCATTGTGAATACTTTTTTACAAAACATTTTTTGGGGAGAAAACTTTCAATGTAATCAGATATAGATGCAGATATATATTTTTAAAACATCATTTGGGGTTGTGTCATATTTAGAAAAGCCTTCCCTCTAATCTTCTAGTATTCTTCTAGTTTTATTTTGTACTTGACTTACCTAGGTTTTCGTAAGAGTAAGTAGTTAACCTAAATAGCCAATCTGTCTCTGCTTATACAGCCTCCGGTCCCATCTACCTTCTATAATGTGATAGAGTGACTTTTGCCACATATAGATGCCTCTTCTAAGACCCAGATCAAGTGTCACCTCTTTTATTTATTGATTTATTTAAGACAAAGTCTTGCTCTGTTGCCCAGGCTGGAGTGCAGTGGCACCATCTCGGCTCAATGAAACCTCCGCCTCCTGGGTTCAAGCAATTCTCCTGCCTCAGCCTCCAGAGTAGCTGGGATTAAAGGCATGCACCGCCATGCCCAGCTAATTTTTGTTTTTTGTTTTTTTTTAGTGGAGACAGGATTCTCCATGTTGGCTGGGCTGGTCTCAAACTCCTGGTCTCAAGTGATCTACCTGCCTCAGCCTCCCAAACAGGTGGGATTACAGGTGTGAACCACCATGCCCGGCCTCATCTCCATTATTAAGCCTTTTCTGACATCAACTCACCTGGACAAAATTCATTTTTGTGTCTCCAGTGTCTTCTGTATAGACTTCTACCAAAGCACCCAATACTTTTTGCACAGAGTTGATTTCACATCAGTCTCCTTTTAATGTGCTACTATAGCGTTTGGCAAAAAGAAGATGACTGTGTGATAAGTAAATGAGAAAACTTTAAAACAGGAAATTCTAAAGTTGTAAACTTGATAAGCAGAGAATTATTTTCACATGGTAGCTGTAACTGAAGAAAAACTTAAGTACGTAAATATTATTTGGGAGAACCTGCAGGCTTCTACAATGAAGGGTTATTTGTTGATTTTACCAGCATCCTTAAAGTTTGTCATCCTTTTAAGATTAAGACTGTAAGAAAACATAGCACTTCCCAGAACAACAGGAAGAGCATCCCGAAATCTGTCATCGTATCTATAAAGCACATATGGCGCATCACAGAAAATCCATACTTACATGATTGCAGTCTGAAGAAATTTCATTTTCAGGCTAGAAGAGAAAAAAAAGAAGAGATGATGTAAAAAAAAAAATATATATATATATATATAGAGAACCTTTCAAGTTTTCAAACACCACCAAAATAAACTCAAAACAAGAAATCTGAATATTCAACCAAATATGCTTCTTCAACATAAGGAGTAAAATGGAGCTTGCATATCTTTTAGGCTGTTGGGGAGAAATGTACCAGAAAGGTACATGAGACTTAACCCCTTCCCGATGGTGCAATGTGAAGATGGGGAGAATGGAGAAGAATATGCTAAAGCAATAAATAAAGCAACAATGACATAAGGACTCCTACAGGACACTTTATAATTCACTTATTATAGAGTGCAGAGAAAGTCGCTCAATTTTTATTTATTTATTTTTTATTTTTTTTGAGACAGGGTCTCACTCTGTCACCCAGGCTGCCATGCAGTGGCGCAATCATGGCTCATGGCAGCCTCAACCTCCCAGGCTCAGGTGATCCTCTGGCCTCAGGCTCCCGAGTAGCTGGGACTACAGGCGCAATGTCACCAAGCCCAGCTAATTTTTTTGGTATTATTTATAGAGACGGGGTTTCACTATGTTGCCCAGGCTGGTGTACAACTCTTGGCTCAAGTGATCCACCCACCTGAGCTTCCCAAACAGCTGGGATTACAGATGTGAATTACCGTTCCCAGCCCCCATCAATGATTTTTAAATTGGCCTAATGCTGCTATTGGGGGAAGCTATGTGATGGGTATGTAAGATCTCTAGGTACTGTTTTTGAAACTTCCTGTGAGTCTATAATTCATAACAAAAAGTTTTTTAAAAAAAACATTTGGAAATATATTCCTATGGATACATTTGCTTTGTAAAGCCAGATACACATACCAGAGATAAAATGAACTTTCAGGCAGGGCACGGTGGCTCACGCCTGTAATCCCAGCACTTTGGGAGGCTGAGGTGGGCGGATCACAAGGTCAGGAGATCGAGACCATCCTGGCTAACACAGTGAAACCCTGTCCCTACTAAAAATACAAAAAAATTAGCCGGGCGTGGTGGCAGGCGCCTGTAGTCCCAGCTACTCTGGAGGCAGAGGCAGGAGAATCGCATGAACCCGGGAGGCGGAGCTTGCAGTGAACCGAGATCGCACCACTGCACTCCGGCCTGGGCCACAGAGCGAGACTCCGTCTCAAAAAACAAAAAACAAAACAAAACAAAACTTTCAATTCCATGACAGAAAAAAAGTGTGGACTAGGTTTCACGTAGTATTACATAGCTTTGCAATACATAACTCCTTTAGTTTCCTTGTTCGTGCCTTCAAAGGAGACACAACTGCAATAAAACACACCATAAGGCGGCACCATTTCCTGGGTGAGTGCAGTGGCTCACACCTGTAATCCCAGCACTTTGGGAGGCCGAGGCAGGCAGATCACTTGAGGTCAGGGGTTCAAGACTAGCCTGGCCAACATGATGAAACCCCGTCTCCAGTAAAAATACAAAAATTAGCCAGGCGTGGTGGCACGCGCCTATAGTCCCACCTACTCAGGAGGCTGAAGTGGAAGAATTGCTTGAACCTAGGAAACAGAGATTGCAGTGATCTGAGATTGTGTCATTGCACTCCAGCCTGGGCAACAGAGCGAGATTCCATCTCAAAAAAAAAGCATAATTTATTTTGAGTTTCCATAGTATTCGAATCTGTTTATATAAAGTGAATTCTGTGTGCCTATAACTTAAATATTATCAATTTAGGTAGCAAAACATGCTAGTTTTAAAATAAACAGATGTTTTCTATCCAAGGATAAAGAAAAGGCAATAAAGAAAATAGAACACATCAAGTAGCCACACCTAGCATTATTTCAAGAAGAAAAAGGTTTCCCTATGGAATTATTAATTCCACTGCAGAATTCAGTAGGCATTAGCAACATACAAACTCATTTTTATACTTACAACATATATTAAAATTGACTTTAATTAGGTTGCTAGGTAATCATAAGATTCTATTATATAACACAGTACTTTTGAACTTTCTCCCTACTTGTCTAATAGCAGATACTTTAATGCCTTTTTAAGGTGCCTTTCTCAGTCTCAGAAATCAGCCTCCATGCTGAGTCGACCTAGCTTAACTCTGTTCCCACCACCTCAATCTGAAGTTTAACTTATATCTCTTAATAGTTTATTTACAAGAATGCTTTTTCTTAGACAGTTTTCTACACTATCCTTTTAAAATCTATCCTTTAAGTTTTCCCAATCAATTAGCAATTCTAGCTCTTTCTCAAACAAGGGATGGAAGGCAATTAATATCACAATCTTCTCTACTTATACTCATTTCTACTAAACAACAAATTTGGATTAAAGGTGCATTCTTGAAAGAAATTTAGAGCATTGGAGAATTTTCAAAATAATGTCAAATAAGATGTAAGCTCCCCATAGAAAGAAATGTATTGTCATGTTTAGAGTCCACAGGACTATATTAGCAAATTAATTACTGTTTTAATGACTTGCTTCCCTACAGCGGGAGACTGGATTATTTCTCCCAATTTTTCACTTGCATAGGATTTTACATCCAGATCCTCTGTTTTGTAAGTCTGTACCGCCTCCTGCTATAAACTGAGTATACACCCGGCTCCGCTGACGTTGAGCAAATCAAGATAGCAAAAGAGATGAAAAGCAAGCACTGCAGTCCACATTTGCAGTTAATTGAGTCTCCATGGATGATGTCATTCCTTCCTAAGAGGTGCAGTACTGTGTGCTTAGTAATACTGTTAATGTAACATAATATAATATAGGCCACTGACATGCTCAGGCCAATGGAGTTTTAGGAGATACAATATGAGCAGAGGATTTAAATGTGCCTGGGTAGTTTGGCCTGTATTCCTGCACCCCTGCCATTCCCCATGAGAACATGGTAGTACAAAGAAAAGAGACATGTGGAGCAGACCTGAACTTAACCCTCAACCTGTAGCCTGAAGCAAAGCCATCTCGAATAACCCATGGGAAAGAAAAACAAGCCTCGAGTTAAGCCCATGAAAGTTTGAGGGTGTCTGTTATGAAGAAAAAATGACTAATATATCTATCAAACAAATAAAATAAAAATATCAAAGCCTTTAAATTAGAACCTGTAACAGCTATGATCTAAAATTAGTGAATTATATTGGAAAGCACAGAGCACTACTGTACCTTTCATGAAGAAATGACATAATCCATGGAGACACAAAAGTGCAAATCTGGACACCAGTGCTTGCTTTTCATCTCTTTTGCTATCTTGATTTGCAACTGACTATAAATGCGTCTTATTTTTGCATTCATTCATTCATTTAGTTTTGAGATAGAGTCTTGTTCTGTTGCCAGGCTGAAGGGCAGTGGCACCATTATGGCTCAATACAGCGTCCACCTCTTGGGCTTAACTGATCCTCCTGCCTCAGCCTCCCTAGTAGCTGAGACTAAAGGTATGTGCCATGATAGCTGGTTAATTTTTTAAAATTTTATTGTACAGACCGGGTCTCGCTATGTTGCCTAGGCTGATCTCAACTTCTGGTCTCAAGTGATCTTCCTGCCTCACCTGCCCAAAGTGCTGGGACTGCAGGCATGAGCCAGTATGCCCAGCTTTTTCCTAGGTTTAGTTTCTCTATGCAGAAAGAAAAGATGACAGAATAGGAATGCCGTAAAAACAAGGTTATGATGTTAGGTCTTTGAGATTCATGGAACCAAATCGCTATGAAGAATTGTTAAGCATAATTGTGACAATTAATTTCAGAAATTTAGAGGGGTTTTTAGAATCCAAGAACACAGTGGTGATTTAGAGGAAGAGAAGAGAGAGAACGAAATATAAAATACAAAGGAGTATTTTATACTACCCGGGGAATGGTGGGTGCATCAATAATGTCAGAATAAATGAACTCGAGAAAGTAAATAAAAATAATAAATAAATAAAAAGAAAACACTATGCTTCAGCACTCAGTCATGTGATAAAGAACCAATGAACAGAAATCTCAAGGAACGAAAACAGATGCAGGTGCTGATTCGGGTTTGGTTCTCATACTGCACCATTCTCATTATGTCCCAATTAAACCACTTCATCAGATATAGTACATCTATTTCCACAAAACTTTAAGTGCAGACAGGCTCACTTGTCTCTAATCCTAGAAGATGAATAGCATGAGGAATAACACCCATAATTACTAAAATAAGATAAAACTGAGGATTTTTTTTCTTCCTCTTTGGTAATAATTAGTGAAATAATGCTCTGAGATGATCCCAAGAAATTAGCCAACAAGTATATATTGAATAATGATGATGAACTCAAAATTGTGCTAGGCATTGTTGCAGGATACAAAGACAACATTCTATCTGGTCTCTAATCTCAAGTTGTTTACAATCCAGTTATACAGTTAAAATAGCGAAATCAAACAAGCAAGAGGAGGGACTTGAGATAGGCCTAAAGAATTAGAAGAGTGATCTCCAAAAAGGAGTGGAGTGATTCCTCAAGGAAGAAGTTACATGATCCCTTGGGGGTCAGGAAGAAAATAACAGAGCTTCTGTTTTTAAAAAAGCTTATCCTTTAATTTATGTTTTAACGTATTTTTATAATGCATATAACATGGGTGTAACTAATATTTTATGAGTATGTATCTACTGGGGGAATGGTTACTGATTTTTCAAATGATAGGAAGAACATGACCAAGATAGAGGAAAAAAACTTCTTCTCATCATTAAGATTCCTACCTCTACCTGCATTCTTCAAACCAGGGGCAAAGTGCTGGCTCCTAGCCTGTGGAGGCATCAAATTAGAAGCTGAGCTATGTCACATTATCAGCTACTCCTTATCTGGAGATAGAAGTCTGGGCTTCAAAAAGAAGGATCTCTTACATCAAGTATTTACTCATTGGAAATAAAACTGTCCTCTTACTATGGAAAACTGTAAGAAAAAAAGTTATGAAAAGTATAATAAATAGCTGCTAATTTAATGACCAAATATGAGAGAAATGATTCCTGACATTGCATATATTAGTATCAATAAGTAAACTATTATAAACAGAAGAATGAGAAAATGAAGAGAATTTAGCACATCCCCATCCCAATGCATCAGTGACTAAAACAGAGAAGGAACTTGGGTAATGCTGTATAAATGATACAGCAAACAAAGGCAGTAAAGGGAAAAGCACCAAGTACTTGGAGACACCTGCTTGACTTCAATAAAGAACATGATGAGTGTATCAGGAAATGGTTAAAAAACAAAACAAAAAACCTCACAAAAAACAGAAAACAAAAAAGAACCCTGCCACTTTTCTATAGTAGTTAGCAATAGAAGTGTGTGACTTTAGGTACATCACTTAACTTCTCTAAACCCCTAACAACAGGCTTTGAACTAGAGTGGGAATCCATGAACAGGCTTTGGGAGTCTGAGATATCCTGAAATTGAACGCAAGCATTTGTGTGTATGTATATTTTTCTGAGAAGAATATCCACAACAGCTATCACCATCTCAAAAAGATCCACGAGACAAGAAAAAATTAAGAAATACTGGTCAAACATTGGTTGCGGTTCTTTCCAGCTTTATGAGTCCATAAAATCTGAGATGTGGAATTTAAAAATGTACTTACTGAATTTCAAGTTTTTTTAATGCAGATAATTTGTATATTATGATGGTTACTACTGTTTCACCTTAATCTCTCCTAGTCAAAGTCACAACAAACAGGTTTCAGAATAAACTACTGAAAAGCTTGAGTCTGAATGTTCTCAAATCAACTACCGCATTCACTTAGGAGGAAGGTTTTTACAGAAAGTCTGGAACTATGATTTCCCCAAGGTGAACAGGCTGAGTTAATGAGTCTGGAAGGAGAAATTAAAGGATTCATAAAGCTATCTTGGAAGGTGTCCCAGTTTCTGAAACAGAAATGCTTGGGAGTTGGATGTTGTCTAAAATATGGAACATTCTACAGTTTCCACTGAAGCTGAACTACATCAGATCACATAAAGGAATAGGGTCCTTTTTCTAAGATAACTGGTACTAAATTAAGTGACAACCAACTTTGTTTTTGAATCCCTCAGGAGAAAACAAACAAAAGATGCCAACAGTATCAGTGCTTTTACAGCCTTAGAAAAATTTGAAGTCACGCGATAACCTAATGCCTCCTTTCAATTGGAGACACTCTGCTGCAGTATTAAGTCAAGTCTTCTGGGAGTTTATTCATTAAGAACCCAGTAACTTCCCATCACACGAACACTTCATTTATTAACCTTGTCCAAAGCCCCAATGACAATGAAGATAATGTAGCTGGTCTCTAACAAAATAAACCCAATCTTTTACCCCCGGGAAACTCTCCTGAGCAAGTCTAAATGCAATCTCGATCCTCAGGTTTAGAACTGCTTTCCTCTTAGTGCCTTATTCTGGCTCTATCAGAATTTATTTTTCTTATTTGTACCCAGGGATAGTGGCTGAGTATTGTTTTTCCAAAAGGACAGTGATCAGCACAGGCTTTATGCCTTCCAACAATGTTCTGATTCACTAAAGAGTTGTAGCTGCTTTTATTTAAGTCTTTAGCATTCAACTACCTTTTCAAAAAGGAGTTACTGTACAGGTCCAACGGGAGATTTTGAGATTTTTTTTTTTTTTTTTTTCTTAAAAAGACATGAGATACAGAAGCTGGCTCTCAAGTGCATATCTAATCATCATACAAGGCTGAATGTGGAGTTTTTAGGGGGAAAGGAGGACTTGATATTTTAAAGAAGGAAAAAAGCACCAATAACCCTATGAGATGAGTATGGCAATAAAGTCAGTCAGAGAAAGTTTCATGGAGGGTACATTTGAATTAAGTCTTATAGGCGGTTGTGGTTTGGTTAAGGATGCTGTGTGCAGGCTGAGGCAGATGAGAGGTAGGCTGTGAAAGGTGGAGCACTAGGCTGTGGGTGGCATTGAAAAGGCACATTCTGTGCCGATGGCTGAGAAAGTGAGGGACCCCATGACAATCACTCCTAGGCTTATTCATTTGGCATCTCCTAATACGTGCTAGGACAACTACAAGTCTTTAGTAAAAATCCAACATTGGTCCAATAATGGTTTCTCATAGTTCAAATTAAGATGTCATGCTAAACACAGTGTCATAATTTGATTTACTTTTATTACTTGTGTGCTTCCCAAGTGGACGGTGGGATAACAGTTGTCAAATATTATATAGTTACTCCTATAGGAACACGTTAAGTTTTAAAGATAGACGGGGAAAGACCCTCACAGACAAATTAGAGCTCATTTATCCCTGGTTCTTAAAAGGTCTCACATAAATATAGAACAGTGAGTGGGCTATGTTGACGTTAAAACTTGTCTTGTACCTTTAAAATGAAAAATCTCCTCAAAGCCCTTTAATTCTAATAAAATAAAAGGGTATACGTATTTTACAGTGGGAATTAGCAGAATGACTCAGAGAGCATACTTACACATAGGTATAAATATACTGACAGGACTTTTAGCTTTGTCAAGTACTAATTAAGTCATCTTCAGTGAGGTTATATCCCTATTCTGAAAATATGAAAACACAGAGCAATCGCTAATTACTCAAAACCACTGCTTTGGACCTAATGGTTGACCTCCCTCCATCTCCCAAAAAAGACTGAGTAACTCCTGACTCCCTGACAGAAAGATCCATCTCTCTAGAGAAGATGCTCTGCCCCAAACTTTACTTTGAGAAGTCAAATTACATCTTAGTTTTAAGAAAACTCTAACACTAGTTAAACTGACCAAGTGGAAACACTCAAATTAGTATAATTTCTCATCTTCTATGCCCAAAGCAGGAAATAAAAAATAACAAATAAGAATATAGTTCATGGTTGACCTGTGAGTGAAAAAATAAACAAATACAAATATATATATATTTTATATATATATATTTTATATATATATATTATATATATTTTATATATATATTATATATATTTTATATATATATATTATATATATTTTATATATATATTATATATATTTTATATATATATATTATATATATTTTATATATATAATATATTATATATATATAGCAATTTAGTTATTGAACAAAAACTGAATCATTACATTATGGCAAATGTAATGACTTTTACATTGGATTATAATATTTATTAATCCATGAATATAAAAATACATAAATTTTATAAAGTATTAAATGTAAATTTTGAAGTATAAACTGTAAATTTTATAAAATGTAAATTACAAAAACATGTAATTTTTTTCTACCGTGTATAAAAAAATGTAAATTCTTTCCTTATATTTCCCATTTATTTTACTACCAGGAATTAGAAACAAGGTGCTCATAAACTATAGGAGATAGGCCATCCCTTTAGGGAAACATTTAGAGATATTTCTTTTCATATACAGAGCTCAACCAATCTTTTCATCAAATTCCCATCTGGGACTGCCTAACATTTAAGAAACGTAAGGATTGTCTTGCAATGACAAGAGTTTTTAAGTCTGCTGGGACTAAAAATCATCCCCATGACAGTCTACTATCTGAAAATTTTTTCCTCCCACCACTCATTTTTTCTCCCTAGGAGATGACTTAGAAATCTAGAATACAGTTTGGTGCTGGTGTTAACCATTTTTACCTAAATTATGGGGGAAGGAAACAGAGTCAGGCACTCTATCAAATGCTTGTTCAGATTCCACTTTGGCATCGAGGGGAAGAACCTTGGACAGGTTTATCCCTTTGGCTCCTAGCCACGGCAGGCACACAGCTATCAAGAGATAAAAGGCCTTGTTTTCACTGCTCAGCTGCCTGAATAAAGTCAGTTACGGTGTCCACATGTAATGAAAGTGGCGCTAATGTTTATAAACTGCTTTGTAGGAAATACATCAAAAAGGTCATATTTCTGAACTGTGAGGTTGTAACTACCACACTACTACTACCGAAATACAGTATAAAAATTCTTCTGCCGGGTGTGGTGGCTCACGTCTGTAATCCCTGCACTTTGGGAGGCTGAGGCGGGCAGATCACAAGGTCAGGTGTTCGAGACCAGCCTGGCCAATATGGTGAAACCCTGTCTCTACTAAAAATACAAAGATTAGCCAGGCGTGGTGGCGCATGCCTGTAGTCCCAGCTACTTGGGAGGCTGAGGCAGAAGAATCACTTGAACCTGGGAGGCAGAGGCTGCAGTGAGCCAAGATCACACCACCACACTCCAGCCTAGGTAGCAGAGCAAGGCTCTGTCTCCAAAAAAAAAAAAAAAAAAAAGTCTAAAATCAGCTACTCATGGTATTTTTCACATCTCATAAAAGAAGATACAAGATAACGGATCCCCTCAAGCTATCATGTTTGAGAGGCAAAATGGAAACAAGAATTCTGGAATAACAGCCAAAGACTTGGGTTTTGATTCCAGTTCCACTGCACATTTATCACATAACATTCTTTAAGCTTCAAATTTTGTGTAGATAAAAGAGGTAAATCCTGCTTTACCTACCTCATGGGGCTATTATAAGCATCAGGAGAAAAGTTATGTAGAAGGCCTTCAAATATTATAGAAGGCTTTGCAAATATATGCGACCACTAGCCTTTCATTCTCTGTATAAAATCTAACCATTTTAAACAACAAAAACGTTACTGCTATCCAAGAGGCCATGCTTCATACAGGCAAAGAATAAGAATTCAAAATACATGACACACATGTTTTATTGTATGTGTATAGGTTATTTCTGAAAGGATACCTAAAAAGGCTTATTTTTACTACATACTCTTTGCACTTTAAAATTTTTATACCATGTGTAAGAAAAGGAAAAAAAAGGTCATTCCAGTTTAGGATATACACAGACACCTCAGAAAATATTTAGAATACATCTTCATGACTGGGAAAGCAGGGGAGTTTAATGATACATTTTCCCAGTTCATATTTTCCTATTTTTCCCCCTTCCACTGTCTATTTCAAAGGGGTGGTGGCAGGGAGGAAATATATATTTACATCCTCTGGGACACAGCAGGTAGCAATCTGCCCTCTTAGAGTCCTAGACTGACAGTTCTACTCTAAGAAAAGCACATGAACCATCTGATGATCTGGTTTGAATAGTATAGCTAACTTTTACATGGGAGTTTTAGAATGCAGGGTGAAAAAAATTATCTGAAGGGCACCGTATGAATAATGAACAGAATTATCAACTTTGATATGGCATCCTTTTATATTCTTTCTTTGCCCTGTCACATGATTTGGAACAGCTGAACAAAGGTACAAATTTGTCAAATCAGTAGCTACTATAGCCAAATGCAAAGAAGAAAACTAGACTAGGCCGGGCGCGGTGGCTCACGTCTGTAATTCCAGCACTTTCGGAGGCTGAGGCGGGCGGATCACCTGAGGTCAGGAGTTCCAAGACCAGCGTGGCCAACGTGGTGAAACCCCATCTCTATTAAAAATACAAAAAAATTAGCTGGGCATGGTAGCAGGTACCTGTAATCCCAGCTACTTTGGGAGGCTGAGGCAGGAGAATCGCTTGAACCCAGAAGGCGGAAGTTGCAGTGAGCCGAGATTGCATCATTGCACTCCAGCCTGGGTGACAAAAGCGAAACTCTGTCAAAAAAAAAAAAGGGAAGGGAAGGAGGGAGGGAGGAAGGGAAGAAGGGAAGGAAGGAAGGAAGGGAGGAAGGAAGGAAGGAAGGAAGGAAGGAAGGAAGGAAGGAAGGAAGGAAGGAAGGAAGGAAGGAAGGAAGGAAAAACTAGACTAAAAGAAAAAATTTCCAGACATCTGACAATACCATTAATGTTTACAACCAGTAAATCTGGAATGATTCTGTCAATGCAGCTCATACTACCAATCCAACTTTGTTACTTCTATAATTTTGAAAACAAAATACAAATGAGGGATGTAAGATTACATGATGCAAAAAAGTCCTGAAATTAAATATAATTTCTCACACCCCAGACCCGAGTACCTGCACATGCCACAACTCTTCCATACTGACCCGTGGTGAGTGCATTGTTTACTTGAACTGGCCTAAGCAAGAGCAAATAGGGCTGAGCTGCCAGAATGTGCTGAACTCTTTCTGTATAACCCAGTGCAAATTACTGGTGCTTCTGAAGAGTACAGCTTGGATTCAGGAAGTGGACTTCCATCTGAATTAAGACAGCACACTTCACTGCACAATTCTGAAAGATGCGTAGCTCAAAGAAAGAGACCAGGGCTAAATTGGGAAAAAAATTTAATATATTTTAAAAACAGAATCAGGCCAGGCTCAGTGGCACATGCCTGCAGTCTCAGCTACTTGGGAGGCTGAGGTGGACAGCTTTCTTAAGACCAGGAGTTGGAGGCAGTAATGTGTTATGTTAGAGCCTGTGAATAGCTACTGCACTCCAGCCTGGACAACACAGTGAGAACTTACCTCTAAAAAAACAGACAAAAAACTGAAATCTTCTGGGTTTGCAAATGTTAGTAATGTGCATAAAAATCTGATAAAATCCTCAAAAAGTCCCTACATTTCTTCTTGCTTAGATAACATCATTCTACAGTTGGTAGAAAAAAGGTATACATCAATAATTACCACTATATCAAACTATATTATAGTTTGGGAAATACTGATAAACTAATCTAAATATTAACAAAGATGCAATCTAAAAATTACCCATAATCTCCAAATCACATCTGTGCCTTTTAAAGTGCTAATTTTCTGTTATGAAATTAACTGATTTTGAAAACAAAGTACAAAGTACAAAAGACCGGGAGAATCCTGCTGATGGTACTCCACCTGAGCCAGTGATCACCACACGACCTGAACAAATTCTAATTCCCTGTGCTTCAGTGAGAATAGGGGGGAGATGGGATAAAAAGCAAGACAGCTTGACTCCAATTGATTGCAAATCTAATATGATTCCAGAAAAACAGATGACTACCTTTCCAAGGAAGGGAAAATATTGTTATAGAAATGGCTTGGAGAAGTGAAAGGAGATGGGCAGAACAGATGCAGATCCTTTTAGAATTACTGTTTTAAAACATCTCATAGGTATGTCAATGGTTGAAAATGTATTAGCTCCCTAATAAAGAATGTTCATCTCCATTAACGGAAAAACAAAGAAGACTCCTAAGTACTTCTAAGCATTCATTACTATACAATCTATAGGTCTGGCTATGCAGCACAAATTTTGGAAAGAGATCTGGGAACAAATTTGGGCTCTTCCAGGTACTAGCTGCAAGATCTTGGAAAAATTATTTAACATGTTTTTGTTTTGTTTTGTTGTTTTGAGACAGAGTTTCACTCTTGTTGCCCAGGCTGGACTGCAATGGCACAATCTCGGCTCACCACAACCTCCACCTCCTAGGTTCACGCGAATCTCCTGCTTCGTGTGAGAATCTCCTGCACATGCAGGCGTGGTGGCATGTGCCACCAAGCCTGGCTAATTTTGTTTTTTGTTGTTGTTTGTTTGGTTGGTTTTTTGAAATGGAGTCTCACTCTGTTGCCCAGGCTGGAGTGCAATAGCGTGATCACGGCTCACTGTAACCTCCGCCTCCCAGGTTTAGGCGACCCTCTTGCCTTACTTAGTCTTATGATTACAGGCGCGTGCCACCACGCCCAGCTAATTTTTGTACTTTATAGTAGAGACAGGGTTTGGCCATTTGGGCCAGGATGGTCTCAATCTCTTGACCTTGTGACCCTCCCACCTCGGCCTCCCAAAGTGCAGGGATTACAGGTGTGAGCCACCGCGCCCGGCCATTATTTAACATCTGTAAGCCTAAGTGGAGCAAAATACTTAAAGCACCTAGCACAATGCTAGTAGTAAGTATGTAATAAATATAATCTATAATTATAATAATAATTATTGCATACTTCTAGAAGAGTGTTAATTCTGCATTGCCCCAATCCCAAAATAAATCAATCTCAAAAATAAGAAAAAAATACAAAAGAAGTGTTCTATTAAAGCCTCAACTTCAGGAATAAGTTTGCAGATATGTAGATTCTGGCTACAGGAAGGCAACTTCGGTTTAAATTACATCAATCACATTAGGATAAACTAGAAAAAAGGAATAAATTCAGGAAATTCTGGTGGAAAGATCTAATCCTAATGGAAAAACAGGATTTAAATCACTCCACCAAGTATTCTTGTTTTTGTTGAGACAGGGTCTCGCTCTGTCACCCAGGCTAGAGTGCAGTGGTACAATCTCAGTTCACTGAAGCCTCAACCTCCCAGCCTCAAGTGACCCTCTCACCTCAGCCTCCCTAGTAGTTGGGACTACAGGTGCATGCCACTACACCTGGTTAATTTTTGTGTATTTTGTAGAGATGGGGTTTCACCATGTTGCCCAGGCTGGTCTCGCACTCCTAGGCTCAAGGGATCCACACACCTCAGCCTCCCAAAGTGCTGGGATTACCAGCATGAGCCACACCATGCCTGACCCACTCCACCAAGTTTTCGAAGCCCAGAAAAGTATGTGTGGAATTTCTGTCTGTTCCAGACCCTAGTCTTTCAATCTAATGTTTATACACAAATTTAAATTCAGATATCTATTTTGAATTTCATTTAGGTTTTTGTTTCTAAGTAAACATCAGAGGATTAGTTTGGGTTTTGTTCACCCATGTCTTTTAAAGTTCTAAAGAACCTTTGTATCTGAGCTCAACTTTATATTTAAGTTCAACTGCTCAGATGCAGACATCTTTTAACATGCAAACAAACCAAGAGGGTATTGGTTAACTAAGGTCTCTTTTCTAAGTTTTACTTAGGAAATGTTTCATGCCTACCACTTCCAGTCAATATAATTCTCTCATCACATCAAACTCATGTTGATTAATTTTGTAAAAGTAAATGTTTGTTACCAACCGGTCAACTTTAATAAAGCAAGATCAATGACTTCAATAACTCAGTTTAAATGTCATGCATTTGTCTGAGTTTGTTACTGAAATCACCTGACAGTCACCTGTGAACAGGTAGTACAAAGCAGTATAAAAGGAAGTCCTGAGCTACATTACTATAATTCTTTCAAAGACGATCAGATCTTACCATAGTATCTTTGAAATCTTCATAATCATAATTACTGTTCTTCAGGAGAGTACTGGGAAATCTAATGTCTAAAACACAAGGCTTTGTAGCTCATGCCTGTAATCTCAGCACTCTGGGAAGCTGAGGTGGGCAGACTGCTTGAGCCCAGGAATTCCAGACCATCCTGAGCAACATGGCGAAACCCTGTCTCTACAAAAAATACAAAAGTTAGCCAGGTGTGGTGGCATGTGCCTGTAGTCCCAGCTCCTTGGGTGGGGGGCGCTGAGGTGGAAGGATCGCTTGAGCCCAGGAGATAGAGATTGCAGTAAGCAGAGATCGCACCACAGCACTGCAGCCTGGGTCACAAAGTAAGACTCTGTCTTAACAAATTAATTAATTAAATAAAATACAAGGCTTTGATTTAAGACTTCTGAAACTTTAGTGTAGGCCATAAACAAAGGTAAGAATTTATGATTAGAAGGATCCCTGACTAGGCCAGGCGTGGTGGCTCACACCTGTAACCCCAGCACTTTGGGAGGCCAAGGCAAGGCGGATCACCTCAGGTCAGGAGTTTGAGACCAGCTTGGTCAACATAGTGAAACCCCGTCTCTACTAAAAATACAAAAGTTAGCCAGGCGTGGTGGCAGGCACCTGTAATCCCCGCTACTTGGGAGGCTGAGGCAGGAGAATCACTTGAACCTGGGAAGCGGAGGTTGCAGTGAGCTGAGATCATGCCACTGCACTCCATCCTGGGCGACAGAGTGAGACTCCATCTCAAAAAAAAAAAAAAAAAAAGGATCCCTGACTAGAAGTGGGTAACATGTGATAATTTGGACCCACCATTTTAATGAAGTTTGAAAAGAGAGAGAAGCCTTCCTTCCCCAAAGGCTTATCACTGAGCAAAGGATCACAACACTAGACCTAGCAAAATAATTTACTCAACTGGTTGCTAGAACTGTCCCCGCTTCCAGAACAAAGAAATGGTGCATAAGAATAGGAAGTTGACTTCCCTGGTTTAAGACAGTCTTTTATTATATCATTTTGGGGCCATAACAAATTCCTAAACTTTTCTGGTTTTGTTGTGTTCCCTTGCCTCCAAGGGGGATGTAGAGGTAGTGCCTCAATTAAACAAAAACAATTTCTATAAATGTAAATCACCTCATCGATCTTTTCCTTACTTTACCAATAACTTATTTAATACAATTATACATCCTGTCCTTAAAGCTCAGAAAAACAAAAACAGAAAAAATGAAGAGTAGATCCTTTTTCCAAAGATGACTAATCACATTTCGCTTTAGAATTTAAGATTAAGCAGATCTAGCTTACATAAGTAATTGCCTCCAAAATAGATCAGACACAACAAAAGTGTCTTGCATCTGTGTATTGGCTTAAGGCTCAGTTTCTATTTATGACAAAGTATATATTTTTTCACATTTAGCATTCTTTTGGAATAGTGAGGAAACAACTCACAGGGTAAGACTATGGAATTGTTCATTCTAATTCCTGTTCTACCAGTTAATTTGTGCTATGTTTTGGAAGAAGCCAATCATTAATTGCATGAAAATGCTTTGAATGAAAGTGCTTTGAATTTGAGCTATGATGAAGAGAGAAAAAATACATTTTTTTCAACCTTTCTCCCATAAAAATTAGAGTCCTATCTTTCCAAACCCCTCTGACAAACTCTGATAGCATAATCACCAACTCACAACGTTGACATCTGTGACAAATTTCCACTTCCATAGAGGGATCATTTCCACTGTCTCTGATACCAAAAGCTGTATCCTTTTGATATAAAGTATTCATTTAATCCACTGATGATGGCTTAAAACAGTATTTTCAGAACAGAAGAATTCAGAAATAAAAAATCCAAAGTTGTTTGTTTGTTTTGAGATGGAGTCTCGCTCTGTCGCCCAGGCTGGAGCAGAGTGGCTCAGTCGCGGCTCACTGCAACTTCCACCTCTGCATTCAAACGATTCTCCTGCCTCAGCCTCCCGAGTAGCTGGGATAATAGGCGTGCGCCACCAAGCCCAGCTACTATTTTTTTGTAAAGTCAATAGTCAATATCTATTTCTGGGTAAGAACTTGACTCACAACGAGCACTTTAGCTGCTCTGCATTCTAAAAATATCTGCCATAGGACACCAGAAAATAAGTATTCTGAACCTGTGTTCCAATTCTTACTTGGTAAAACCATAACATCACAAAGCAGGCAACGGCATAAATGATTTTGCTGGCATAAATCTGGCTCCAAATTATAGCTATCTTTAAATTCTTCCCGAAAATATCTGAATTCAAATGAAAAATCCTTGGTTGATCACAGAACCTCTGTAGCCTCTGGCAGAAGTTTTCTTCTTAAGATAACAGTCCAGACACTTATATTTAAGAAAGTTCTTTGAAGGCAGTAACCACAGCTTGGCCTACCACACAATTCTAGGCATTCACTGGCATTCCATATGTTATCTGGTTGACAGAAATCTGACATCTAGGCTTCCAAAAACAGCTTACTGGGGTCAAACTGACATCAACAGCTTCTCCCAAACAACTTCCTTCGTGGACAATTTTTCAGGACTTTTAGCCTCAATTTAAATCTCAATTCTCTAAAAATTCCCATAAGACTATTAGATGATCAATTCTTAGACATAATACCAAACAGGGCCAGGTACAGTAGCTCAGGCCTGTAATCCCAGCACTTTGTGAGGCTGAGACAAGCGGATCACATAAGGTCAGGAGTTCAAGACCAGCCTGGCCAATATGGTGAAACCTCGTCTCTACTAAAAATAGAAGAATTAGCTGGGCGTGGTGGCAGGCACCTGTAATCCCAGCTATTCAGGAGGCTGAGGCAGGAGAATCACTTGAACCCAGGAGGTGGAGGTTGCAGCGAGCTGAGATCACCTCACTGCACTCCAGCCAGGGTGACAGAGACTCCATCACCAAAAAAAAAATAATAGTAATACCAAACAACACTTAATTTTTCAGTCATTTGCCAATCAGCAAATGAACCAATGTTGGTTCAATGAATCAATCTTATACATTCCTCTCTGAGCTTTAAGCATTTCTTGATGGATCAGGCAATAACACTAATAAGCACTTCTGCAAAAATTTAATATTTTCCTTTTGAGTTTAATTTTATGAGTCACTTCAAGATATGACCACAGTATGCTTTCTATCTCTCTAGTAAAGTAATGTACTGTATTATAACCTGTTTACATATTCCTTGCAGGTGGAATTTTGTCTTCTCCATCTTTTTTTTTGATATGGAGTCTTGCTCTGTTGCCCAGGCTGAAGTGCAGTGATGCAATCTCAGCTCACTGTAAGCTCCGCCTCCTGGGTTCACGCCATTCTCCTGCCTCAGCCTCCTGAGGACTACAGGCGCCCGCCACCACGCCCGGCTAACTTCTTGTATTTTTAGTAGAGACGGGGTTTCACTGTGTTAGCCAGGATGGTCTTGATCTCCTGACCTCGTGATCCGCCCGCCTCAGCTTCCCAAGGTGCCAAGATTACAGGCGTGAGCCGCTGCGCCTGGCCAGTCTTCTCCATCTTTTTATACATAGTGCCTAGCACAGCTAGCATAGCACGTTCAATATTTGCTCCAAGTATGACTAGACAAAGCTGGTGAACAAAATCTGTACACCTTTTATTTTCAGGAGAATTTGCTAATTTTATATTAAAAAGCCTTAATAGTAATTTTATAACCTTGAGAAAAGTTTGGATGAAGTCCACAATGAACTAAATGACTGCTCTATAAAATGGAAAATAAACAACAGGAAAAGGGGCTGAGCGTGGTGGCTCACGCCTGTAATCCCACCACTGTAGGAGGCTAAGGCAGGGGGATCACTCAAGCCCAGGTGTTCAAGACCAGCCTGGGCAACATAGCAAAACCCCAAATGTGCCAAAAAGAAAAAAAAAAGTTAGCCGGGCGTGGTGGGAGCACCTGTATTCCCAGCTACTTGGGAGGTTGAGAGGACAAGACTGCTTGAGCTGGGGAAAGTTGAGGCTGCAATGAGCCATGATCACACCATTGCACTCCAGCCTGAGCAACAGAGCAAGATCTCTAAAATAAAAATAATATAAAAAGAAAGGGCACAGTGGTGGACGGGTGCTAGAACTTAAGGGGCACTAAAATACTTATTGATTGTGCTTTCCTTTCTTGCAGCTGTCATTCAAAAGCTTCTTCCTGAAGTTGAGTAAGAGAGTCCATGATGTTTAGAATATGTGTTTTCATTATGTGGCCAAATGTTAAAGCTGTTGGAGAAAGAGCTCGAAGTCTCAATTGATAGAAGACCATGATGTACTGGAATCCTAATATATCCTGGTCAATATGTTGGCTTACAAAGATAAGCATATGAGAGCAGAGCCTCAGCTTCATGCCTGGCAATGTGTCCGCCGTGTGTGGGTTTCCTAAAGTAACAGCAGTCATACCATATGGTGTGGCTTTCATTGGCATGGGCAGGCGAGAAGATGCCAAAAACTCAATGTGCTATTTTGGGCCATGAAACGTGATAAGCTCTAAATTTAAAACATAATTTTTTAAATTAAAGAGTATTTTTTAATTGTAAGATGTTTTTATACTGGATTTTATAATCTTAAGACTCAATTAGGTAACTGTTCTCAGTGTGTGAAATAAGACAAAGATGCAAAAGTCAAGAGGGGGACAAGCTTGGCAGCAATCTTCTGAAAAAAAAAATTTAGAGATTTAAATGAAATCTTTTTTTAGTGATACTATAAATATAAAGGTGAAATATACAGAAACAGCTTTTGGAATGCTACATTTTGATAATGCTGAACAAGGGCAGTAGATGTGAGAAGCTGAGAGGCAGTATCAGTGGGATGGAATCTCTTATTCCTCTCGAGCCACCATTCCAAATTTTGTACAATAACACACCTCCAGCCTATCAAATAAGCTGATCTAATGTCTGAAGTTAGAGCAACCCTGGAAATATTCATGTTGAATCTAACGGACAACTTATTTAACCCTTACAAACTCAGCCCTAGATTTGAGCAACTAGGTTCAAGAATTCTAATAACAATTTCAAATGCTATACTGGGGCTGGTAATACTAATCTCAGGAAAGCAATTTTTGAGCTTCCTTGTCTCAGTGCTAGCCTTTCCCGTAAGTCTGCTTCTTTTTCCTAAATTAGGTTAATTATACATAATAAAAATAGTTTTTCATTAGTCCTGAGCTGGCAAAATGGGTTTTATGAACTGCTTCATATAAAGCAAGTGCTATATCTTATTTTATTTATTTATTTTTTGAGACAAGGTCTCGTTCTGTCACCCAGGGTGGAGTGCAGTGGTGTGATTTCGGCTCACTGCAACCTTAGCCCCAACCCCCACCTCAGCTCAAGCAATCCTCCTCTCTCAGCCTCCTAAATAGCTGGGGACCACAGGCGCACACCACCATGTCTGGCTATTTTTTTTTTTTTTTTTTTAATTTTTAGTAGAGACGGGCGTCTTGCCATGTTGGCCATGCTGGTCTCGAACTCCTGAGCTCAAGCAATCTGTCCACCTCGGCCTCCCAAAGTGCTGGAATGAGCCACCATGCCCAGCCCTTATTTTTTTTTTTTTAAATAAAAGAAAATACAACTTTAAAGTGTCAGTTGGCTAATTTGGGAAGAGGTGTGGGTGTCAGTGTATGGGGGGAGGGGGACCTGCCTTTAGGTGTCATTACCAAAGGCTATGATGATGTCATACAGCCCATTTCAAATGTACAAGGAGAATTACTGGGGAGAAGAAAGAGAAGGGAAGTGGGGAAGGTATCTTTTTAAGATACTTTTTGCACCTGCAGATCCTTAAACGTCTTCGCCATTAGTCCAAGTAGATACAACAGAAGGTAGTCTAGAATAGGGAGTTAATTATAAACGGAAGAAAACGGCAAATATCTTTCTAGTTTTCCTTTTCCTACCAGTCCTTCACCTTTCCTACCGAAGAGTTAAGTTTAATCTAAAAAGTTTGAAGTTTGCATACCCTTTAAGCCCCACTGCTATGATCTAGTTTGGGGGATGTGGAAAATAGGTTATATAAAAATTTTTCTGAGTAATCAAAAGCACATCCAACATTTACCAGAGACACAATATTGTCTTCTACGGGATGGATTAGCATCTCTTCCTTCAAATGTCCTGACTTGGAAGATGCGATCTCTGTTAAGTTGCAGGTCTCTCCAGCCCCGGACCTGGGCCCTGCAGCCACCAAGATGCTGATGCCTAAGAAGAACGGGATTGCCATCTATGAACTCCTTTTTAAGGAGGGAGTCATGGTGGCCAAGAAGGATGTCCACCTTCCTAAGTACCCAGACCTGGCAGAAGACAAGAATGTGCCCAACCTTCACATCATGAAGGCCATGCAGTCTCTCAAGTCTTAAGGCTACATGAAGGAACGGTTTGTCTGGAGACATTTCTACTGGTACCTTACCAACGACTGTATCCAGTATCTCTGATTACCTCCATCTGCCCCGTGAGACTGTGCCTTCCACCCTATACCACAGTCATCCAGAGACTGGCAGGCTTTGGCCTAAAGGTCTGGAGGGTGAGCAACCCGCAAAGCTCACAAAAGGGGAAGCCAAAAGACACCCACAGACAGAGTGCTGTGTCCCCTGGTCCGATGAGAAAGCCGAGGCTGGGGTTGGGTCAGCAACCAAATTCCAGTTTAGAAGCAGATTTGGTTGTGGGTGTGGTCAGTGACCTCAGTAAAACTGGAGAGGATTATTTTGCATTGAATAAACTTATAGACAGAAAAAAAAATGCAGGTCCTTCTGCTTAAGCCAGTGTTTAACCTGTGGTTTGATTCTGAATGTCTTCCCTAGTTTTGGAAACAATTTATATTGAAGTTCAGTTGTGTCACAGGCCCTTATTTTACTTTTTTTAAAAAAAACTTGTTTTTGGCCAGGCGCAGTGGCTCACGCTTGTAATCCCTGCACTTTGGGAGGCAGAGGCGAGCGGATCACTTGAGGTCAGAAGTTTGAGACCAGCCTGGCCAACATGATGAAACCCTGTCTTTACTAAAAATACAAAAAATTAGTCGGGTGTGGCGGCAGGCGCCTGTAATCTCAGCTACTCGGGAGGCTGAGGCAGAAGAATCACCTGAACCTGGGAGGCGGAGGTTGCAGTGAGCTGAGATCACGCCACTGCACTCCAACCTGGGCAACAAGAGCAAACTCTGTCTCAAAAAAAAAAAAAAAAATTTTTTTTAAAGACAGGGTCTCGCTATGTTGCCCATGCTGGTCTTGAATTCCTGGGGTCAAGTGATGCTTCTGCTTTAGCCTCCCAAGGAGCTGGAATCATGGGTGCACACCACCATGCTCGGCTACTATTTTCTTCAAAATTTGACTATTCTGACAGATTCTAGCTTAACAGTACATATTAGATAAATAAATGGCAATTTTCTGGAACATTCTTTTTTTGGTTTTGTTTCGGTTTTTTTTTTTTTTTTTTTTTGAAACGGAGTCTCGCTCTGTCGCCCAGGCTGGAGTGCAGTGGCACGATCTCGGCTCACTGCCAGCTCCGCTTCCCGGGTTCACACCATTCTCCTGCCTCAGCCTCCCGAGTAGCTGGGACTACAGGTGCCTGCCACCACGCCCGGCTAATTTTTCTGTACTTTTAGTAGAGACGGGGTTTCACCATGTTAGCCAGGATGGTCTCGATCTCCTGACCTCGTGATCCACCCGCCTCGGCCTCCCAAAGTGCTGGGATTACAGGCTTGAGCCACCGTGCCAGGCCATGGAACATTCTTTAAAATAGTATAGACTTCATAGCAGTTGCAACTTCAGTTATTGTATTCTGCTATCATTTTGGTCTTCTTGTGGCTTCTAAAAGCTGAATTTTCACTGCATATCCAAACTCCATAACTTGGTAATCAGCTCTTTAATAGAAGTAGCTATCTGACAATAGCACAACTCACATATGCAAAAATACAATTTGTCAATCTAGATTTATGAGATCATTTAAAATTCTCAACCAAAGCGTAAGCTTTCAACATTCTCAACCATGGCCTAAGTAAATCTCAGTGACTGAGTATTTAAGAACCAGGTACAACACAAAATATAGTCATCTATGGGAGATAACTAGGGAATTACCTTTCGCACAAAATCAGTCAGGAAAAAAAAATACAATGTGTACAATTCCTCAGAATTATTTATTTAAACCCTACTTTGTTACAAAATGATTTAAGACAGGATTTCCTCAATAAATGGGAGGAGAGCCAGGCGCCGTGACTCACGCCTGTAATCTCAGAACTTTGCGGGGCCGAGGCGGACGGATCACTTGAAGTCAGGAGATCCAGACCAGCCTGGTCAACATAGTGAAACCCCATCTCTACTAAAAATACAAAAATTAGCTAGGCGCGGTGGTGGGCGCCTGTAACCCCAGGTACTCGGGAGGCTGAGGCAGGACAATCACTTCATCCCAGGAAGCAGAGGTTGCAGTGAGCAGATTGCATCACTGCACTCCAGCCTGGGTGACAGAAAAAGACTCCATCTCAAAAAAGAAAAATAAAAAAATGAGAGGGATTCCAGCACTTTTCTCAATATATTCTGGCTAAATGTAAGATGGTCACTTAAATTGAGCAGATGGGACTTCATTAAATCACGATGAAAATGAACAGCCAAGAAAAGAACTATTGTATAGAAAGGAACTTTGGTAAAGTGCATGAATAAAATTACATTTTGGTGGATATATCTAATTAATATTCATTTCCTCAACTTGCAAAGCAAATGACATCATTGTTTGTCACTTTAACTAGTTCTCTGTTCAACAGTGGACCTACTGACAGATGCCCAAATAAAGATCACACACTAACATAAAAAGATGTAACTGCAGCCAAACATGGTGGCATGCACGTATAGTCCCAGTGCTTTAGGAGACTGAGGTGTGAGGATTGCCAGAACCCAGGAGTTTGAGGCTGCAATGAGCTATAATCTCACCACTGCCCTCCAACCTGAGCGACTGAGCAAAACCCTGTGTCTAAAATAAATAAATAATAAAAACATATAATTGCCTTCAGTTTATAAGACTTTGTGATAAAACGGGAAAAAAGAAAAAACAGTTGTAACTGTGCTTGGAGATACCCACCAGATGGGCCATTCTCACAAACTGATCAAATGATCACTATGGTGGTGTTAAAAATAAGTTTACAAATTGTAACTTTTCCTTCACTGAAAACTGATCAAGAAAGCCAACTCCCCAAATTATAATCTTGTCTTATCTAGTGGTCTGTCCTAGATTGACAGAACATAAAATTGGGCAATTATTCATGTTGTGAAAGGATCCACTACACAAAAAACAAAATTTAAAAATTAACGCAAGTTTCCTTGACATTGTCAACTCCATCAGTACATTTAAAATGGGATTCCAGGCTGGGTGCGGTGGCTCACACCTATAATCCCAGCATTTTGGGAGGCTGAGGCAAGACAACTGCTTGAGCCCAGGAGTTCAAGACCAGCCTGGGCAACACAGAGAGACCTCATCTCTACAAAAAAATATTAAAAGATTGGCCAGGTGTGGTGGTGTGTGCCTGTAGTCCTAGCTGCTTGGGAGGCTGGGGCAGGAGGATCACTTAAGCCAGGAATTCAAGGCTACAGTGAGCTGTGACTCCTCCATTGTGCTCCAGCCTGGGCAACAGAGAGAGATCCCTGTCTCTAAAGAAAAGAAGAAAAAGGAAAGAAAGAAAAGAAACATGCTGGGTTTCAGGAACAATTAGCCTAAGATTTAAAAGATTTCTGTGGAAAAATCAAGTCACTAAGTCACACAAAGACAATTATAGCTGGTGATAATTCATCTTTTTTTTTTTCTTTTTCTTTTGAGACAGGGTCTTGGTCTCGCTGTATCACCCAGGGTGAAGTGTAGTGGCACGATCATGGCTCGCTGCAGCCTCACTCTTCTGGGCTCAAGCAATCCTCCCGCCTCAGCTTCCTGAATCCCTGGGACTACAGGCACATGCCATCACATGAGGCCAATTTTTAATTTTTTTGTAGAGAAGGGTCTCACTATGTTGCCTGAGCTAGTCTCCAGCTCCTGGGCTCAAGCAATGCTCCCACCTTAGCCTCTCAAAGTGCTGGGATTATAGGCATGAGCCACTGGTAAGAATAAATCGCCTACTTTATATTACAGTTAACAGTTAATTACAAATTCCTAAATCACAAAATGTCCCTCTTACTCTTACTATAACAAAGTGAAATAGTCCTACAGGAAAGATCCATTACAATAAGATATACAGTTAGGTGCTGGAAACAAGCAACAGTAAGTAGCTATTGATTATCTTACCATTTTACAATAAATCATGACTTTAAATACTTTACTAGAAAATTTAAAGTTCTTTGACTAGGAAAAATGGACCTCTTTCCATAAAATTTTTGGTTTTGTTTGGGGCTAACCCAAACAATTTATTTAAACCAACTTTAGTATGAAATATACAGATTATACACAAAATAATCTAATACACTCTGGGGCAACCTGGTGAGACAATGCCTCTACAAATAAAATAGTCAGCTGGGCGTGGTGGTTCATGCCTGTGGTCTCAGCTACTGGGGAGGCAGAGGTGTGAGGAATGCTTAAGCCTAGCCATCAGAGGCTGCAGTGAGCTAGGATTATACCACTGCATTCCAACCTGGGTGGCAGGTTGGAATAATATTATTATTTTTTTATTATTTTATATATACATAATTTTGAGACAAGGTCTTGCTCTGTCTCAAATATATATATTATAATAAATATTATTACTAATAAAAATATATAAAATAATATTATTATTACAACCTAATAGTCTTTAGCCAATGAGTAAGAGAATAGCTGAAACTGTGTAACAGTCTGTTTACAGACTATTTCCATATGTAGGCTGATAAGAACAACTCTAATAATATAGCTTTTAAATAATACAGCAATTATTTAAATGCATTCTCATAAATAAAATATATTCTAATTTTCACTGCTCAGGAACAGTGAAGTACTTTATAATTTGGCAGGAGGAAGATTTACTCCCCATACATTAAAGATAAGCAGTAGAAAGAATCTTTATATTTTTGCATCTGACCAGTTTCAACAGCACCCCTAATTGGTGTGGGGTTAGCAAAAAGTTTGTGGTTATTACAATCATTGTATAAAGAGCTAAGTAAACTAGAAGAAACCCAGGACCTTTGATAAAACAGCTTTGTAAATCCTTACCTCAAATATTACAAATGTTTCTATAACTATATATGATTTGTTTGACTTTTGTAGATCTTTATTTCCTGCTTATCCATTACTATGTAATAGTAAGTGTGCTGAAGTAAAGCTGTGAGACTCAATTAAAGGAAAATTTTAATCATAGAGGTCTTTAGATAGCAAAATAGGCAAGAAGCTCTCTTTAGGTCTGGGGAGAGGCAAGAAGCTCTCTTTAGGTCTGGGGAGGGGCCAGAGCATAGGCTTACTTATGGGTGACCACTTAGCCCAAGAGTGTGAGCAGGTGGAAGTGAGAATGCTTTGCAGATACTAGTAGGCCAAAACTCTAGGCATAGTTAATTCAGATACTAGTCCAGACGCAGAAGATTTCAGGAAAACAGACCAAAAGCCTGAGTCAGGAGCTCTTGAGACTGAGCAGGTAACAGGAAGCAAAGGAGGCTAAAGAACATGGTCAGAAGACCATATCCCAGAAGCATCTGAAAGAAGTCTGGTGCAGCTATCTGGAAGCAGCCAGCTGGTTCCTTGGTAGAAAGTGTCCTGTGTGTCTTTTTTTTTTTTGGTAGGGTTGGGGTTTCACCATGCTTTCTAGGCTGGTCTTCAACTCCTGGGTTCAAGTAATCCATCTGCCTCAGCTCCCAAAGTGCTGGGATTACAGGCGTGAGCCACCAGGCCTGGCCATAGAAAGTGTCCTGTCTTGAAGATTGTGCTGAGGGGATAATGAGTCCTTTTTTATGGAAGACATACCACTCATTTGTAAAGAACATATGCTGAACAAAATAGAAAAATTTTAAATGCTAGACACACACATAAGGAAAGCAGTAAAACCCTGAAACTGTAGGTAGTTAAAAATTTAAAATATTTGCATTTTTATTCACAGATGGTCTTCAACTTTCACAGTCTGATTTTCATATATTATATACTTATGTACCTAAGAGGCTTTTCAATGTGGATTTTATATTTTGTGTTCACCAGCTGACAAACTTTTGAGCTACTGAGTGAAGGTGGTACTGGCTCACCAACATTTCACTTTTGGCAGTATCACCACATTGATGCATCTCTGTGAAATTATTAGAGTATTTTATTGGATTTGGGGGAAAATGCAAGTGTTAGTATCAGCAAAAAGAAGCATCTCAATGTAACAGATTGCTTTCAGGTGTTAAGCCAGCCTTCCATGTGCTCAATTATGAATAATGGATAATAAAATGAAAGTGTGTGCACAAATGTTTGAACTGTATTACTGAAGATTATACCAAAAAGGTTAAGTATAATTTAGGATTTTATAATATTTGTTAACTCGCTGAGCACCTGCTTTACAACATTTGAGTCTGACTTTAACCTGCATGGCTTTCGCCCATGTTTCCATGGATACACACACATTTGTAAATTTCAGGACTTGAGAACCTTAAGACATTTTTAGAAAATGTGAAGAAATCTCCAATTTTATTTTTAGCTTTAAAATTTTTTTGTAACTTATTTCTTACCCCCAAAGGATGCGGAAAGTTTCCTATATTAACTATTTTGACCCTACGAGTTTCATGGTGGATTAGAATAGTCAGAAGAAAAGAGAAGGGCAGATAAATGTTTCAATCTGTCTTCAAACATTTAATTATGGCTTACAATAAAATAAAATTTAACCTAATTCTATTACCTATTTTGTCACAGACTGTACATCTTCTTTTTACTTTTTATATTTTCTTAGAGACGGGGTCTCACTCCGTCACCCAGGCTGGAATGCAGTCACACAGACATAGCTTACTGCATCCCAGAACTGGGCTCAAGCAATTCTCCCACCTCAGCCTCCTGAGCAGCTGGGACTATAGGTGTATCCCACTATGTGTGACTCATTTTTTAGATTTTTTTGCTATGTTGCCCAGGCTGGTCATGAACTCCAGGCTTCACGCAGTCTTCCTGCCACAGCCTCCTAAAGTACAGGGATTACAGGCCTGAACCACTGGGCCTGGCCTTTTATTTTTTAAACGAGGTATCTGAGTACATTTCCTTATTTCCTGCTTCATATGACTTTTACTATCAGAAGTAATCCTTTTTACCCATCTTTAGGCTTCCTGCTGTTTAAAAAAAAAAAAACTTAGCTGGGCATGGTGGTGTGCAACTGTAATCCAAGCTACTCAGGAGGCTGAGGGCAGGAGGATCGTTTGAGCCCAGGAGTTTGAGGCTGCAGCAAGCTATGATCACACCACTGCACTCCAGCCTGGGTGACAGAGGGAGATCCTGTCTCTAGAAAAGGTGAGGGTAAGGCTGGGGGAGGAGGGGCGATGGGGGGGCAGGGGACAACACAAATACAGTCAAATAAAAATATAACTCTTCCTTAATCCTCTGTCCTCTTTAGGCCAGGCTCTCTCCTCCTCAAACCTCTCTCATCTTAATTTTAGAGAGTGAAATATGCAGATAGTCTTGGATCTCTTCTTCCCTTCTAATTCTAGACATTCTTAGAACTTAATTCTTTGCCTGCTTTTTCTTCATTACTCATTCCCACCGAGATTACGTCTTCGTATCATGTCTCTATTGATGAAGACTTCATTTTTCATCTTCAGCCTTCTGACATATGTATTTTCAGTTTCTTAATGTATTCACTTTGAATGTCCACTGTCACCTAAAATGTAACATGCCTAAAACATAATTTTATTTTGAATTTATTATTTTAAAAAATAAACCACTGGAGAATTTTAGACTTAATGGAAAAGTTGAGAAGACAGCACACAGAGTTCCCATATGCCTTCTCATTTTCCCCTATTGTTAATAGCTTACTTTATATAGTGCAATCTGTCACAACTAAAGAACCAACAATGGTACACATTTTATTCAGATTGTACTAGGTATTTTATGAGGATGATGGTTAATTTTTTGTGTCAACTTCACTGGGCCACACGCGTTTCGCCAAACATTGTTCTGGGTGGGTCTACGGTGCTGTTTTTGGATGAGATTAGCACTTGGACAGGCAGACTAGCAAAGCAGACTGTCCTTCCCAATGTGGGTGGGTCCCATTCCATCAGTTGAAGGTCTGAATAGAACAAAAAGGCTGAAGCTCCCCCAGGACTCCAGAATCAAAGAAAGGGGGGATTTCCTCCTAACTGCTTTGAATTGGGACCTCAGTTTTTGTCTTTTTTTTTTTTTTTTTTTGAGACGGAGTCTCACTCTGTCGCCCAGGCTGGAGTGCAATGGCACGATCTCAGCTCACTGCAACCTCCGTCTTCCAGGTTCAAGCGATTCTGCCACCTCAGCCTCCCCCCGCCGCCCCCCTGCCCCCGCAGTAACTAGTAACTTGACTGCCATCAAGCCTAGCTAATTTTTGTATTTTTGTAGAGATGGGTTTCAGCATGTTGGCCAGGATGGCCTTGAACTGACCTCAGGTGATCTGCCTGCCTCAGCCTACCAAAGTGCTGGGATTACAGGCATGAGCCACTGCGCCTAGCCCTAAAAACTCTTTATAAAAGGCAAAGCTTAAGCAACTAATTGTAAGAAAAATTAAACCTGAGCTGGGCATGGTGGCTTAGGCCTGTAACCCCAGCTACTTGGAGGCTGAGGCAGGAGGATCTCTGGAAGCCAGGAGTTTGATTGAGACCAGACTGGGCAACACAGCAATCCCATCTCGAAAGAAAAAAAGAAGGGAGGAAGGGAGGGAAAGAAGGAAGGAAAGAGAGAAGCAATTCTGTATATAGAATATGTAAAGAAAGTAAGATATGTTTTTGTAAGGAAAGCTATAAAGGCATAAAAATATGTGTTTGCTGAGAAAAAAAGTTATTTAAAGGTTATTTCAAATTGAATGAATTTTTAGAAGAGATATAGTCTGGCACCACGCAGTCCTGCGCAGTCCTGCACAGTCCTGCTTGGTTGCATGGCAGCACCTGGGGGTGCCCAGCTGGAGGGATGGGGCAGGATCGGGGCCAACAGGCAGCAAGCCAGGATCCTGCAGCAGCCAGCACCTTCCTCCTGCTGGTGTCAGAGCTGGGCATGGGGGGCAGCATGCCTGTGAGTAGCCTCAGAAGGCTGAGGTCCCTGCCCCCAATATTGGCACCTAGGCCTGCACCCTCACACCCTTCATGACCACAACCAAATTTTCTTGTCAATTATGTCTTTAACCATGATCATTTTGTTTCCACAGTTAATTGCTTTATACGGATGCATTTTCTTTAAGCTCTTTACAACCAAGTAAAATCCTAGAGCATTATGTCTTCAAGAACGTTCATGGAAAGTAATGGAAAGGACCCTAATAAGCACTACTGAATACAAGTTTCTGATAACTTTAGGCTCATCTAATTTGGACTGGGTAAGAATTCCCAGAACTTTAATAAAGAGACTGGTTTATAAAACTGCTAACCCAAGCAGGACAAAAATTAACTGAATACTAAGAAAAATACTCTGCCAGATTTTCATGCTAAATCAGCCAGTACTAAAACTGTTAAGATATGCAACTTGAATGAACTCTATGTTCCAAGTCAAATTACCTATGATAACCCATTTAATGAACAGTGCTATGCACCTGAATTGGAGATACAAAATTGGTATTTAACAGGCTATAAATGCAATGTTAAGCATGGAATCACAGAGATCCTGCACAGCCACCTGGTCCTTCCTGAATCCGTAAATCTTCCATTATTAAAAGCTCTGCACTCCATGACTCATCATGGAAGACAGAAAATGATCCAAATAGAAAACATATACATTGGTGTGGTGACTGCTCTAAATCGCTAAAAATGGTTTATGACCAAGGTTTGGCTTATCAAACCTACAACCTGGGAAGATAATTAAAACTTCAGCTACCTGATGGGTCATTGGAACACTTATAGAGGAATTTCATTCAACTGTCATTTTCAACACGTTTTCTGGTAAAAGCTTTCTCATGCAAGAAGGCTGATGCTATAACAGTAGCTAAAAGGTTGTCAGAAAATGTGTTTCCCTCACGGGGCATTCCTGGAGAAATCTCCAGTGATAGTGGTACTTGTTTCACTGGACAAGTTGTAAACAGTTAAGTAAGGTATTACAGACACAACAGCTTTAGGTGAAGCTAACTGAATTGACTGGTTGCCTTGGTCAAAGGTATTGCAGATTGATGACAACCTCATCTGCTTCCAGTAGAAAATATAAGTTGACTCATTATGAAATAGTCACTGGAAGGCCTATGCCACTAATAATAGAACCTCATGTATCTTCCTCTCCCAAACTCTGATATGAATAAATGCTGCAAGCCTTTAATGCATTATACCAAAGTGTATTTTCACCAGCTAAAGGAAGCTTTTCTTTTTTTTATTTTCTGTAGATGGTCTCACTCTGTTGC